>NC_000001.11:44402319-44705350 GCF_000001405.40 Homo sapiens | reverse complement strand
TGGCTAATTTTTTTGTATTCTTAGTAGAGACGGGGTTTTGCTGTGTTGGCCGGGCTGGTCTCAAACTCCTGGCCTCAGGTGATCCGCCTGCCTCGGCCTCCCAAAATGGTGGAATTACAGGCGTGAGCCACCATGCCTGGCCTCTTATGGTTATTTTGAGAAGTAAATGAGGTGATGTATGGAAAGTGGCTGGCACATAGAAGTTCTCAATAAATAGGCCGGGTGCGGTGGCTCATGCCTGTAATCCCAGCACTTTGGGAGGCCGAGGCGGGTGGATCACGAGGTCAGGAGATCGAGACCATCCTGGCTAACGCAGCGAAACCTCGTCTCCACTAAAAAATATAAAAAATTAGCCGGGCATGGTGACAGGCGCCTGTAGTCCCAGCTACTTGGGAGGCTGAGGCAGGAGAATGGTGTGAACCCGGGAGGCAGAGCTTGCAGTGAGCTGAGATTGCGCCACTGCACTCCAGCCTGGATGACAGAGCGAGATTCCGTCTCAAAAAAAAAAAAAAAAAAGTTCTCAATAAATAAAAGCTCCTGGCCGGGTGCAGTGGCTCATGCCTGTAATCCCAGCACTTTGGGTGGCTGAGGTGAGAGGATCGCTTGAGGCCTGGAGTTCAAGACCAGCCTGGGCAACATAGTGAGACCTCGTTTCTGCAAAAAATTAAAAAGTTAGATGGATGTAGTAGTGCACACTTGTGGTCCTAGCTACTTGGGAGGTTGAGGAGGGAGAATATCTTGAGCCCAGGAGTTTGAGGCCACAGTGAGCTATGATGGTACCACTGCACTCCAGCCTGAGCAGCAAAGCAAGACCCTGCCTCAAAAAAAAAAAACCCAGCAAAAACAACCAACCAAATACTACGACTATTCAGTTTAGTTTCTTAGAAGAAGGACATTCCTCAGGGTGATTTCTGTTTAGCCAGGAAGCATCACATAAGACTGGGAGCCAGAGCCAGCTCTGGACCCAGGCAGATTCTCGTAACCGTTCAGGCACCCTAGGCACCCTGTGGTTGACGCAAGGCATAGGTGTGACTGACATTTTCTGAACCAGCATCTTCCATCTGCCAAGGCTGTCTCAGACACTCAACATCAAGGCTCTTTGTGACTAAGAGAAAGCTTTTGAGAGCTGATATGTCTGGCTCTCGGTGCCCCCTTCTGCAATCTGGAGGCTCCCTACCTTCATACTGGACTTCCAGGTGCATCGTGCCCAGCACCTTCAGCACGCAGTCCACGATGCTGGGGTGTGTGGTCCCAATGATTGGCTGACCAGACAGACAACAGGACAAGGTGGTTAGTCTTTTTTTTTTTTTTAAAGATGGATTCCCGGCCGGGTGCGGTGGCTCACGCCTGTAATCCCAGCACTTTAGGAGGCCGAGGTGGGCAGATCACGAGGTCAGGAGATCCAGACCATCCTGGCTAACAAAGTGAAACACTGTCTCTACTAAAAATGCAAAAAATTAGCTGGGCGTGGTGCCAGGCGCCTGTAGTCCCAGCTACTCCTGAGGCTGAGGCAGGAGAATGGCGTGAACCCGGGAGGCAGAGCTTGCAGTGAGCCGAGATCGCGCCACTGCACTCCAGCCTGGGAAACAGAGCCGTCTCAAAAAAAAGAAAAGAAAAAAGAAAAAGATGTATTCCCACTCTGTCACCCAGGCTGGAGTGCAGTGGCGCGATCTCGGCTCACTGCAACCTCCGCCTCCTGGGCTCAAACGATTCTTCTGCTTCAGCCTCTGAGTAGCTGGGATTACAGGTGCCCGCCACCATGCCCAGCTAATTTTTTTTTTTTTTTTTTTAGTAGAGACGGAGTTTCCCCATGTTGACCAGGCTGGTCTCGAGTTCTTGACCTCAAGTGATCCACCCGTTTCAGCCTCCCAAAGTGCTGGGATTACAGGCATGAGCCACTGTGCCCGCCCAAGGTGGTTAGTCTTTAGATCTTGTCTACCTGTTAGAAAGGAAACGCAGACTTCCAAACAGCCAGGTGCCTGGGTGAATGGGGAGAGGGAGGGAGGGCAGTGGTGAGTCACTGGGCCTAGGCTGAGGCTGCCACTGAACTCTCTAGCTCAGGAGGCATTAAATGAGGCTACCTGCTAGAGGTGCAGGAACAAGGCCGGCTACTCTGATTGGGGGAGAGAGGACACAGGGCAAGGAGAATGGAACTCATTCAAGATCCTAAAATCTTCTCTTCCTCAGGAACCTCATCCCATCAGACAGCCCCCTTTTTCCTCTCTCCTCAAACTTTACCCATGCATTGGTTCTTTTCTTTTAGCATTAAACATCCTCAAGCTCATCCATATTTAACAACATCGTCCTTCAACTCTGTCTTCTCCTTTGCTATTGCTCTTTTTTCCCTTTACATCTAAGCCTCCCAAGAGAAGCCACTTCTTCATCCCCTATTCATCCTTTGATGGGCTGCTGCGATTTAATTTTTCCTGCCATAGACAGTCTCCTAACTCACCAAAACTTTTCCTGCTGGGACTATCTTTCTATTCTACCCTTACTGAATGACTTTGTTGCATCTGACCCCAGCTGATCATGTCCTCCTTACGGAAACTCTTTTCCCTTGATTTTCCAACCCTATTTTTCTTCTATCACTGTCATTGCCCTCTTTCTTTTTCTTTTCTTTTCTTTTTTTTTTTTTTTTTTGAGATGGAGTCTCGCTGTGTCTCCAGGCTGGAGTGCAGTGGCACAATCTTGGCTCACTGCAACCTCCGCCTCCTGGATTCAAGCAATTCTCCTGCCTCAGCCTCCCGAGTAGCTGGGATTACAGGCACACACCACCACGCCCAGCTAATTTTTGTATTTTTAGTAGAGACAGAGTTTCACCATGCTGGCCAGGCTGATCTTGAACTCCTGACCTCATGATCCACCCACCTCGGCCTCCCAAAGTGCTGGGATTACAGGAGTAAGCCACTGCGCCCGGCCCTGTCATTGCCCTTTTTTGAAGAGGCAGAGTGGTATGTGGAAAGAATAAGGACGTAGGAGAGGGTGGATTTAAATTCTCGATTGGTAAACACCTTTTACTTAGCATGCGGCCTTGGGTAAGTCACTTAACACACTTTCCTGAGCTCAGCTCCACCATCTTTGAAAAAGGGAGAATAGTATCTGCCTCCGTCAGCTATAGTGAAGACTAAGAGAGAGCGTGTAGATAAGCCCCTAACACAGTGGCTGGCATGTATGAGGCACTTAATAACTGGGAACTGTGGAAATAAGATAATAATGATAATCTGATCTGTTTTTAAAATTGTTTTAGAGACAGGGTCTCACTCTATCACTCAGGCTGGAGTGCAGTGGTGCCATCATAGCTCATTGCAGCCTCGAACTCCTGGGCTCACACGATCCTCCCACCACAGCCTCCCGAGCAGCTGGGACTATAGGCACATGCCACCACAGCCAGTTATTATTATTTTTGAATTTGCCTTTTTTTTTTTTTGACACGAGTCTCACTTTTTTGCCCAGGGAGTACAGTGGCATGATCTTGGCTCACTGTAACCTCTGCCTCTCAGGCTAAGCCATCCTCTGAACTCAGCCTCCCAAGTAGCTGGGATTACAGGTGTGCACCACCATGCCCAGCTAATTTTTGTATTTTTAGTAGAGACAGGGTTTCATCATGTTGGCCAGGCTGATCTCAAACTCCTGACCTCAAGTGATCCACCCACTGCAGTCTCCCAAAGTGCTGGGATTACAGGCCTGAGCCACTGCACCCGGTCTGATGGTTCATCTTAAAGCCACTTTTTAAGCCTCTATCCCCTCTTTACTAGGTACGATGTCTTCGTATGCTCACCGTGCCCCAAATTCGGTTTTCACTTGCATCCGAGGGTACTGTCTGAGAGAAGGGCAAAAGCCAACAAGAAAAAAAAAAAAGCCTTCCCCAGCACTGGAGATCTGGCCTCTTCACTTACATGCTGTCTACAAATGCACCATTATTCTTTCCCTATCAAATCGACTCCTTTAATCTTTTCTACAGCCCTTTCATCATCCTTGTTGCTTGTCTCAACCACTTTTAAGTCTGCCAACATCTTTCTGATCCTTAAGTAAACAGGACAAATCACTCTGCTGGGAGGCATGAACTCTCTGCCCTACCTTGGCCTTCTGGAAGTAACGCTGATTGAACAACAGACATGCAGTGGGAGGCTGAGCTCCGTTTCTCATGCCTGTGTGGAGAGCAACTGCGGAAGGTAATTGTAAGATTATTGCATCTGAATCAGAACCACAGGAGCATGCAGCCTTGGCTCACCTGGGCAGTCCTGAGAGTCTGCAGGGACAGCTGCTGGGCTTTTGGGGACTCGCAGGGCAGCAAAGCTATTAGACCTTTATACACTTGATTTTGGTACTTGGGATTGCCGTGGACCAAAGAATCCAACAGAACCTGCACTTCCTCCTGGGTCTCTTCTGACTTAGACTTTGCCAAAAATTCTGCTATGGATCGTACACCTGAGCAAAGAAGAGAGGAAATGCTAAATTGGAAGGGATTTATGAAAAAATCCCCACTCAAGATTATATAATATGAATAGGATTAAAAGCTCTTCAACCAAGCCTGTTCAACCAAAGCAAAATTGAGGCCTGGTTCTCATGTTGCATCACTGTCTTGTTTACCTTAGAGTTATGTGGCTGGAGGATTTTATTTCAGCATAGGCATGTCAAAATCTGTTTTAAAGTTTAAAATGGCTCTGCACAATTTACAAATAAAACATGCATTTTTTTATTGCTATATGATAACTCTTTTTTTTTTTTTTTTTTTGAGATGGAGTCTCTGTCTGTTGCCCAGGCTGGAGTACAGTGGTGCGATCTCGGCTCACTGCAACCTCTGCCTCCCAGGTTCAAGCGATTCTCTTGCCTCAGCCTCCCAGGTAGCTGGGACTACAGGTGTGTGCCACCAGGCCTGGCTAATTTTTGTATTTTTAATAGAGACAGGGTTTCACAGTGTTAGCCAGGATGGTCTTTATCTCCTGACCTCGTGATGCGCCCACCTTGGCCTCCCGAAGTGTTGGGATTAGAGGCGTGAGCCACGGCGCCCGGCCATGATAACACTTGTATAGCACTCAGCAGTTTGCAAAATGGTTTTACAAATACTAATTCACTTAATCCCAGAAACCATACCAAGAGGAAGGTGTTTCTCCCGCTTTATGGATGAAGACACTGAGGCTTCGAGAGGCCATGGGGTAGACAGGCAGGAGAACCTTGATGAGAATGCAGGGTGGGAAGTGCTTTGAAAAAGGGAGATGTTCGTCAGGCGTTGTGGCTCACGCCTGTAATCCCAGCACTATGGGAGGCCAAGGCAGGTGGATGGCTTGAGTTCAGGAGTTCGAGACCAGCCTGGCCAACATGGTGAAACCCTGTCTGTATTAAAAATACAAAAATTAGCTGGGTCTGGTGGCACGCGCCTGTAGTCCCAGTTACTGGGGAGGCTGAGGCAGGAGAATCGCTTGAACCCGGGAGGTGGAGGTTGTAGTGAGCTGAGACCGTGCCACTGCACTCCAGCCTGGGCTACAGAACGAGACTCCAACTCAAAAAAAAAAAAAAATAGAAAAAGAAAAGGAAAAAGGGAGATGTGGGGGATGGCATCTCTTTTACATGCCTCACTTCATGGACTATATTAAAATTATTGAGGGTGCGGTGACTCATGCCTGTAATTCCAGTACTTTGGGAGGCCGAGGTGGGTGGATCGCTTGAGCTCATGAGTTTGAGACCAGCCATGGCTAACATGGCGAAACCCCGTCTCTACTAAAAATAACAAAAATTAGCCAGGCATGGTGGCGCATGCCTGTAATTCCAGCTACTTGGGAGGCTAAGGCATGAGAATTGCTTGAACCTAGGAGGCAGAGGTTGCAGTGAGCTGATATTGCGCCACCACACTCCAGCCTGGGCGATAGAGTGAGACTCCGTCTCAAAAAAGAAAAAAATAAAAACTATATTATTTACTTTTCTCACCAGACTCTAAACTGTCTGAGGACAGGGATTATATTGTATTCATTTTTGTATCCCTAGCACCTGGCATATACCTAGCACACAGTAGGTATTCAATAATTTTATTTCAAATTTATTTTATTTCCTTTTTTTTTTTTTTTTTTTTGAGACGGAGTCTTGCTCTGTAGCCCAGGCTAGAGTGCAGTGGCGCGATCTCGGCTCACTGCAATGTCCACCTCCCGGGTTCAAGCGATTCTCCCACCTCAGCCTCCCAAGTAGCTGCCATTACAGGTGCGTGCCACCATGCGTTTGAATTTTTTTTTGTATTTTCAGTAGAGACGGGGTTTCACCGTGTTAGCCAGGATGGTCTTGATCTCCTGACCTCGTGATCCGACTGCCTCTGCCTCCCAAAGTGCTGGGATTACAGGCGTGAGCCACCGCGCCTGGCCTAATTTTTGTATTTTTAGTAGAGAGGGGGTTTTGCCATGTTGGCCAGGCTGGTCTCAAATTCTGACCTCAGGTGATCCACTCGCCTTGGCCTCCCAAAGTGCTGGGATTACAGGTGTGAACCACTGCGTCTGGCCTTCAATTTTATTTCTTGAGTTATTCATAATTCAATTTCTTTTTTTTTTTTTTGAGATGGAGTTTCACTTTTGTTGCCCAGGCTGGAGTGCAATGGTGTGATCTCAACTCACCACAACCTCTGCCTCCTGTGTTCAAGCGATTCTCCTGCCTTAGCATCCCAAGTAGCTGGGATTACAGGCCCCGACCACTGCACCAGGCTAATTTTTTTGTATTTTTAGTAGAGACGGGGTTTCTCCATGTTGGTCAGGCTGGTCTCAAACTCCTGACCTCAGGTGATCTTCCTGCCTTGGCCTCCCAAAATGCTGGGATTACAGGTGTGAGCCACCGCGCCCGGCCTCATAACTCAATTTCACAAAAGATATTGGGCCACAGCTCAACAAATCTTTGAATGGATGCCTGAAAGAGGATATATTTAAAAAGGAGAAGTATTTCTAAAACCACTACTGAAAAATGTGAGCAAATGATGAATCAGGAGAATCATAAATCTGGGTCTTCCAGTGGTGACATGGACAGGAGCACAAAAAGCTTCCTGTTCAACCAGTTTCATGATGTGTTTTTCCTATAGCAGTGGTGGGTTCTGCCACCATGTCATTCAGGCCCCTAGGGAGACACATCTTGTCACACACAGTACCCACCATAGCTTTCACAAATGAGTTCCTTGTATGTCCTGCCAGAGTTCGCAATAACCTGAAGTAGTTTGACAGATTCCTTCTTGGCCTCCTCCTTGATCTTCTCTAGCCCAAGTATTTCCAAGAGGGTTAGGACACCTCCAACCTCAAGAAATTCTATAAGGTACCGATTACTGTCCAGAGGGATAGAAAAGTAGAAATAAAACTCTTGTCAAGTTCCTTTGCACTGAGCTTTCAAAGAGATCCCAAGGTCCCCTCTTTACATACTTTGCCCTCCTATCCAGGAAATGTCCATAGGTAAAGTGATACGAGTGTGGAAATTCTTCCTTCCAGCAGGAAAGACTGGAATTACATACTAGGGACAGTTCTTGGTTTTGCCATTCCAGCATCTCTTCTTCTTCTTGTAATACCACCTCAACTGTCACTTGGGGAATCACCCCTCTGCCACTCATGGGCCATGTAGTTTTGGTGGGGTGAGGAGGTGACAGGGTATGTCACCCTTCTGACTGCAGAAGTTCGTTTGGGGCTGGGCATGGGACCTAAATTGGTCCAATGAGGCTCAAAGCCTGGGACTTTCTTGGGAAGCTGTGGAAAGGATCTGCTCTGTTTTTGGTATGTCTAGAGCTCCTGAGGACCATGGCATACAGAGGTCTATGAACACAGAGGAGAAGAGACAGAAATGGGGGAAAAGACAGAGAAGGAGGCCAAGTACTGATGACATTGTTTGAGCCCTGGATCTAGTTAGGGCTGAAATATGTATTTCTACCCTCTGGGTTTTTCCAGTTAAGTGAGCCACTAATTTTCCTTTTTCTGAGTCCAATATGAGTTGGTTTTCTGTAATTCACAACCGAGAGGGTGCTGACTAGTGAAGCGCCACTGGAGAGAAAGGGATGGGGGAGCAACTAGAGCAGGAGCCCGGTGGACATTACCTCTGGGCCCATCCCAAGAGCTACAAGGAACCCACTGCTAACAGGAATCCGTGGCCCTGGGTGGTGTGAATGCCAAAGACATCATGAGCCTGAGATGCCACTGAGACCCCCAGAATCACGCTAGAACAGAACTCACCTGCTTACAGCTGATAAGAAGATGCCAATGGACCTGAGAAGCTTTTCTAAACATGAGTCAGTCATATAGCTGTATGACACGTTAAAGAGTGAGTTTCAGGGTGGTTTTTCACACAGAAGCCAGAGCCCGTGCCTGATCTCTGGTACCACCCCGGGCCCAGGGTGGCCAAGTAGCTGAACTGTGCCTCTTTACCCTGAGAGGAGCTACCAGCGGAAGGGGAAGTGGCAGTACACACAGGGTTGGGGGAAGAGGGTGCTGGCTGTTCACTGTTCTCCAGGAAGCTCCTCTGTGGCAGTTCAGCCACCTTGGCTCTTACAGGCTTTCTAGGGAACAAGGAGGCTCTGATGAATTAAGGGTCCCTGGAGAAGGCTGGGGGTCAATATCCCAAAGCTCTCTAAGCCATGCCCATTGCATCCTTGGTGTCAGCATAGTTCATGACTTTGTGCCTCATTCTTAGATTTCCCTAAAAAGAACCAGCTTCATCATTAATTCTCAATTTTTGTACTTGTTCAAAGTTTTACACTGGAGGTCACTATCCTTATGAAGAATTGGCTTCCTAATAAGAATAATAGGAGATGGTGGAAAAATTAAACTCTGATTTAAAACAACCTCAGTATTTAATGTTATTTTTTAATGTGAGTCTTTGCAAAAAGCCTCATTATAATAAAGTACCCAAAGCACGCATCAGCTCAGATACAAGGTATGAAATCAAGCCACAACAGAAAAGGAACCAGTCAACAATTACTAGGCTCATAACACATCAGAGGCTCTTAGAACACTTAAGAAATTAGCTGAAATTACTGCAGCTCATGGAGGATGACTGAGAGCTTCCAAGGCTGATAAAGGCTAATGTAATGGTTTGGAGGTAATGGTGCTTTGTTTGGGCGGGGGGTGTGTGAAGCAAATTATCTCTGCTGCACCCTGGTTCCCAGGATGCCAATAGAAGTAGAGACAGATTGGCTCATTAGGAAAGGCTCTTTACTGCAAAAATAGTGTTGGCTCTGGAGCCAGGCTCCCCTGCCTCTTGCTGCCATAGTTGGGGCCAGGCAGCAGCCCACACGGTGGTCTTTTTATTCCTACATTGTCCCCACCCTGCTCCCTCAACTTCTGCCCCTGTTCCTTCCTCAGTGCATTCTCCCCTTTTTCTTCAGGCTAGGCTGGCCAACTTTTGTTTCTGTCACCTTCTGTTTCCTCTGTCCTGGGCTAGTCTTTTTTTTTTTTTTTTTGAGATAGGGTCTCACTCTGTTGCCCAGGCTGGGGCACAGTGGTGCAATCACAGCTCACTGTAGGCTTGAACTCCTGGGCTCAAGCAATCCTCCTGTCTCAGTCACCTGAGTAGCCGGGACTACAGGCACGTGCCACCATACCCAGCTATTTTTTTTCTGTATTTTTTGTAGAGACAGGGGTCTCGCTATGTTGCCCAGACTAGTTTCGGACTTGTAAATTCAAGCAGTCCTCCTGCTTCAGCCTTCCAAAGTGTTGGGATTACAGAGGTGAGCCACCATGCCAGCTTTATTTTTTGTTTGTTTTTTTCTTCCTTTTTGTGGAGAATGGAGTTTTGCTATGTTGCCCAGGCTGGTTTTGAACTTCTAGGCTCAAGCGATCCTCCTGCCTCTGCCTCCCTTTAAGTATTGAGATACTGGCGTGAGCCACCACACCCAGCTAGTCTTGTTTTCATAGTCACTCACTATACATATTTCTGGTCTATTATTTCCAGGAATTAGTTCCAGAACACATGGTTTGAGTCCTGGATCTAGAGAACAGGGGATGAAGGAGCAATGTTGGGGCCACAAGATCAGCAGTTGCTAACAAGTACCAGCTCCTATTGTGTGCGGGGCACTGTGCTAACTGCTTTGCTTGCATTGTCTCAAATAATCCTCACCATGGCCCTCCAGTGGGTGCTATTAGCATTTCCATTTACTTCCTGAGTAACATGAGGTAACAATCTCAGGTCAATAACTTGTCCAAGGTCCCACAGTGAACTGCTGGAACCGGGATTTGAACCTAGGCAGTCTGACTAGGATTCTAACTCTTACTGTTAGGCCTTCTGGCTTGTAGACAAATGGAGGGAGGGCGCTTTGCAGATGAACTCCCAGTGTGGTGTCGCAGGTGGAGCTGTGGTCTGCACGGTCCACTGAGTAGGAGACATGATGGTGTATAGGCTTTCGGACAGACACCCGGTTCTAACTTTATCTCTACCATGTGCTAGTAAATTACTCAACCTTTTCAAGGCTCATCTTTCTTATCTATAAAATGGAATAATACCAATCACCTATTAGGCTGGGTGTTAGGCCCAAATGACATAATATTTGTACAGTATATATCTCAGTGCCTAGAACATAAAAAGACTCAATAGGCTGGGCCCAGTGGCTCACACCTGTAATCCCAGCACTTTGGGATCCCAGCACTGAGGAGGGTGAATCACTTGAGGTCAGGAGTTCAAGACCAGCCTGGACAACATGGTGAAACCCCGTCTCTACTAAAAATATAAAAATTAGCTGGGCACGGTGGTGCATGCCTGTAATCCCAGCTACTCGGGAGGCTGAGGCAGGAGAATCGCTTGAACCTGGGAGGCGGAGGTTGCAGTGAGCCGAGATTGCACCACTGCACTCCAGCCTGGGCAATAGAGTGAGACTCTGTCTCAAAAAAAAAAAAAAAAAAGAAAAAAAGAAAAAGACTCAATAAATGGTAACTAATTTTATCATTTAATACATAAATCCTTAGTTTTACTGATCTATTCTGAAAGTTCAAGGTTGAAAAAAGGGTTTAGGCTTATTGGGACTATGTGGTAGTCAATTTTGCAAAAAATAATGATGCTGTGATGCTATTATATTGACTTGTTTTCCTCCAAAATCCACCATAACTGGAGGGCTGAGTAGGAGAAGTGGGTTTGCTAATTCAAAACACTGTTATCACATCACGCAGTCTATTTTATCTGTTGTACGACAAGGCTGCAAAAAGTTAGGGAATTATGAATAATTCTAGGTGTAGAACACTGAATCTACAACTGTTCAGTAAAAGCATGGTTCATTCATTTAGTAAGCACTGACTGAGTACCCACTAAATTTTAGGCACTATGATTGGCACTTGAGAAATGAAGAAGAATGATGTAATGCCTAATGTAATAAGTGCAATGACCAAGTAAAAAAGCACAGAATGCTCAGACACACTGACATTTAAGTGGGGGATTGGAGTGGGAGAGATCCTGCAATAGCAACTGAGAAACAGCGGGAAAAGGTAGAAGAGAGGACAGCTTAAGAGGGGGCAGTGGTCAAGCAAGGCCAGGACTAGGGTGAGGTGAGGGAGGCACTTGCTTGGGGTCTGAAATTAAAAGGGGCACCAAAAAACTCAGTAATCACATAATATTTCAATGCACTATTTAAAACAATCAAATTAATATAAAAAGTCCATGATGGGCCAGACATGGTAGCTCACACTTATAATCCCAGCACTTTGAGAGGTCAAGGTGGGAGGGTTGCTTGAGCCCAGGAGTTTGAGATGAGCCTGGGAAACAGCAACAGCAAGATCCTGTCTCTACAAAAACATAATAAAATTAGTTGGGGATGTGGTGGTGCATGCCTATAGTCCCAGCCACTTGGGAGGTTGAGGTGGGAGGATGGCTTAAGCCCGGGAGGTTGAGGCTGCAGAGCTGTGATGGCACCACTGTGCTCCAGCCTGGGTGACAGAGTGAGAGTGAGACTCTGTCTCAGACAACAACAACAACAAATCCATGATGAGATGAATAAGACATCACAGTGTTAAATAGACAGGATCTGACCCTGCACCTGTACCACCCTGGCTTACTCATCTCACCCTGTGGCCAAGTGGAAAATATTGTTCAGTAAGACAAGGAAGGAAAAAGGAACTCTAGATTTGGCCACAAAGCTAGGGACTTGGTGAGGCTAGTGTCATGAGTTGTGGGGACAGGAGCCAGGTTATAGGCAGCAATGTTTCTCAAAGCATAACCCGGGGACCACTGGCACTACAGCCACACAGAGTACTTGTTAGAAATAAGGGTCCAGGGTTCCACCCTCAATCTACTAAAGCAGAACCTTGGGAGTGTGGGTGGATAGGTAACTGGTAATCTGCATTTTAAACCTCTTTTATGCACAATAATATTTGAGAACAGACTGGGTGTGGTGGCTCACACCTGTAGTCCCAGCACTTTGGGAGGCTAAGGTGGGAAGATCGCATGAGGCCAGGAGTTTGAGACCAGCTTGGGCAACATAGCAAGACCCCGTGTCTAAAAAAATTTTAAAAACAGAAAAATTAGCTGAGTGTGGTGGTGCACGCCTATAGTCCTATCTGCTTGGGAGGCTGAGGTGAGAAGATCCTTTGAGTCTCCAGGAGTTTGGGGCTGCAGTGAGCTATGATTGTGCTGCTGTACTCCAGCCTGGGGAACAGAGGAAGACCCTGTCTCAAACAAACAAACAAACAAAAAAAGAACATTTGGGTAAACCTACAGATGTATTCCATGGTTATTCCCTTTGGCCTGTGTTACAGGCCTGAGTCTGAAAAATAATTTTATCAATAACTTAAATGTAAGAAAGAGAGCAGTGTTTACTTAAACCTTTAATTCTTCCCAGCTGCAGATGCTGGGTCATTCATTCCTCTACTCAGCAAACATGTGCCAGGCATTGTGCTACATGTTAGAAATATAAAGATAAGTAGAACAGATGCGATTCTTGCCCACTGGATCTAAAATCCAGTGGGGGGAAAGAGAGATATTAAGCAGGTAATAACAATAAAATGTTATGATTATTAAGGCAGAGGAAGTCTATGAATATATATAAGAAGGGAACCTAAGCTAGCCTGGGACTCAGAAATGGGCTTCCTGAGAAAGTGATGTTTAAATTGAGACCTGAATAATAGAGTAGGAGTTGGTCAAATAAGGAGGGGGTTTATTTATTTTTATAGAGATGAGGTCTTGCTCCATCGCCCAGGATAGAACACAGCGGTGTGATCATAGCTCACTGCAGCTTCAAACTCCAAGGCCTAAGTGATCCTCCCTCCTCAGCCTCCCAAGTAGCTGGGATTATAGGTGTAAGTCACTGTGCATGGGTCAAGGAAGGGGTTTAGAGAAGGCGAGAGGGTTCAGGCAAGGACAGAAATATACAATAAAAGGGTCTGAGATAAATCTGTAGAGTGCTATGGGCACACAGAGCAGGAATATCCTCAAATCCTCCTATAACTTGAACTATCACCTTGACGGTGACCAGATCTGTCTTTAGCCTTGACCTGCCTCCAGGGATCCTGAGCACAGACATCTCAAACTCAACATGTCCCAAAACAAGCTTATCTACCCTCAAGCTTACTCCTCTTCTTATGTTCTCTTCCACATAATGGCACCATATTCCCCTAGTTTACTAAGTCAGATATGTGACACTCATCTTGTGGCATATGAGTGAAGATGGATATATGGGTATGGAATAGTTGGATATATAGGTATGGAACTCAGATTCAAGAGAGAAATTTGGGCAGGGATACTTATTTGAAAGCCCTCATACAAGAGTGGTGTTGAATCTTGACAATGAACTAGTCCCTCAGGGAGAATCTGAGAGTGAGTAGAGAAGAGGGACGAGGATGGAATCCCAAGGAACAGCATTTAAGGGGTGGCTGAAGAAGAGCGGGAAATGCATAGACACCAAGATAATCGGTATCAGAGAAACCAGGAGTGTTTTGAGAAGTGGGAAAGGTTGATTGACAAATGCCACTGAGAGGTCACCTATAAGGACTGAGGATGCAGTCCCTGGGTTTTGCAACTGGAAAAACATGGGTAACCTTAGCAAGACCTGCATCAGTGGAGTGGGAGGCACCGAAGTCAGATGGCAGCAAGTGGAGAAAAGGGAGGAGAGGAAGTGGAGACAGGGAGACTCAACAACCTTTATTTTTATAATTTTTAAAAAATGTTTTGAGATGGAGTCTGTCTCTGTGGCCCAGGCTGGAGTACAATGGCGCGATCTTGGCTCACTGCAACCTCCGCCTCCCGGGTTCAAATGATTCTCCTGCCTCAGCCTCCCGGGTAGCTGGGATTACAGGCATGTGCCACCATGCCCAGCTAAGTTTTGTATTTGTAGTAGAGACGGGGTTTCCCTTGTTGGCCAGGCTGTCTCAAACTCCTGACCTCAGGTGATCCGCCCACCTCGGCCTCCCAAAGTGTTGGGATTACAGGCGTGAGTCACCGCGCCCCGCCCCTCAACAACCTTTTCAAGAAGCTTCACTGGGCGCGGTGTCTTATGCCTGTACTCCCAGCATTTTGAGGTCAGGAGTTTGAGACCAGCCTGGCCAACATGGTGAAACCCTGTCTCTACTAAAAATACAAAAATTAGCCAGGTGTGGTGGTACATGGCTGTAGTCTCAGCTACTCAGGAGGCTGAGGCAGGAGAATCACTTGAACTGGGGAGGCAGAGGTTGCGGTGAGCTGAGATTGTGCCATTGCACCCCAGCCTGGGCCACAGAGAGAGACTCTGTTTCAAATAAACAAACAAACAAAAGAAGCTTCACCATGAAGGGCAGAAATTGGGGTTGGGTGGAATATAGATTTGAAACAGGGATTCAATTTTATTTTTTAAAGTAGAAGAGATTTCAGCATATATAAATGCTGAAAAAACGCTGGTTATGAGGCAAAGGTGAAAGCTATAGGAGAGAAAGAATAAGGAGATAGGAAAGGGTTCAAGTGCAGTACAAATAGAGGATTAGCCCTAGACAGAAGGTATACCTACTTCAACTCTGATGGGAGCAAAAGAGGTTAGGGGTGAGAAAGAAATACAATTATAGGTTGGGAACACAGGAAGCTGAGAGAGTTCTTGACTCTAAGGATTTTTTTTTTATCACTTTTTTTTAAACACCAGATGTCTGTTCTAAAATATCAGAATCAAGAGAAAACCCCTTTGACAATCTCCTCTCCTTTTCATTTTTGAAGGCTGCCTAATTTTTGTTTGTTTGTTTGTTTTGAGACAGAGTCTCACTCTGTTGCCCAGGCTGGAGTGCAGTGGCATGATCTCGGCTCACTGCAACCTCTGCCTCCCGGGTTCAAGTGATTCTCCTGCCTCAGCCTCTTGAGTAGTTGGGGTTACAGGCACCTGCCACCACGCCTGGCTAATTTTTGTATTTTTAGTAGAGACAGGGTTTCACCATGTTGGTTAGGCTGGTCTCGAACTCCTGACCTTGTGATCTGCCCACCTTGGCCTCCCAAAGTGCTGGGATTACAGGCGTGAGCCACCGTGCCCGGTGCCTAATTTTTTTTTTTCTGTTCAGTAAAGGATACGTGATTCTAAGCGAGGTGGTCAAGCGTACCAGGAACAAACTGGCTCCCTGGGAAAACTCCTGCTCCAGTTCAGGGGCAGTCTTGCCTTGGTTGGTTTCAATGAACTTGTCGAGGATGTGACTCCTTGCGACTTTGCCAGCGTTGTCCCACTCCTGTAAAAAACTTAAGAGCCTGCTAATTGCTGCCTGCTCCTTTATAGAAGTCATGATCAATCAGTCCTGAAGTTGGCTACAGAGGGAGGGAAAAGAGACAGGTTACCGGAATGTTTAGAATCATGCAACTCCATTATTTTTCTAGCAATCAACTGCAGGCAGGGTGTGGCTTTATCATGCAAATGGATGTAGTTATGCGCAAAATATACTCTAGAACTGGTCACCTGCTGCTTGAACAGGGAGGCTCTAGCTGGAGTGTAATGGGATTAAGAATATCAGTGTGCTAAATGTCTGCTCTTTAAGAACTAAAATTTTAGCTCTTTGGCGTCCCTACTGATGCCAGCAACTAAAAGACCAGAGCATCCAGCTGAGATAAAAGTGCTTGCCAAGGCCGGGCGTGGTGACTCATGCCTATAATTCCAGCACTTTGGAAGGCCCAGGCAGGTGGATCACCTGAGGTCAGGAGTTTGAGACCAACCTGGCTGACATGGCGAAACCCTGTCTCTACTAAACATACAAAAAATTACCTGGGCGTGGTGGCAGGCACCTGTAATCCCAGCTCTTGGGAGGCTGAGGCAGGAGAAATCCCTTGAACCCGGGAGGCGGGTTGCAGTGAGCCGAGATCGCGCCACTGCACTCTAGCCTGGGCGACAGAGTGAGACTGTGTTAAAAAAACACAAAAATTAAAAAAAGAAAAACAAGAAACAAACAAAATCTGGGCCTCTCTTGTGGCTTACTTCATACAGGGTCAGAGGCTTGAGGTCTTGAGAGACATGGCCTCCCTCTTATGCCAATCACCTAAGTTAAAGTGCTCCTTAACCTTGTACCTCGGGCTTTTACACTAACTCTTAAAAACAACTTAAAAAAAAGTTAGTGGGAAGAAAATGTTCCCATTCCATAGTTGGATTAATGGGCTGTGGTTTGTAGGAGTCTGTGTCCTTGGGAGAGTATTTTCAGTGGGGGGAGGGAAGGTTTAAGATAAACCTGTTTTCCAAAAATAGTTGTGATTGAAAGTGTTATTATCCATAACAAATGTTAGTGCTGATGGGAGAGAGGCATGTGTGATTCTTTTGTCTAACAGACAAGTGAAAGTCATATTTCACATTATCATGGAGTTTTCTGTGATTTACAGAATATTTGTGAAACATTACTTGCAGGGGCCATGATTGATATGGAGAGAACAGCTTGTGTGTAGGAGAGATGTGTATTTCACGAAGACTGTTCAACATGAAATTTACAGTCCCATAAAGTGCTTCTACATCTTCGCCAGAGATCTAGTTAAAAGGACTTTACAGTCTGAAACATCCTAAAATTGATTCTAAATTAACATTTCCTCACATGTATTTGAGATATTGATGGGGCCCAGCTATCAGAATTTTATTAGGAAGCAATAATCTGAGGCATGCGGAGACAGACATACATACACACCAACCTCTACTACTCCCCAGAGGACATGGGATGCGTGCTTCCAGAAGGGCGTCCACGCAGCCTCCAGGATGGAGATAACCACGAAATCTAGCTGGCCTTAAGAACCAGGTGAATGACTGCGGACCAACCTGAACACAAAAATGACCAAACCCCCTCATGGGATCCTGCATCAATCACTGTGAATGCCATTGCAGTCATAAATCTGAGAATAACCTAGGGAGGCTGTGGCTGCCTTCAGTTGCCAAACTGACATCAAGAAAATGGGGGTGAATGGCTGTTCTAGACCCCAGGGAGGTGGGGTTGAGACACCACCACTAGCTTTATCAGGCAGGAAAGCACCGTGTGCCCTTGCCCTGCCTTAAATGGACCCTTTCTAGTATCAAAACTCAATGTGCCATTAGAGATGCACCCAGCGATTCCAGGACGCCAAAGGCAGGGACCTCTAAGCAGGGCACATTACGGCTCCTCAATGTTTCCTTGGACCTCAGTCTCCCCTATCTTCTTTGAAGACAGGAAAAGAAGCATCAACAAACATCAGCTTTAAACGTCACTGTGATGCAGCTGTAAATCTTATGTATGTGGTGAAGGCCCATCCTGTGGCTCTGTATAAGGTACCGTGGGAGATGCAAAGATGAATACGATGCTGCAGGGCGCTGGAGGAGTTCCTACTCTTGGGGGAGAGTGGAAGAACATGAGATCTGGAGTCAGACTGGGTTCAAGGCTCAGCTCCGCCACTTGCTATTTTGAAAAAAATCAAATAGTAATAGCACCTGCCTCACCTCTTGCTGCCCTCCAGTTTCTCCTCACAGAGGAGGCTACTTTAAACTCTTTTGGCTATTTTTTCTGCTGTTTACCCCTGTATTTCCAAATAACGAGCTTATACTACTTGTTATGGGCTGAACTGTGTTTTCCCCAAATTCCTATGTTGAAGTCCTAACCATCAGTAACTCGGGATGTGGCTGTAAATGCAGATACAGTCTTTAAAGAGGAAATTAGGTTTAAACTATGTCATTAGGGTGGGCCTTTATCCAATATGATTGGTGTCCTTATAAGAAGAGGTGACTAGGATACAGACATACACAGAGAGAAAACCAGGTGAAGACACAGGGAAAACATGGTCATCTGCAAGCCAAGGAGAGAGGCCTCAGAGGAAATCAACCCTGTGACACTGTAATCTCAGCCTTCCAGCCTCCAGAACTGTGAGATGATGAATTTCTGTCATTTAAGTTATCTAGTCTATAACACTTTGTTATGGCAGCTCTAGCAAACTAATACACTGCTATCATTCGATGTATCAACCTTAGGCAATATTTATGTATTTATCATTCTGGCAGGTGAGGAATTAGGTCTTCATTTTTTTTTTTTTTTTTCTGAAATGAGGTCTCACTATGTTGCCCGGCCTGCAGTGCAGTGGCTATTCACAGGTACGATCATAGTAAACTGCAGCCTTAAACTCCTGGCCTCAAGCAGTCCTCCTGCCTCAGCCTCCTGAGTAGCTGGGGCTACAGGCGCATGCCACCTTGCCCAGTGGAGGAATCAGTTTTATTGCACCACTCTAACTCCCATTTTTTTTCTTTCTATCCTCCAACATTATTTCCCATACTTTAGAGTTAAATCAATAGTGTTTACATTATTATTATTATTTTTTGAGATGCAGTCTCACTCTGTTGCCTAGGCTGGAGTGCAGTGGTGTGATCTTGGCTCACTGCAGCCTCTGCCTCCCAGGTTCCTGCGATTCTCCTACCTCAGCCTCCTGAGTAGCTGGGATTACAGGCATGTGCCACCACACCTGGCTAATTTTTATATTTTTAGTAGAGATGGGGTTTTGCTGTGCTGGCCAGGCTTGTCTCAAACTCCTGAGCTCAAGTGATCTGCCTGCCTCAGCCTCCCAAAGTGCTGGGATTACAGGCGTGAGCCACTGTGCCCGGCAGGTTAACATGACTGATCAAGTAAATAAACTCTTCAAGTAGCAAACTACTATTACATTTTTTTCTTACAGTTTGGTTTTACCTGGAGTTAATAATTGTCATTTTTTTCCTATTGTTTGGTTTGAAGTACCAAGGGCTATTTCATTCCAAATGTCCCAAATATGTAGTGATTATTTTTCCAAATGTTCAATCTGTAACTGATTAATTCCATCTTTTCCCTGGAAACCTCTGTCCCACAGATCTCTTTCTACTATAGTTTAGACTGGTTGCTCACTAAGGCCAGTATGCAAATGTTGTCCTGGGATTTCCTCTTGCCGAGTTTTTCTGACGGATGCCCATTTCCTGTCTCTCACATCTTCTTCCTTCTTTGTGTACTCCCTTGTTTTGTCCTGGAAAGTCTAAAAATATTGTTTTTGACCACATGTTGGATTGGCTGGGTATATAACTCCGCGTTAGAAATAAGCTATCTGGGCCGGGCGCGGTGGCTCACGCCTGTAATCCTAGCACTTTGGGAGGCCGAGGCAGGCAGATCACGAGGTCAAGAGATCAAGACCATCCTGGCCAACATGGTGAAACCCCGTCTCTACTAAAAATACAAAAATTAGCTGGGCGTGGTGGCGCGTGCCTGTAGTCCCAGCTACTCAGGAGGCTGAGGCAGGAGAATCACTTGAACCCAGGATGTGGAGGTTGCAGTGAGCCGAGATTGTGCCACTGCACTCCAGCCTGGTGACAGAGTGAGACTCTGTCTCAAAAAAAAAAAAGAAAAAAAAAGAAATAAGCTATCTGGCCAGGTATGGTGGCTCATGCCTATAATCCCAGTATGTTGGGAGGCTGAGGCAGGAGGATCACTTGAGCCCAGGAGTTTGAGACCAGCCTGGGCAACACAGTGAGACCTCCATCCCCTCACCCCCAAATTAGCCAGGTATAGTGACACACACTTGTAGTTTCAGCTACTTGGGAGGCTAAGGTGGCTGAGGTGGGAAGATCGAATGAGACCAGGTCGGGGCTGCAGTGATCTATGATCCCGCCACTGCACTCCAGCCTGGGCAACACAGCAAGACCCTGTCTCGAAAAAAAAAAAAAGCTTCCCTCAGATTCACCCTCCCCAGTTGCTGTTACTGATGAGAAATCTGAAGTCATTCTGATTCCTGTGCCTTTGTCTATTTTTTTCACTCCTGATGATTTTGAAACCTTTCTGAAGTTGTATAATGATATGCTTTGGTGAAGGTCTTTTTTAATTTACTATAGTAGGCCCTTGGTGGGCTCTTTAAATCACTGTATCCTTCAGTGTTTGGATATTTATTAGGCAACTAGTCTTCTCACTGGGGAATTCATAAATGTCAGTCAGTGGAAGCTTGTTTGTTTTTTTTTAACACCCTCATAGAGATATCAGGGTCTCTGGAGAAGACTTTCCTACTTTCCCAGGGAGGGTGAGAGAGCAGGGGTGCTATTACAGACACCTCGCCATGGCATGTTGGGAGTCAGGTGGGGGAAGGGCTCACACAATGCTGTGTGTAGACCTTCCCTCTACTCATCAGTTTTCAACTCTATGTCTCATTCCTGCCCTTCAAGCCCTGCCTGAGGTCCCTGTGCAAGGAGGCCTACAGAGTCCAACTTCCTTCCTCTTCATGCAGCAAGAAAGTTTAGAGTCATTTCTTTCTTGGCGGTTGAGGGTCTGGAGTGCAGGCAAGTGCTCTGCACACAGAGGTCAGTGAATCCCCCTAGGTTGGGCTCCATACCTCATTTCTGACCTTCAGTGGTAATTTGTGCTTTCAAGCATTAAGCCTCTTAGAGGTCAAACTGGCTGAATTGACTGGTTTCTTGTTGGTAAGCTCCCCTTGTTGGCAGTTGCTTGCAATTTCCTCTGCTTCAAGCCGGTTAGCCTCCCTGCACCTGCCTTCTGCCTTCCAAATATTTGTTGAATTCTTTCATCTCCTGTTGCCTCCTTCCATGAACTTTTGTGACTGAATGCTTTTTTATATTTCTTCAGCGGGGTTATGTCACTAAGGTTTTTCAGAAGTAGGGGGAGATAAAAGACATTAAGTATATTTAATTAAGAGCCTCCAGTCATGTATTATTTATCTCAACCTTTCTTTAATAGTAAGCTTGATGAGGGTAAAAAAAGACCCATTAACTACCATTTTTAAAAATAATTAATAAGATGAAAACAGTGGAAAAAAGACCAAAATGTGTCAATTTCAAGAGTCAGTTGCTGGGATAAATTGTATCTAAGCTTGTTGACCGCTAAGGAAAAAGTGATGTTAGCTGTGTTTCCTGGTGAAGGCAGAAGGAATGAAGGCAGGGAGAAGAAACTGACATTTTTTGAGTGTTGATTAAGAGCTATCCACACACCATACGCACACACACTCACACACTCTCTCTCTCTCTCTGTGGTTGTTTTTGTTTATAGAGATGGGGTCTCTCTGTGTTGCCTAGGCTGATCTCAAACTCCTGGCCTCAAGCTATCTTCCCACCTTGGCCTCCCAAAGTGCTGGAATTACAGGTGTGAGCCACCGCACCCTGCCTAAATTCTTTGTTTTAATCCTCTTAAGATCCTCAGGAGGTCATCATTATCCACAACTTTCAGATGAAGAAACTAAGGTTTAGAAGGGTTTGCTCATTTATTGAAGGTCTCAAATAGGGATGGGAATGGGATTTGAACTTAGATCTGCATATAACTCCAAAGTCCAGGTTTTTCCCCACTAAGCCAAGGGCATGGATCCTGTTCTCCTCTGTGCTCCAAGGTGTCACCAATAATCTCCTGTTGTCAGATTTAGTGGTTTAGCTCACCGTCCCAGCGTGCTTGGTCTCTCTGATGGATTGTGAATGACTCTTTTCCTAACCCCAGAATCCCCTGGTTCTACTCCAGACTCTCTGAATCCTCAGTTGCCATTGCAGGATAGTGCCTTTGCAGGTCGTTTTCCCGTTCTTAGTTCTCTTCTCATGCTTTGTAATCCCTGGGTGACCTCATTCACCCCATCACTTCAAATTACATTTATAGGCGCACGACTCTCAAATCCGTCTCCTCAGTCTGGGCCTCCCACCTGAGCTCCAGATCTCTTTATGTACTTAAGTGACCGGCAGACTCTTCACTGGTATGTGTCACAGGCTCCTCAAGTCAACAGGTCCCAAACTGAACTCATCAACTCACACCTGCCCCTTGCCCTGTGTTGGTCCTATTTCAGTGCTTGGGTCACCACCCTCCTAGTCAGCCAAAAGTTGTCTTTGACTTATTCCTCTCCCTTGCCCTCATCTGAACTGTTGCCAGCTCCTGCCAATTACATGTCCTAAATTTCCCTGAGATCAGTCTGTCTGTCTTCACCTCCACTGCCGCTATTTCAGTTTCACACCCTTGTTCCGCATATGGATTACTGCAACAGCCTCCACTGGTCTTCGGGCTTGCCCCAGCCTAAACTCCACAGTGATGTGAGATTTTTTATTTTTATTTTTATTTTTGAGACAGGGCCTTGCTCTGTCACCCAGGCTGGAGTGCAGTGGCACAATCATAACTTACCGCAGCCTCAATCGCCTGGGCTCGAGTGATCCTCCCACCTCAGCCTCCTGAGTAGCTGGGACTACAGGTGCATGCCACCATGCCCACCTAATTTTTATTTTTATATTTGTTTATTTTTTGTAGAGGTGGGGTCTTGCTTCGTTGCCCAGGCTGGTGTCAAACTCCTGGGCTCAAGCAATCCTCCTGCCTCGGCCTCCCAAAGTACTGGGATTACAGGTGTGAGCCACCAGGCCAGGCTTTGATGTGAGATTTTTAAAAGTACAAATCTGACAGATTTCACTGCTTCAAACTCTTCAGTGGTTCCTTACTACCTGAGGATAAAGCTTCAAACATTTCAGGCCAAAGAATTTCCATCTAAATTCGGCCCCAGGTGAAACCTGACACCCCACCCCACCCCTTGCCTCAACCCATGCTGCTGCTGCTTCTAAATCAGGAAGGGGGCTGCCCACTATCCTACACCTCAAACACCATTCTCTAAATCCCTACTACTGTTCCTGAACCCTTCCTCCTCCTCTGAGGTCAGGCCATCTGTCTTTCCCTCTCTACCTTGCCGCAGTGCCGATCAATGACTTTGACACGTAAGCCTTCCTGTTTACTCAAGAGCCACTAGGCAATTTCAACATCAGTGTGCTCCATCTTTGTAATTTGGGTGGCTAGCAGGGTCTCTGGTAAAACACAGGCACTCAATAAGTGTTATTTAAACTGACATCCAACACACTGTGCTCAGAATGTGCACTTTAATTTCCTTAGCTCTGCACATTAGTTAATTAAACAGATTCCCAGGTGCCAACTCTGAGCCGAGCACTGGGCTTGGGATTGGTTAACGTGACAAACATAGACCTTGCCCTCGGGTGCTTACAGACTGGCAGGGCAGAGAGACAAGCAAAAAGGTGATTTTAATGAACAGTGGAGAGCGCTCTGATGGGATATATCCCAGGTTCTGTTGGCGCACAGAGAAGAGACATGGAATGCAGACTCCAGCGACCTCCCGCTTTCACCTCCAACCAACACAGCTTTCATACCCAAAACCCACACCCCAAATCTGTGACTGGCTAGCACCATCCCACCTATGAAGTCTACAATTCCAAGCTCCTTACCTTCCCACCTCTTCCATCTATTCTCAGAAGGCCTACTTTTGGGTTTAACAAAGAAAGTTATAGGCCATTAGGTAAGAATGTCGTCATACTCCTCTTCTTTCTTCATCTCTATCCACATCCATCCTTCTCCTCTCCTTCTCTAGCCATCTACCAGAGCTCTGCCTCCATCCACCCCGCCTTCTCAGGGCCCTCATTCTACTCATTACTCCTGCCTCCCTTGTATCCTTAACCCCTCTATTTAGGCATTTTTCTTGTTAGCCTTGATTTTTACCTATCTTTATTATTATTTATTTATCAGTGTATTTATTCGAGATAGGGGCTCACTCTTGTCACTCAGGCTGGAGTGCACAGCACCGTCATAGCTCAATGCAGTCTTGAACTCCCGGGCTCAAGCGATCCTCCTGCCTCAGCCTCCTGAGTAGCTAGGACTATGGGTGTGCACCACCATGCCTGGCTAACTTAAAAAAATTTTTTAGAAATGGAGCCTCACGGCCGGGCGCAGTGGCTCACGCTTGTAATCCCAGCACTTTGGGAGGCTGAGGCAGACAGATCACGAGGTCAGGAGATCGAGACCATCCTGGCTAACACGGTGAAACCCCCTCTCTACTAAAAAATACAAAAAGTTAGCCGGGCATGGTGGTGGACGCCTGCAGTCCCAGCTACTCGGGAGGCTGAGGCAGGAGAATGGCGTGAACCCGGGAGGTGGAGCTTGCAGTGAGCCGAGATCACGCCACTACACTCCAGCCTGGGTGACAGAGCGAGACTCCGTCTCAAAAAAAAAAAAAAAAGGGGATCGGAAGGGGGCAAATTGGAGGTGGGGGCACCAGTTAGGAAGTCATTCCTACGGCCTTGACAAAGACGCTGATGATATTAGGGTTGGAGAAAAGTAGAAATGTCACACCATTTGAAGAAACAGGGCCTGGTGACTGACTGGCTGTGGAAGATAAAAGACGGGGAGGAATCAAGGAGGATGCCTGGATAACTTTGCTTCCAACTTCACAGAGAATATAGGGGCCATCAAGCGCAACCCTCTCCTCTTACGATCATCGTATCAGCACCCACCCTCTCCGTGGGCACTAGGTTCTACTCCTGTCTTCAATCTTCCCATCTTCCCTGACTCCTCTTAAACACTTGCTCAATCCCCACCAACCCAAATAAATATACAAACAAAGCCATCTCCTAACTACTTTTTCCGTAAGCTTCTACCCTTCCTACTTGCTTCACCCCCAGATTTCTCCATTAGCTCACTGTGGCCTACTGGATAAAGTCTAAACCCAATATGGCACTCAAGGCCCTTCAAAACTTGGCCCCAGCTGGGCGCAGTGGCTTACGCCAATAATCCCAGCACTTTGGGAAGCTGAAGCGGTGGATCATGAGGTCAGGAGTTCGAGACTAGCCTGGCCAACATAGTGAAATCCCGTCTCTACTAAAAATACAAAAATTAGCTGGGTGTGGTGGCACGCGCCTGTAGTCCCAGCTACTCGGGAGGCTGAGGCGGGAGAATCACTTGAACCTGGGAGGCTGAGGCTGCAGTGAGCCAAGACCGTGCCACTGAACTCCAGCCTGGGTGACAGAGTGTCTCAAAACAACAAACAAACAAACAAACAAACAA
Source organism: Homo sapiens (assembly GCF_000001405.40). NCBI lineage: Eukaryota > Metazoa > Chordata > Mammalia > Primates > Hominidae > Homo > Homo sapiens. The sequence goes on along the minus strand of NC_000001.11, from coordinate 44,680,172 downwards.
ACAAACTTGGCCCCAATCTAACTTCATCTCTAGTCACTTCCACATTACAACAACCTTGCACTCTCAACTCCCCAGGCCCTTCCAGGGCCCTCTGCATCTCAGTGTTGCTCTGCCATCAGGAATGGCCAGGTTCCTTTTTGCCCTTTGGCAAACTCCCTGGGACAACTAGGGGTTTGCAGCTCTGGTCCCATCCATGCCACCTCTTCCTCTAATATGCTTTAAAACTTACCCATCCTTCCCACTAGAGTGTGAGTTCCTCAAGGGCAGGGGTTGGTCTTCCCTGTCTCTGTGTCCCTAGGACCTGGCATAATGCCTGGCACAAAACAGATGTTGAATAAATGCTCGCTGAGTGAATGTGTGAAGAAATCACCCAGCTCCTGTTGAGATGATTATATCTGAATGTCCATGATATGCAGGTCCATAAAACTACCAACTTCCCAAAGCTGCCATGTGCGGAGTGGCAGAATCTCCATCCAAGAAGGCCAGTGCAAAGTCTACGAGGTGTTTTACAGCTATGACAGGAAACAGCAATGTCAGCAGCGGTGTCATCTTTGGACACTAAGGACAGGGATTCAGTGCCATGAACGGTCAGTTAAATTGTAATTGGAGTGAACTGTTCTTCTGTAAACCATAATGTTATTTAGCTGCAGCCAAATGGCATTCAAGAAGGGGAGAAATTTTTTTTGAAATGTCACAGAAATTATTTCCAATTTGGTGCTCACAACCAGAGACTCTAATGATCAGTGGAAATGAGAAGCAAACAAATTAGCACTAATGGAAAATGGCTTTTGGAAAAGAAGATTTAATTTATAGTCAACTGATCATGGCATGCAGCATGCAGTAAAAGTCAGCTTCACCAGCTTGATCATAAGAACTGGAGCACACATGGAATGCCAGAGAAAAATATATGTATGCCATCATGCTTATTGGGATCTCTCTGTAAGTGGCAGCCAATTAAAATAGTCATTATTTTACCTCAGAGAGAAAACGGTGCAAAAAATCAAGCACGCGAAATTAAAAATCCAGATTAAGAACCTCGGTCCAAATTGGTTTGTTTGTGGCCTTCTAACCTTGGCAAAGTCTTCTGCAAGGATAACAGACCTACTTTGTCTTCAGCCCAGAGTGGACTCTTTGTTTTTAATTTCCTCTCCATCTTCAGAGGTGATTAATAAATCTGGACTCATCCATAAATCATTTCTATAGTGGCCAAATGGTTCTTCTTCATGCAGGGAAACTAAAATCACACAATCTCAAAAGCCTCAGCTCTCATGCTAAGCCAAAGGTCCTTGGCAACAAGCGAAGGGGAGGTATTAAAAATCAAGAGGTCAATAGGTCTTGTTTCTAAATAAAATTTCCCAGAGGGCTTCCCCACCCCCCCGGCAAATCAAAAGACACCTTCTGAAAGCAAAGAGGCCTCCAAGGCATGGGTTGCCAGCCTGGCTCACTGTCCCCACATGGCCTCGGAGACAACAAGCAAGTCACTGCCTCCTATTCCTGTAGGTTTCACATGTAGAATGAGACAGGCCTTCTCCTTGGGCTCCCGTCCCTGACTCCTAACTCTCAGTTCTCCATTCAGAGATAGGGAGAGAGAAACATTATCTCCTCAAACTTCCAAACAAGGTGTCCTTATTTCTCTCCCAGGGGCATATGCACTCCAATTTGTCACTTCCTTCTCATGGACCCTCTTCTGCTCCCCAGTCATACCCTGGCAGATACCCCTACCCCTGCTACTCATCACTTCCTGGTAGACTCCATCTGCCCCCACCTTTTCCTCACATCTGTCCATTTTCTCCATCCTCTCCCCACAAGAACTCCTTTCCCCCATCTCCTTCCTATGAAATCCTCTGCCTTCATCTTCTCCCCACTTGCCCTCATTCCTACCCACAGCCCCCACTCTTCTTCTCCCCAGACTCACTTCTGCCTCCAACACTGCTCCACAGACCTGCCCTCATCCTCTCTCCACAACATGTAACTGGCGAGGTCAACCACACTCTCCTTGCCCCTTCACTGCTCTATGCTTCATCTTCCTCGACCCATTTCCCAGCCTTCCTTCCCTTCCCAACCTTTTTACTCTGCTCTTGAAAACCCTTCTTCCCAATCAGCTAAGTCTCCTCCATCCTCAGCCTCTCCAGTCACCTGCCCACCTCCAGCCTGCATCCAAAGCTGGCTCTACCCCAGGGCTCCCCTTCTGCATGGCCCTCCTGGTAGAATCTGTTTAGATTCTTACACCCCCAGGATTTCAGGTTTAGGAGGGGGCCTCATGTCTCCTTGCCAAAGCCCAACTCAGTTCCTTATTCCACCTCCTTCTTGTAAAAGCCCTTACTACTTCAAGGGTCATACCATTTAGCTGTCTCAGCCTTTGCCCCTCCTCATGCTGTCACCTAGAGACTCCAGAAAAACCTGCTCTGCCCATCAGAGACTGGTACCTAGCTCACGGGCATCCTCTTCCCTTCCCTCCCCTCAAGTCTTTCTATCATCCAGGGGGAGTTCAGTGGCCACATCAGCATCCTGACTGTCTCCTGTACTCCACTTTGGTCACTGACTCCCACGGCCACACAGTGGACCTTGTCATCACCGGAAACTACTCAAACTTCATTCTTCCACTTTCTGATCACAACTCCCTCATTCAATGATCTCAGATGTGGATTCTCTGACTTCACTGGGACCTCTAGTCCATACATTTTTTTTCACTCTCCTATCCAGTTTAGATACTAAGGCCCTTCATTTCAATCACTGTTTTGCCACAATCTTCAACTTCCTTGTCCTTTGTCCTTCCATTGTATCCGCCTGGTAAAACCCAAACCTAGATCAATTAAACTAACCTCTGTGTACCCACCACTAGGTGGCTGAATGTTGTTGAGGGAAAAATGCATATTACACAACCTTGCAGACTGCTGCTTCCGAAAATTAATGGTCACTAACCTCGACAGGGCCATGATAACTGCCCAGAAATCTGTTTGCTACCTTAGTCATCTCACTGCCACTCTCCAGTGCTGCTATTTTAATCTTTCTCTGCTCTTTTCAATCTCGCACACCATCTCCAATCCCACTCTCACTGGCTGATATAATGTTCTTATTTGACAGAGAAAATGGAAACCATCGAAGAATTCCCTCAGCTTCCTGTCACCAAACCCACCAATTAACCTCAACGTAATGCTTCCCTTCTGCCACAAAACAAATGTTCCTCCACCCTTCTAAGTGAATTTCTTCACCAACACTTTGGTGAAGTCTTTTTTTCAAGGGCACCATTCTCAGTTATCTTCTTTCCCTTATAGTTTTATCTTTTTCCCCTTTGCTGGATCCACATCAACATTTCTTCCATCCGAATAAAAACCTGTGTTTCCTGCTGGATATTGCCTTCTTTTTTCTTCTCCTAAATAGCCAAGCTTTCTGAAAATGTATCTTACATGAATCTTCACTTCCTCAATCCCATCTGCTTCTCAAACCACTGTAATTTGACCTCTGCTCCCATCACTCCACTGAAACTGCACTTGTAAAGGTCACCAACAACTTCCTTGTTTCTAAATCCAGTGGATTCTTTCAGGCCTTATTTTACTTGATTAGTCATAAGCCTTCAACACTTTCCTTCCTTGGCTTCTGAAACACCACATACTACTACTGATCTTCTTACCATTTTGGACACTTCATCTTGATTACCTTTGCAGGTTCGTCCTCCTTTGCCAGACCCTCAAACTTGGGTGTTTCTCAGGGCTCTGTCCTAGGTCTCTTCTGACTCTACACTTACTCCCTGGGCAAGCTCAACAAATCTATTGGTGTGGCTGGCATCTATAAGGCCCCATAGACTCCCACACTGCAACTTCCAGTTAGACTTATCTGGCGAACTCCAGTTAGGCATATCCAATGGCCTTCTGGATACCTCCACTTGGATGTTCCATTGGCACCCCAAGCTCACCGTGCCCAGAACTGACCCTCTCCTAAAAACCCCTGCTTCCTCTCCTTCCTGTTTGCCCAAACCAGGAATCTAGAAGTCATCCTTCATTTCCCTTACTTCCCCCACACCCAATTAGTAACCAAGTCCATTTTTTTCTAGCTATAAGTGTCTAAGGAATTCATCCTGCCCTTTCCATTTCAGCTGCCACTCCATGCTTTGTGCCACCATAATCCTTCCCCACTACTGAAACAACCTCCTAACTGGTCTCCCTCCTTCTCCCAATCCTCAATCCAGTTCCTGCACTAATGTTTCTTTTTTTTTGAGACAGAGTCGCGCTCTGTCACCCAGGCTGGAGTGCAGTGGAGCAATCTCGGCTCACTGCCACCTCTACCTCCCAGGTTCAAGCCATTCTCCTGCCTCAGCCTCCCAAGTAGCTGGGATTACAGGTGTGCACCACCATGCCCGGCTAATTTTTGTATTTTTAGTAGAGATGGGGTTTCGCCATGTTGGCCAGGCTGGTCTCGAACTCCTGACCTGAAGTGATACGCCCGCCTCAGCCTCCCAAAGTGCTGGGATTACAGGGGTGAGACACCACACTGGGCTCTTTGTTTTGTTTTTTGAGACAGGGTCTCACTCTGTCACCCAGGCTGGAGTGCAGTGGCACAATCATGGCTTACTGCAGCTTTGACCTCCTGACTCAAGTGATCCTCCCACCTCAGCTTTCCAAGTAGCTGGGACTTCAGGCATGCGCTACCATGCCTGGCTAATTTTTAAAATTTTAATTTTGTAGAGATGAAGGTCTCACTATGTTGCCCAGGCTGGTCTTGAACTCCTTCAAGCCATTCTCCCGTCTTGGCCTTCCAAAGTGCTGGGATTACGAGTTTGAGCCACCGCGCCTGGCATGCAAAGAGTCTTTCCCCCTCCCTATCTCTAAAAGTCTTTCAAGGCCCAGCTCAAGAGCCAACCCCACTGCCATAAATGCCCCTTCTCTGATTCTGAGCTCCTCAAATCCTTACTCTTCTGTAGTATTTATCTCACACGCAGAATCAGAGTTGCTTCATGCATGGTTTCTCTCCCTCTCCCGTTAAGACATGGGAGAGGGAGGGCCAAAAGCTTGATTCTCACTAGGGCCTAAGGAACCTTATTTAGCCCACCCAGTCTCTGGCACATAGTATGTAAATATGCTGGCACATAGTATGTAAATATAGATAAATGCAAGAAAGTTGCACTCCCAGCTCCTCGGTGGGCCCTATCAACAGGGCATTCTCTAAAGTCATCAACTGAAGACTGCTTCCCATCCACCCATCCATCCATCCATCCATCCATCCATCCAGAATATGCCTCAACCCCACTGGGTGGAGGTTGGGTCGGCACGCGCCCCCTAGGCCGTTTTGTACGGTTTTATACCTCCAGCCCTCGCAGTTGCGGCTGGTAGAGGATGGCAGAGGTAGGTAGACGATGCAAGTCAAAGGGCACACTCTTCCGCCGCGTAGGATAGGACTCTGTTCGGACGAGTGACCCTGCCCATTCCCAGAATACAGCAACTCTTCAGCCGCCTCTCACCTACATGAGAGGGTGGGGACTCTTCCTGACCGGCGCCCCGGCTGACCAATACCTGATCCAGATCAAGCGAATTAGCCAATGGCTGCGGGTCAGTAATAGGGGCGGGGCATGGTTGCTAGGGCCGAGCTAGTGGGGTGAGGCGAGAGGCTCTGGAAGAGACTCGGTGGTTGCTAAGGCGGGAGGTCACAGAGCGCGGCGCAGGGATTGGGCCGTGTTGGGGGAGGTGTGTGGTGATTGGGCGGCGCCCAGGAGGCGCCCGGGTGAGGCACGGGTGCGCAAGCGGGAGTTCCGGCTGGAGACCCGTGCTCTGGGCCGGCGCCTTCACCATGGCCTCGGCAGAGCTGGACTACACCATCGAGATCCCGGATCAGCCCTGCTGGAGCCAGAGTATGGAATGAGGGTTGGGTCCAGGCGCGGGGAGGTGACCTCATGAACCTGTGGGTTGCGAGCGCAGCTGTAGCCCCGCCCCTCATGCGGCCCCGCCCTCCCTCGGGCCGCCCCCTCATAGGGTCTGGCAGGTCCTAGACTTAGAGAGGCTCAGAGAGCCCCGCCCCTCGTAAGTCCCGCCCCAGAGTGTTCCTCCCTGGCGAGCCCCGCCTCTGCCCGAGTCAGCTGCTCGCTTGGGACCTCTTTTTCTGTCTTTCCTGTCCGGGGTGCTCAGGTCCATGCCCTTTAATCACTTCTCATAGCTGAAGGCTGCCGAAAGCTGGATCCCTCCTGATTCCTTTGTTTGGGATTGGGCTTCCCACATCTAGCCTATCACTTATTATTTTCCCGAAGGCGTGGAGGGGGAGGCTCGCGGGGTCACCGATCCTCGCAGAAGCCCGGGACTCAGAACCCTTAGCCGTCCCTCTCCACTCTTCTCGGCAGTGGTTAACAGTGCAGTCTCTGCCGTCGGGTAGAACTCGACTGAAATCCTGACTCCTTCCTTTAGGAGCTGGATTACCTTTGGTAAGCTACCTTCTCTGAACTTCAGTTTCCTCCTCTGCAAAACCGGGATAAGGATAGTAACCTTCCTCATAGGGCTGTTGGGGCCATCTGGAGATTGTGTAAAGGGCCTGGCATGGAGTGAGTTCAGTAATTGGCATTTACGATCAGCATTGTTTCTCTCCTTACATTAAAGAAAGACATGTAGGATTCTCCACAAAATTAGGATTGACAGCAGGCCCGCATCCATGACAGTGTGAGTAGATCGGGGTCCAGAGAGTGGAAAGTTTGGTCTCTCTGGGAATTCTGGCAGAAGGGCCTTGAAGTATGATCAGCCTGAGGCCAGCGTGTCCCTCACTTGCATTAGTCCAGCATCGCCTTCACGCCTCCTGTCTCACTGCCTGCAGCCCAGCCTCTTAAACTGCTACCACAGTGATCTTTCTAATGCAAAGGTTTGATCTTATACTCTGCTCTCCATAAAACTTACCTCCTTAAGGAGAGCCTTCCCAGATCCCTCCCGTAGCATCTCATGTTCTTTGGTTGGAGTCTAGGAGAGGGCAGCCCTTAGACTCCCGCAGAACAGATGGCCCCAGACCAGCTGTTTTTCCCTAGAACTGGATCTGCTGGCTTAGCGCTTTTGGGTTTATAGATGTAAAAATACTTTGGACACGTTTTGGCGTCAGCAAGCCATGAAGTCAGTTAATATTATTTCCTTTGGAGAGTCTTCGGCTGCAAAGGGTTGGAGCTGCCTTCTGCACGGCCAGGAGGGCAGCCTCGTGGTCCTGGTTCACATTTCAGCTCCATGTCTTACAAGTTATATGTCTTTGGCAAGCTATTGAACCTCCCTGAGCCTGAGATTCCTCCACTGTGAAATGGGAAGAGTACTAGTGCCTACCTCCTCGTGGGATTGCGAGGGTTACGAGGTAGCGTTTGGATGTGTGTCCCTGGCACAGTGCAGGTGCTGCCATTGCATTGCTCCCCTGTGGTTCCCCCTCAGCCCCCCTTTCTTTTTTTTTTTTTAAGAGATGGAGTCTCCCCTGTCGCCCAGGCCGGAGTGCAGTGGCGGATCCCATGGCTCCCTTTGCTGCTCCAGGAGGCTGGGTCTTAGAATTGGAAGAAATCTCAGAGACTGTTTTGTCCTGCCTCCCTCTGTTGGCATGAGTGCATTCCATTGCTAGCAGACCCTTCCCTGGGGCGATGCTTCTGCCCAAACATTCTAGCCTGTTGGAGGCAGCTGGGATTGTTAGAAAGCACTTCCCTTTCTTGAGCCACAATAGGCCTTCCTGTAATTTCCGCTCTCAGTTCAGTATTTGCTGTGTCCTGGCTGTGGGATCGTTGTTGGCCACTCAGAAGTGACTCACACGCCCAAGGAGCTGAGGTTTTGGGGAGGGGAGTGAATTTATAAGCAGGTGGTTTCAAAATGGTGTGCTAACTGCAGGGCTAGAGCATTGTGGTGGGAACGATACAGAGCAAGGAATCTCTCTTCCTCTGTTCAAGAGGACAGCTTCGTGCCTTCACATTTCCTCCAAGGGAAACACCTCCACGGCTTTCAGTTGTTTCTCCTCCTTATTGCTGCTCCTGACTGGCTTTAATTCATTGCCCTTCCCTCTCACAGTCCATGCTCCAGAGGAGAGCTAGAGGTTGTCAAACCCCTCAGAAGGAGATCACGACGCTGTGGTCCCCTGAATCCATTTGCTTCCTATCTGCAGAGCTTCCCTCCAGGCCAACATGGCCTGATAGAGTGACAGTCTTTTGGAGCCCCAGAGATTGTCTGTCTTTTGCAATTACTGTTTAATGGTGGAGAAGTGTATAGGACATTCATATTTAGTTTCTGAAATTACTTTTTAAAAACTTTTTTTTTTGAGGTGGAGTCTAACTCTGTCGCCCAGGCTGGAGTGCAGTGGCACGATCTCAGTTCACTGCAACCTCCGCCTCCTGGCTTCAAGCAATTCTCCTGTTTCAGCCTCCCAAGTAGCTGGGACTACAGGCACCCGCCACCATGCCTGGCTAATTTTTGTAGTTTTAGTAGAGACAAGGTTTCACCATATTGGTTAGGCTGGTCTTGAACTCCTGACCTCAGGTGATCCACCCGCCTCAGCCTCCCAAAGTGCTGGGATTACAGGCGTGAGCCACTGTGCCCAGCCTTTAAAAACACTTTTTTTTTTCAGTTTAAAAAATTTTCATTTTCTTATATGGAGACAGAGTCTTACTGTATTGCCCAGACTGGTTTGAAACTTCTGGGCTCAAGCAGTCCTCCTATCGCAGCCTCCCAAAGTGCTGCGATTACAGGTATGAGCCACTGCACCTGGCCTGAAATTACTTTTCCCCTGTATTTGAAAAATCGAAACCACAGAGCCCATCACTGCTGTGAGCTGACAGAGAAGCTGATGCTGGCACATTAGCTAGCTGGAAGGCAGCTGCAGATCTGGGGTCATTCAGAGCCCTGGGCCTTGTAGGTCAGGCTTGGCAGCCCAACATCCTTCTGCTGGGAATCCTACCAGCCAGTACCTATTGGCTGCCCACACCGATGGTCGTCTGCCCAGGCCTTTGCTAAAGCCGGTCGTTTGACCCAGAATCTGTCTTCCCTCCTCCCTCTCTTTTTCCCAGGCCAGTGATCCCCTCAGTCTCTCAATACCCTCTCTTACTTCATTTCATTTGGGAAGGGTCTCTCCTGGGGCTCCCATAAGCACTATATTTTCCTGTTGTCGTGTTTTTGATGGCTTCACTCACTGTCACCAGGGCCTGGGAGGGATGATGTACCAAGTGAGCTGAATGGAATCACTTGGCAGCACTGTAGGCCCAAGCCAGAGCTGCTCTGACATCCCAGGCCCAGGCCGTGCCACCCCTCCTCCCATCCAGAGAATGGTCAGCCAAGTCCCACCTAGATCCCCTCTGTGACTTGCTCATAGGCCAGCAACCTTCTTAAAGGCACCGTGTGGCTCTCATGTTCAGTAAACATAAAGAAAAATTCATTCATAGAATTAATGAGTCTGGGGCCTGGTCATGGGACAAACATTTTGCTCTTAAAGTAAACAGAAGGTCTTAAGGGGATCACAGAGAGGGGAAGTGAGGGGGTTTTTGCTCCCCAGGTTTTACCGCATGCCTTTTTTGCTCATCACTGGCTGAGGTCAAAGAAATATAGACATCATTTTAACCCTCAGGAAGTTGTCTCGGACACCCAGGAGACAGTGCTGAAGGGTCTGGACCACCATGGTGGGCCCTGTGGTGGGAGAGGCTTCCTAGAGTAGAGCAGCCCAAGCTGGACCTGAAGCTTCAGGAGGGCTGACAGACCCCCATGGTGAGCAGCAGAAAGTGTGGAAGTCAAGTCCATGGCCATACCACCTTGAACATGCAGATCTCAGAAGCTAAGCAGTGTCAGGCCTGCTTGGAACTTGGATGGGAGAAAGTGCAGAAGTAAATCCCTGAAGGGGGACAGTGAGTGGCTGGAGGGAACAGGGGCCTGGCAGGAGGCCGCGCTGTGCTTTTGTGGGTGGAGAATTAGATGAAAACCTGAAGATCTGTCATGATGGACAGACCTCAAAGACCCAGGTGAAGAGAGTCGTTTGGGATTTGATCCTTGTCTTGTCTACGAGGACCCCAAAGGTCTTTTTTTTTTTTTTTAATACAGAGGAGTTGTATTTATTTTTGGAATCATGATCTCTTTTCTTTCACCTCTAGATAAGAGCCCTTTCTGGCTGGGCGTGGTGGGTCACACCTGTAACCCCAGCACTTTGGGAGGCCGAGGTTGGCGGATCACCTGAGGTCAGGAGTTCGAGACTAGCCTGACCAATATGGAGAAACCCCATCTCTACTAAAAATACAAAATTAGCCGGGTGTGGTGGCGCATGCCTATAATCTCAGCTACTCAGGAGGCTGAGGCAGGAGAATCGCTTGAACCTGGGAGGCGGAGGTTGCAGTGAGCCGAGATTGTGCCATTGCACTCCAGCCTAGGTAACGAGAGCGAAACTCCGTCTCAAAAAAAAAAAAAAAAAATAGGATGCTTTCTAAGTGTCTGCTCTATGCCAGGTGCTGGTGCTGTACTAGACCCTGGATTTGAGATCCAGGCCTCTTTGCAGGCCTCCTTTTCTCTGAATGTCTGTGGTACTTAACACTGTTAACCATGTTCTATCCACATGCCAGGCCCACCAGGAGCTCCTTTCATTATTTTATTAATCCTCACAACCACCTTGTGAAGTAGGGAGAACCCTTAATCCTGTTTTACAGATGAAGAACAGATGCTCGTGGGGAGGTAAAGTGTCTTGCCCAAAGTAATTCCAGATTTCAGCTTAAGAGCCTTACTCCAGAGCTTGTGCATGCCGAGATTTCAGTTGCCATTAGGAGGGGCTGCCTGAATACGATGCCATTTCTAGGAAACAATTAGGGACATGCACAAAGAAAGGGGTGTCCATTAAAGTATTTTTATAACAGCAAAAAATTGGAAACAGCATCATATCCAATAATGGGAGATTTGGTCACCATAAATTATGAAACATTCTATAGCCTCTCTGAAGCCACTAAAAATAATGGTGTAGAAATATATAAACTGACAGGGAAAAATGTTCACAATATATTGCCAAACGGAAGAAAGCAGATTACAAACAATATGATTCCAATTTTATTAGATATTCATTTTCTACTTTTTCTACAGTGAGTATGCATTACTTGTGAAGTAATAATAATTTCAATTTATTGAACTCTTTCCTTCTGCCAGGCACCATGATAAGCCCTCTATAGCTATTATCATATTTAATTCTTTGTATCATTGTCCCCATTTCACAGATAAGGAAATTGAAGCTTAGAGAACTTGATTAAGGTCTGTGTCATAGTTATTAAGTGGCAGAGGCAGAGATTTGAACCGAGATATGATTTTGTACAGTATGTACTCTTAGATACTATGCTACTCTGCTCTGCTCTTCTTTTAAAAAGTAAATAAAAAATAAAGTAATTTGGCCGGGTACAGTGGCTCACGCCTGTAATCCCAACACTTTGGGAGGCCGAGGGGGGTGGATTGCTTGAGCCCAAGAATTTGAGACCAGCCTGGGCAACATGGCCAAACCCTACCTCTGCAAAATAATACAAAAATTAGCTGAGCATGGTGGTGCTTGCCTATAGTCCCAGCTACTTGGGAGGCTGAGGTAGGAGGATTACCTGAGCCCAAGAGTTCGAGGCTGCAGTGAGCCATGACTACACCACTGCCCTCCAGCCTGGGCAACACAGAAAGACCTTGTCTCAAAGAAGAAAAGAAAAATTTGATTTAAATATAGGAACTGTGAGACACTAGAAAGTTTTTCTGGGGAGTAGAGAAAATTAAGACTCTTTCAATTTTTTGCATGTTATTTTATTTTTATTTTTATTTTATTTTATTTTTAAGACAGAATATCGTTCTGTCGCCCAGGCTGGAGTGCAGTGGTGCGATCTCAGCTCTGGGTTCACGCCATTCTCTTGCCTCAGCCTCCGGAGTAGCTGGGACTATAGGCGCCCGCCACCACGCTCGGCTAATTTTTTGTATTTTTAGTAGAGACGGGGTTTCACCTGTTAGCCAGGATGGTCTTGACCTCCTGACCTCATGATCCGCCCACCTCGGCCTCCCAAAGTGCTGGGATTACAGGCGTGAGCCACCAAGTCTGGCCAATTTTTTGCATTTTAAAAAGAAAACATGGTTTCTATTTTCATTCTGGCTTGCAAATAAAAAAGTACATATTGTACTGCAGACCCTTATGCCTTATCAGCCCATTCCTTTGTCTTCCCCATATGCCCCTGGGGTATACACAATCTAATTTATGCTTGAGTTTTATGGCTTGAACTGTTGTACAATATACGTATTTGTAATTCTGGCACTATCTGTGTCAGTGTTATTTGTTGAGAAATTCTAGAGGACAGGGAGCTTGTGAGATTAAATTGCTTTGTGGGGTACTCGAGAAGTGCTAGGGTTGAAAAGAATCCTTCCACATTGCTGAGGGGCTTCTGGGCATCCCTGGCCTCTTTGACTTCTCAACTGCTTTTGACTCTGCTGGACCACCTCCCCTGTTGTTTGAGATAATATTTTAACTCTCATTGCAGAAGTTATACATACTGATTTTAGAAAGTGGGAAAAAAATCATGAAAAAGAAATTGCCTCTAATCCCATAAATAATTGCTATTAATATTTGATGTATTTTTTTCTATGCATTAAAAAAAATACATGGCTGGGCGCGGTGACTCATGCCTGTAATTCCAGCACTTTGGGAGGCCGAGGTGGGCAGATCACCTGAAGTCAGGAGTTCGAGACCAGCCTGGCCAACATGGTGAAACCCCGTTTCTACTGAAACCACAAAAATTAGCCGGGCATGATGGTGGGCGCCTGTAATCCCAGCAACTAGGGAGGCTGAGGCAGGAGAATCGCTTGAACCTGGAAGGCGAAGGTTGTAGTGAGCCGAGATTGCACCATTACACTCCAGCCTGGGCGACAGAGTGAGACTGTCAAAAAAAAAAAAAACAACAAAAAAAGTGTGCGTTTGTGTAGTATGTGTGTGTATATGGGTATTCTGTTATGATATTGCTTTATAACTTGTGTTTTCACTTAATGTATTACTATTATTTTTAAAAATAATAACATTATTGAGAAATAATTCACATACCATAAAATCCACCCTTTAAAAATGTACTTCTGGCCAGGCGCGGTGGCTCATGCCTGTAATCCCAGTACTTTGGGAGGCTAAGGTGGGAGGATTGCTTGAGCCCAGGAGTTCAAGACCAGCCTGGGCAACATAGTGAGACCCTGTCTCTACAAAAAATAAAAAATTAGCCAGGTGTGGTACCATGTGCCTGTAGTCTTAGCACTCAGGAGGCTGTGATGGGAGGATCGCTTGAGCCTGGGAGGTTGAGACTGTAGTAAGCCATGATCTCACTACTGCATTCCAGCCTGGGTGACAGAGTGAGGCCCTGTCTCAAAACAAAACAAAAAAAAAAAGTACAATTCACTGGCTTTTGGTATATTCACAGAATTGTAAGAATATCACTGCCATCTAATTCCAAAACATTTTCATCATCTGAAAAAGAAACCCCATTCCTGTTAGTAGTCACTCTCCATTCCCTCCTCCCCCCAGCCCTTGGCAACCACTAATCTTTCATTCTCTGTGGATTTGCCTATTCTTGATATTTTATATAAATGAAGTCATATAATATGTGCCCCTTTGTATCTGACTTATTTCACTTAGAATGATGTTTTCAAGGTTCATCCATGCTATCACGTGTATTAGTACTTCATTCCTTTTTATGACTGAATGGTATTTAATTGTATGGATGTATCACATTTTGCTTATCTGTTCACAGATGATAGGAGGTATGTTTCCACCTTTTGGTTATTATGACTGCAATGAACATTCATGGGCAAGTTTTCATGTGGATGTATATTTTTAGCTCTCCTGGATGTATCCCTAGTAGTGAAATTGTGGGATCATGTGGTAACTCTACATTTAATTTTTTTGAGGATCTGCCATACTGTTTTCCAAAGTGGCTGCACCATTATGCATTTCCACCAGCAGTGTATGAGGGTCCTGGTTTCATCCACAACCAACACTTGTTTATTATCTGACTTTTTAATTATAGCCATCCTGGGTATAAAGAGATACCTCATAGTGGCTTTGATTTTGATTTCCCTAATGGCTATGATGTTGAGCATGTTTTTATGTGCTTATTGGCCATTTGTAAATCTTCTTTGGAGAAAGACCTGCTTAATATATTCAGGTCCTTTGCCAATTTTTGAGTTGGGTTTACTTTTTGCTGTTGAGTTTTAGGAGTTTTCTCTGTATTCTGGATATTACTCCCTTATCAGATACATGATTTGCAAATATTTTCTCCATGCTGTGGGGTTTTTCTTTTTTTCACTTTTTTTGGATTATGTCCTTTGAAATAAAAAGTTTTTATTTTGATGAAGTCTCAATTTATCTCTTTTGTTTGTTTGTTCCTTGTACTTTTGGTGGCATGTCTATGAAACTGCTACTTAATCCAAAGATTTACTCATATGTTCTCGTCTAACAGTTTTGTAGTTTCAGCTCTTACATTTATGTCTATGATCTGCTTAATGTATTATTGAATATTTCTCCATGATTTAACGTTTTTCTTTCTTATAAGTGGAATTACCAAGTCAAAGATTGCATGTTTTTTTTTTTTTTTTGAGATGGAGTTTCGCTCTTGTTGCCCTGGCTGGAGTGCAATGGTGCAATCTCTGCTTACTGCAACCTCCGCCTCCTGGGTTCAAGTGATTCTCTGCCTCAGCCTCCCAAGTAGCTGGGATTACAGGCCCCCACCACCGTGCCCAGCTAATTTTTTGTATTTAGTAGAGACGGGGTTTCACCATGTTGGTCAGGCTGGTCCCCAACTCCTGACCTCAAGTGATCTACCTGCCTCGGCCTTCCAAAATACTGGGATTATAGGCTTGTGCCACTGCGCCCGGCAAAGATTGCATGTTTTTGAGACTTTTGATACATGTTCCAGAATTCTTGTGACCGTTTTCTTCCTGTCATTTCTACCCCTCCCTATCTGTCTCTCCACTGCTCTGGTTCAGGCCTTCACCATCTCTTGCCTTGAATTTTACAGTAGCCTCCTACCTGTTCCTGATGATGTCAGTATAGTGTGTGTTAAGTGCAGTGGTGTGGTGGTGGGTGCTGTGGCAGTACAGAGGAGGGGCACCTCACTCAGTCTGATGGTTTGGGGTGGGGGGTGGTGAGAAGGGGTTGGGGAGGGCGTCAAGGAAGGCTTCCTGGAAGTAAGTAGTGAGCTGATTCTATAGGTGGAATGGGCATTAGCAAAGCATGAACACGGAGCATCAGCATCGTGGGCTGGAGAGCAGAGAGCAAGTGCAAGGTCGCGGTGGTGGAGGCGGTAGAGCACGCTGGTCCGGATAGTGGGCGCTGGCTCTGCTGCTTCCTGGCTGTGTGTTCTTGGGGGAAAGGGACTTCCCCTCTCTGTGTTTTAGTTTTCTCTTATGTAAAATGGGGATAGTAATAGTAGCTAACTCCTAGGATGGTTGCAAGACCAAATGAGGCAGCATATATTGAAGTTCTGGCTGGGAGAAGCAGGTAGATGAGGTCATTTATGGGGTCTCTTGATGTACAGGAGGCAGCCATGTATACAGGTTTGGAGCTGAGGTGATGGAGATGGTTTTGTTATCTACAGGGCTGGCTAGGATAGCGGATACAAGCTGGTCTTTAGAGTTAGACCAGCTGGGTTTGGATTTCAGCTTCACTGCTTGTTAGTTATGTAACCCTGAGCAAGCCGTTTCGTATGTGCCTCAGGTTTTCGTCTGTAAAATGAGAATTCTTGCTCATAAGAGTATTGCAATTTTTTTTTTTTTTTTTGAGATGGAGTTTCGCTC
The DNA here is from genome assembly GCF_000001405.40 of Homo sapiens. Classification (NCBI taxonomy): domain Eukaryota; kingdom Metazoa; phylum Chordata; class Mammalia; order Primates; family Hominidae; genus Homo; species Homo sapiens. Next base: position 44,664,435 of record NC_000001.11, on the reverse strand, counting down.
TTGTTGCCCAGGCTGGAGTGCAATGGCGCGATCTCGGCTCACCGCAACCTCCCCACCACCAGGTTCAAGCGATTCTCCTGCCTCAGCCTCCTGAGTAGCTGGGATTACAGGCATGTGCCACCACGTCCGGCTGATTTTTGTATTTTTAGTAGAGATGAGGTTTCTCCATGTTGGTCAGGCTGGTCTTGAACTCCTGACCTCAGGTGATCAGCTTGTCTTGGCCTCCCAAATTGCTGGGATTACATGCGTGAGCTACCACACCTGGCTTTTTTTTTTTTTTTTTTATAATAAGGTCTCATTCTGTCACCCAGGCTGGAGTACAGTGGCATGATCATGGCTCACTGCAGCCTTGATCTCCTGGGCTTAAGCTATCCTCCTGCCTCAGCACCCTGAGGAGCTGGGACTACAGGCGTGTGCCACCTTGCCCAACTAATTTTTATAGAGATGAGGTTTCGCCATGTTGCCTAACCTGGTCTTGAACTCTTGGGCTCAAGTGATCTGCCTGCTTTGGCCTCCCAAAGTGCTGGGATTACAGGTGTGTTGTGAATAATAAATGAGTTGATATGTAAAATGCTTACAATAGTGCCTGACACATCATGCTGTGTGTGTTAGCACTTTTTGCTGGAGAAGTTTTTAGTGGTTTAGGAACAAGGTATATTTGATTGCTTGTACAGGGTTCTGGTAAGTCTGAATAGAGTGGGAGATCCAGCCAGGGGCCAAAGTTTTCAGTGCCTCAAAGTTAGCTGCCAGAGGCCTGCAGATGTCAGCAGCAGGAAGGGGAGAGGGTGATACGGCCAGTGGAATAAGTAAGAAAAGGGGAGGAGTTTGTACAAGAGGGTGGAAGAATCATGATCCTGATGTGGCAATGAATAACAATAGCCATAGCAATGACTTTTGGCCAGGTGCGGTGGCTCACGCCTGTAATCTAGCACTTTGGGAGGCTGAGGCGGGTGGATTGCCTGAGCTCAGGAGTTCGACACCAGCCTGGTCAACATGGTGAAACCCCATCTCTACTGAAAATACAAAAATTAGCCAGGTGTGGTGGTGGGCACCTATAGTCCCAGCTACTCAGGAGGCTGAGGCAGGGGAATCTCTTGAACCCAGGGGGCGGAGGTTGCAGTGAGCCAAGATCGCGCCACTTCACTCCAGCCTGGGCGAAAAAGTGAAACTCCTTCTCAAACAACAACAACAACAACAACAAAAGTGTTTTTAAATGAGCCGGGCCATGGTGGCACGTGCCTGTGGTCCCAACTACTCAGAAGTCAGAGGTAGAAGGATCGCTTGAGCCCAAGGAGGTTGAGGCTGCAGTGAGCTGTGATTGTGCCACTGCACTCCAGCTTGGGCAACAGAGCGAGACCCTATCTCCAAAAATAAAGAAATCAATAAAGAATATTACAGAAAGCTTGGGCTATGGGAGTAGGCAGTCTCTCCAGGGTGCCAGAATTCTGAGGGTTTCTTCGCCTTCATGGAGGGTGAAGAGTCATTCCTGCCTGAGTTGGTAAAGCCAAGGTTGCCAGCAAAACGGAGTTACAAATCCCAGCCTCAGGAGGAGGGGCAGTTGGGAGGCCCAGCAGCAGCTGTTTGAACCTCTGGCAATTGGGAGTGCACCATCTCTGCTGGTGGGGGCTGGCCTTGACATCCCGTGGCTGCCAGGGGATGTGACCTCCCTTGGTTGCTTTCTCTGTATTTGCGATAAATCCCAAAGCCCTTTGCTGGTGTCTCGGTGGTGGCACATGGGGGCAACCCTGTAGGCAGGGGAGGGGGAGCCTGTTCTCAGACAGCTGCAGAGGTAAGGGAGCCTCCCAGAACAGGGTCTTGGAAATTGAGTTGCTGGGTCTCGAAGATGCAAAAGCAGGTTCAAACGGTAGCTGCTGATTACCCTCCATGAGGCCGCCGCAGCCTGAGCCTCGTGGGCAGAGTCAGACCCAGCAAGGTTGGCCTGGGGCCCCACTGAGGCCCAGGGCCTCTCCACCAGAAAGGCCAGTGCAGGTGAAGAGCCATCTGGCAGAAGATGGGGACACTAGGCTGAGAAAAGTGGTGAGAATATTTGGAGCTGCTTGAGATAGACCTGTGGGACTGTCTCCCTTATCAGAGGCCGAGCCAGCACCTGTGGAGGCCGGGAGGGCTGGCAGGTGTCAGCAGGGGACTGAGGCTTTGGCAGCTTCTGCTCCAGGCTGAGTTGCAGCCAGGCCTGGGACCCCCACCGGTGCGGGCAGTTAATCTCCGAAGGCCAGAGTCACCACCACTAGAGAGCAGGAACATTGAACTTTTCAATCACATTAATTTCCACAGGAAATTGTTGTCTTCCTTTTGTCCAAAGGTTAGTGATTTATATTTACCATCCTCTTAACTAGCCTTGAAATTTACTGTTGCCAGGTCACCACCGGCATCCATAAATTTCAGGGTGGCAGCTGAGCATAGCCAAGTGGCTTGGTCCTTGGAAGGGTGCATGCCGGCCCTTTTGGGAGGGCAGATTAACTGGCTACAGACGGTCCTTGTACAGAAGTCCCCCTGAGGGGGCGGGTATTCACTTTGCAGGGGAAATGAGATGAGGTCTGTTTGACAAGGTTGCAGGGAGGCTTCCTCAAAGGCAGCCCTGGTGGTGGTGGCGGCTGGTTTGTGCCTCTTAGCATATCACCAGCTGTGGATGGGGTGGCAGCACAGATGGTGCTGGAGTAGTTTAGGGTGGGGAGCAGGGGCCAGATTCCCAGCCCTACACTTTGCTTAGACAAGTACCTTAACCTCACTCTGCCTCAGTTTCTTCATCTGTAATAAGAGGACCTGCCTTAGAGTATTGTTATAAGGGTTAAACCTCAATAAATATAGGCTATTCTCTGGCAGGACAGGGTAGGTGGCTTGGTATGGGCCAGAGTCAGCCTCATGTCCCTGCCTGCACTGTCCTATCCATTTCTCCTTTTAAGACTTTCTTGTTCCCGGGAGGCTGAGGTGGGCAGATCACTTGAGGTCAGGAGTTCGAGACCAGCCTGGCCAACATGGCAAACCCCCTTTTTTACTCTTAAAAAAAAAAAAAGAAAAAGAAAGCTGCACATGGTGGTGGGTGCCTATAATCCCAGCCACTCAGTAGGCCGAGGCAGGAGAATTGCTTGAACCCGGGAGATGGAGGTTGCCCTGAGCTGAGATCGTGCCACTGCCCTCCAGCCTGGGTGACAGAGCAAGACTCCATCTCAGAAAAGACCCTCTTCTTCCATCTGCTCATGGAATTAGAACAGGGGCTGGCAAACTTTTTCTGTAAAGGGCCAGTCAATATTTTAGGCTTTGTGAGTCGCTCGATCTTGTTGTAACTACTCTACTCTGCTGTTCTTAGTGTAAAAGTAGCCATAGACCCTAAGTAAATGATAAGTGTGGCATGTTCCAATAAAAGTTTATTTGTGGACAATGAAATTTAAATTCCATATAATTTTCACGTGTCACAAAATATTCTTTTGATTTTTTTTTTTTTTTTGAGACAGAGTCTCACTCTGTTGCCCAGGCTGGAGTGCAGTGGCTCAATCTCGGCTCACGGCAAGCTCCGCCTCCCAGGTTCATGCCATTCTCCTGCCTTGGCCTCCTGAGTAGCTGGGACTACAGGCACCTGCCACCACGCACGGCTAATTTTTTTTTTTTTGTATTTTTTTGTCTTAGCCAGGATGGTCTCAATCTCCTGACCTCACGATCCGTCCGCCTCGGCCTCCCAAAGTGCTGGGATTACAGGCGTGAGCCACCGCGCCCAGCCGATTTTTTTTTTAACCATTTAAAAATGTGAAAATTAGTTTAGCTCGCAGGCCATACAAAAATAGGCAGTGGGCTCAGTTTGGCCCCGGGGTTGTAGTTCGCTGAGCCCTGGATCAGAAGAGGAAAGGGCGTGGACAAGGTATTTACTTTCCTCACTTGGGCTGTCTTCGAGTCTCTAAAGAAAGGTGCCCTTGTGTTGGTTTGTCCGGTGACCCCATGGTGCCTCCTGCAGAAAGGCAGCTGGAGCAGCACGGGGTGGGAACTGGTGCATGCGTGCTGGCAGGATGCCTGGGCCTGGCACCCGTTGTTCCCTGCCTGCAGCAGCCGGAGTGCTGCTGACTCTGGATTGGGCAGTCACCCCCGCCCCCACCCCAGCTCTGGTGTTGACAGTCCACATCTGTGTTTCAGAGAACAGCCCCAGCCCAGGTGGGAAGGAGGCAGAAACTCGGCAGCCTGTGGTGATTCTCTTGGGCTGGGGTGGCTGCAAGGACAAGAACCTTGCCAAGTACAGTGCCATCTACCACAAAAGGGTGAGTACTCTGGTGCCCTCTCCCCTGGGCTGCCGTGAGGGCTGACCACCTTTGAGGCAGGACTGGGAATGGCTTTAAGAACAGCCTCTAGAGTTCGAGACCAGCCTGGCCAACATGGTCAAACCCTGTCTCTACTAAAAATACAAAAATTAGCCGGCCTGGTGGCACGTGCCTGTAATCCCAGCTACTTGGGAGGCTGAGGCAGGAGAATCGCTTGAGCCCAGGAGGTGGAGGTTGCATGAGCAGAGATTGTGCCATTGCACTCCAGCCTGGGTGACAGGGTGAGATTCCGTCTCAAAAAAAAAAAAAAAAAAAAAAGCCTGTGAGGAAGGCCATGGGGTTATAGGGACTTGGTGGGATTATCCCCACTTGGCTGCCAGCTCTGTGGCCTGGCGTGACCCCTTTGGTCTCCTGATGGCTTCCCCTTCCTTCCTCCCTGCATTCCACAATGGGCAGCCCACCCTTGATGTGCCCTACAGTTGTAGAGTCAGCCCAGGCTCCAGTCCCTATTAACTGGCCAGTGCCTCTGCGGGCAGCAGGAGCCAGGGCTGGGTGTCTGGACATAGCTTGTACTCCCAGGACCTCCTCCTTTCCCACCAGGTGAGTTTCTGTCTTATGACTGCCCATGGCACCTTTCACATTCCCAGACTAGTAGGGCCTCTTGGAAAAGAGATTCACGCTTCTTCTCATCCAACCAAGGTTGGATATAGAGACTGTGGTAACTGCAGAGGGCCTTAGCAGGACCTGGTTATATTTTGGAAGCCTCTCTCACATCTTGGGCCTCCAGCTCCACCTTCCCCTCCTCAGCCCAGATCTCTCCCCCAAACAGCCTCCTGCAGGGGTACCCATACAGACAGCTCCAACTGCCAGCTGGAAGCCTTGGACTGAGCAGTGGGGGGGCACCTGGGAGAAAGGCCAGCTGAGCCCCCTTTCCCTCAGCATCCCTCCACTCACCCACGTCCACATCCCGCCTGACTGAGGTGTGTGGTGGCCCTGGAATGGGAGAGAGACTGGGGGAAAATGTAGTTCTGAGCTTGAAGTCTCTCCCCGACCTCCGAGGCTGGGGCTCTGGTGTTGCTTTTTACAGACAGCCTCACTGCGGGCAGTTTCAGCTGCGAGTTCTGCTCACTGGGCTCGGCTTGTCTGGCTTCTTCATTAGCCTGAGATCCTTGAGGGCAGGCAGGGGGACCAGGAATAGTCAAGTATGGCTGGGATGAAGAATGAAGGGACAGGTACCCGGCAAGAGGTGGGGCTTGGAGGGGGTCCTCAGGGTATTTAAGCAGGGATGTGATGTTAGATTCGTGAATCAGAAAGTCCCTTTTGGCCTGGCGCAGTGACTCATGTCTATAATCCCAGCACTTTGGAAGGCTGAGGCGGGCAGATCACTTGAGGTCAGGAGTTCAAGACCAGCCTGGCCAACATGGTGAAACCCCATCTCTACTAAAAATACAAAAATTAGCCAGGCATGGTGGCGCACACCTGTAGTCCCAGCTACCAGGGAGGCTGAGGTGGTAGGGATCGCTTGAACCTGGGAGGTGGAGGTTGCAGTGAGCCGAAGTCGCACCACTGCACTCTAGCCTGGGCAACAAAGTGAGACCCTGTCTCAAAATAAACAAAGTTCCTTGCTGCAGAGTAGCGGGGAGATTGGAGGGGTGGGGCAGGAAGCCAGAAGTGAGTTTAGAGGGGCTTGCCATGATCCAGGGATAGAGGGTAGTCAGGACCTTGGAGTTGGGGGTGTCGGTAGAGGTAAGGTGATGGATTGAGGAGTTTGTCAGGAGGTAGAATGGTAGTTTAATGAGAGATTGGGCATGGGCACAGGGATAGGGAGGTTCCCAGGGTAATGCCAGGTTTCTGGCTGGGCACCTCCTGGGTAGAGGGGGGTGTGTTTTTTGAGACCGGAACACTAGAAGAGAATCCATAGGCTCTGGAGTGGATGAGATCCCCCAGGGAGTGTGTAGAGGGACAGAAGAGGGCCTAGGACAGTCCTGAGGAACCCAAACTTAATGGAGTGGAAGATGAAGAGGGTCCTACAAGGAAAGGAGGAGTGGCCAGAGATGGATATGAAAACCCAGGAAGGTGTGGCAGAATCTGCAGAGTCTTTGGGAAATGGGCCGTTGTACAGGGCAGGGGTAAAGATGCTACTTGGGCAGAAGGCATGAGGGAGAAAGTAGATGGAGTAAGATCCCAGAGAAGGCAGAGGTGTTGAGGTTGCAGGGTTGGGGGAGGGGTAGTCTTGGAAAGGAAGACTTTCCAATAGGGAGGACAGGATGAATGTAGAGAAAAAAAAAAAGTCCAACCCAAAACTCTAATATTTTATTATTTAAAAGAAAACAAGGTGGATGCTGTGGCTCATGCCTGTAATCCCAGCACTTTGGGAGGCTCAGAAAGGAGGATCACTTGAGCCTAGGAGTTTGAGACCGGCCTAAACAGCATGGTGAAACCTGATCTCCACAAAAAAAATTGAAACAATTAGCCAGGCACGGTGGTGCGTGTCTGTAGTCTTAGCTACTTGGGAGTCTGAGGTGGGAGGATCACCTGAGCCTGGAAAGTTGAGGCTGCAGTGAGCTGTGATCGTGCCACTACACTCCAGCCTGGGTGATAGAGTGAGACCCTGTCTCAAACAAAACAAGCAAAACAAAACAAAAACACCATATTCTAGCACCTAGAGATGACCTCTATTTACACTTAGTGTATATCCTTCCAGCTTTTTGGGGGGGTATATCTTCTCTTTACCTACATGAGACCTATTGAATCTACTGCTTTGTATCCTGCTTTTTTCAGATCATGATCTCCACCTTCTTGTTTGATCTCATTTAGTTTCCAGTCCATATTCAGATTCCCTAATTGTCCCTAAAGCATCCTTTACAGCGGATGTGCCCCAAACAGGATCCAATCTAAGATCACACATTGCATCTAGTTATTTTGTTTCTTCTTAAGGCTCTTTTAAATCCAGAACTCTTCCCCTCCCCACCTGATTTTAGATTCAAGGTCTCACTCTGTCACCCAGGCTGGAGTGCAGTGGTGCAATCATAGCTCACTGCAGCCTCAACTCTTGGGCTCAAGCAATCATTCTGCCTCCAGCCTCCCGAGTAGCTGGGACTGCAGGCATGCACCACCACGCCAAGCTAGTATTTTTTTTGTTGTTGTTCTTTTTTTTTTTTTGAGAGAGAGTCTTGCTCTGTCGCCCAGGCTGGAGTGCAATGGCGTGATCCCGGCTCACTGCAACCTCTGCCTCCTGGGTTCAAGCAATTCTGCTGCCTCAGACTCCCAGGTGTCTGGGATTAGAGGCATGTGCCACTACGCCTGGCTAATTTGTGTATTTTTAGTAGAGACGGGGTTTCATCATGTTGGTGAGGCTGGTCTCGAACTCCTGACTTCGTCATCTGCCCACCTCAGCCTCCCAAAGTGTTGGGATTACAGGTGTGAGCCACTGTGCCCAACCATTTTTTTTTTCTTTTTTAGAGATGGGGTCTCCCTATGTCGTCCAGGCTATAGAACAGCCCCTTTTTTCATGTTACTGGCTTATTGAAGAGACTGGGCTGCAAGATAATATTTCTAGGAGTGTGTGATTCCAGATGCTGCCAGGGAGAAACATACAGTGGGGACTGAAAGGCCTCTGTCAGATTTGAGCATTTGGGAGAATGTGGGTGGCCTTAAGCAGCCTCCTCTTCAGAGTCTTGGGAGGGATGCTTAGGCACTCCAGGGCTAGGAGGTCAGGCGGCTGATGGCAAGGTACCTCTGCTGACCATCCCTGTTTAGCCATGGGTCATTTAACTACTGTGGCCATACGATTTTCTCCTTGTCACTACCACATCACTAATTACTGCTGCTGTTGGTTGAGAGTTTACTTTGTGTCAGGTACTGCTTTGATCATTTGAGATACATTTTTTTTCATCTAATTTTACCCATAACCTTATGAGGTGGGTGTTATCCCAATTTCACCGTAATCTTATAGATGGGGACCCAGACTCAGAAAGTAGTAAGCTGCTCCTTGTTCTTACTATTGATACATAGTGGTGCCAGGAGTTGAACCCGGACCTGTCTGACCCCAGCACTCTCCAAAGTCACATTCCCCTGACAAAGGGCCCTTTGTCTCTGAACAGGAGGATGAGAGGGGATTAGGAGCCAGGCATGGTGGCTTTTCTAACTGACCTAGAAGGGGACCTGTGTGGAGATTGTGGCACCCTTGGCCCAAGCGTGAGGAATATAGAAACCTAGAGGGAGTTTGGGCCCAGATTATAGAATTCGAGGAACAAGTGTTTACTGTATTTGGAATTTCAGGGCAGATATGAGGAGTGATCCCAGGCCGGGGAACCAGGGACATTTGAGTGTCAGGTCCCTGAGTCCAGAGAGTATGGACTCTGTTTTTAGGAGCCTGGGAGAGAGGGAAGGTGACAGTGACCAGTGATGAAAGTGATGTGGGCCTGGCTCAGAAGTGGCCTCTGGTGGTCAGGGCTGGCGCCTGCAGGCCAGCTCTCGGGTACTGGTCTCATGGGGGTACTACTTCTGTCTGGGAGGTAGGGACAGTGCAGATCTGAGGTGCTGGGACAGGGTATAGCCAAGCAGTGAGGCCCCATCCCAAATGTGCAAGGCCTAGGATGGGAGTGCGGGGCACAGACAGGAGGGAACCAGAGTAAAGAGACTTCCTCTGGTCAGCCCAGGTGTCTCCAGTATATGCTTCAGGCTCTGGGCCTCAAATACCACTCCAGGCCAAGAGGGCTTGGCCAGCATGAAGCAATTAGTCCAAAAATGGGCCTTAAGTATACCTTCCCTGCCCAGAAGGCACCTGTGTCTGTGGGCAGCGGGCTGGTGGGCTCAGGCTGAAGCAGGACCCAGAGCATTGCTGACGCTGTGGGCCCCATGGCCTATGTCCTACAGGCTGGGGTTGCTGGGCCCCTCTGACCTTAGCTTGTACCCACTACCCCCACCTCATCTGTGAGGACTGACCAGGCCTCTCTCCCCAGGGCTGCATCGTAATCCGATACACAGCCCCGTGGCACATGGTCTTCTTCTCCGAGTCACTGGGTATCCCTTCACTTCGTGTTTTGGCCCAGAAGCTGCTCGAGCTGCTCTTTGATTATGAGATTGAGAAGGAGCCCCTGCTCTTCCATGTCTTCAGCAACGGTGGCGTCATGCTGTACCGCTACGTGCTGGAGCTCCTGCAGACCCGTCGCTTCTGCCGCCTGCGTGTGGTGGGCACCATCTTTGACAGCGCTCCTGGTGACAGCAACCTGGTAGGGGCTCTGCGGGCCCTGGCAGCCATCCTGGAGCGCCGGGCCGCCATGCTGCGCCTGTTGCTGCTGGTGGCCTTTGCCCTGGTGGTCGTCCTGTTCCACGTCCTGCTTGCTCCCATCACAGCCCTCTTCCACACCCACTTCTATGACAGGCTACAGGACGCGGGCTCTCGCTGGCCCGAGCTCTACCTCTACTCGAGGGCTGACGAAGTAGTCCTGGCCAGAGACATAGAACGCATGGTGGAGGCACGCCTGGCACGCCGGGTCCTGGCGCGTTCTGTGGATTTCGTGTCATCTGCACACGTCAGCCACCTCCGTGACTACCCTACTTACTACACAAGCCTCTGTGTCGACTTCATGCGCAACTGCGTCCGCTGCTGAGGCCATTGCTCCATCTCACCTCTGCTCCAGAAATAAATGCCTGACACCTCCCCACAACCTGCAATCTGTCGGGCACTCTTCTCGTTCAACTCCCTGTAGCCCTTTGGGACTTTGCGGTCCCCTAAGTAGAAAATTCCTATGGGCCTGTCTCCTGGGGGCCTCTGTCTGCTGGTGGTCTGCTTACCACAGAATCCTAAGGGGCAGGAGTGCCTGGGCATGTGTCTGTGGGAGCCTTGCAGTCAGTTGTGTTTGGACAAGTGCAACAGTCAGGCTGCTGATTCCTGTGGCATGCAGGCTGTAGAGGTTGACAAATGGAGGGGGGTGTTGAGGGTGAGCCCTAGTTGATTTTTTAAAATTTAAACTCTGGTAAGAACATTTAATATGAGACCTACTCTCTTTTTTTCTTTACTTATTTATTTATCTATTTATTTCAAGACAGGGTCTCACTCTGTCACCTAGGCTGGGGTGCAATGGTGCAATCATGGCTCACTGCAGCCTCAACCTCCCAGGCTCAAGTGATCCTCCCACCTCAGCCTCCCAAAGTGCTAGGATTACAGGCATGAGTCACCGCGCCTGGCCAAGATCACCTAACAAAATTGTAAGTGTGTACGATACTTAAAATTTAAGAGATTATGTGCACGGCAGACCTCTAGAACTGAATAGTCTTGCATCTTGCATAATTCAGAACTTCATCATCTTGCATAACTGAAACTTTGTGCCTGTTACCAGAGTTGAGTTTTGATTCCTTGAATGGAAGGTGACCTTTGTGGGGAGATGCCAGAGGGAAGGTATATCGGTCAGGGGTAGCGTCAGGCTGCGGATAGGGGCTATGATCTTTGCTCCAGCAGGGCGAAGCCCTACAGTGTAAAGTACCATTCACATGGCTCCCACTTGGCAGTTCACTCAGAGAGGCTCCTCTGACCCCATTGCCTGGGAGTCTGAGGTAGAAGCCAGATGAGGAGCTGAGGTTAGGGGCCTGCCTGGCTCTACCACACTTTGCTAGGAAGCCGCTGGGTCTGGGAAAGTTGCAAGCTGAAAGTTGCCAGAGACAGTGGGGGGCAGGAAGGCAGCAGCATTGTAACAGGAGCTGGGATGAGCTAACTCCCAAGCCCTAAAGACCAGAACCAGGGTAAGGGGATTTGGGCTGAAATAGCAAACTCCTTCATCTTCTGGAAGGGAGACCCACTTAGATACTCTCTAGGCAGAAGAGGTGAATTCAGCCTGATAGTTCAGTATCATTGATCATTCTAGAAGTCACTACTGCACAATGTTGGCATATAGTAGGTATTCAATAAATATTTGATTGAATGAGCTTACCGTGGTGATCACGGGGCTTAGGGGGCAGTGAAGGAGATGGCTAGAAAAGCTCTGGATGGGAGCTGACTCTTGGGGATGATGGATCCTTTGTCCCCAGAGCCGCGTTCTGTCTGCATCCCATCAGTCCTTGGTGAGTCCCCACTATGGTGGCAGGGATTCCCATGCTGTGTGGCTGCATTCCTAGCCATGGCCAACAGGTGGCAGTGCAGCCTGTGCCATGAGACAGCTCAAGGCTCCCACAGCAGGGCGGGCTTCAGTGGAATGCCCTCACTCTGGGTTAATGGCCCCTTTTAGAGACCATATGGCCCCCAGGGTGGCAGTAACCAGCCATCAAGGACCTACTGAGTCCAAGCTTGTGGGAGGGGAGACTAAAGACATCAAAGAAGTCGGCCTGACAGGAACTGGGCATTAAGAGCCTCCTCTTCATCTCTCCGTTGCCCTCACCTACCCACTCTTCTCTTCCAAACCTGTTTCTTTCCCAAACCCTCAGCCATCGCTGGAGCTGTTCCACCCGCCTCGACAGAGGCTGTGTACATCCCCAGGATCCCTGTGTTCAGGATATTGGGTGCCATCAAACTGGGCGTGGAGCTGTGAAGGGCCTTTGCTGGGCTCCAAGGGGGACTTGTCTGTGCTTCATCTGGGTGCAAAGGGTGGCAGGAGCTGCCAACTGGACCCAATTCTGAGGAATTCACTGTGGGTATCCCAGAGAAAATGGGCAACTAAGGCTGGGGATTTGGGCAGATGGGCCTGGTGTGCAAGGTGTCAAAGCAAGTCTGGAGTCATGGGGCTACTCTGGGGCCTTGACTGTTTTTCTCCAAACAGCTTTCTGTTGTGGGTGAAGACTTACATGTAACTTTTAGCACCTGCCTGGGAGGCATCTAGGAAGCTGAGCTACCTCACTGGCAGTGGGGAGCTGTGGGGGTCAAAGTGCCATCTCTCCAGCCTTGGTTCTCTGAGCACATGGGAGACTTGAAGGTCCATCCTGGATAATAGGGTTTCCATTCTTTCCATTTGAGAATCTAGGCAGTAGCTACACTGGGATGATGGTCACTAGAGATACATTTGGAGAATAGAACAAAAGCCTGGGAGGCTGATAGGGTGATCCCACTGTGGTCTCTGGTATGTTTCAGGGGACCAGAAAGGGATAGAGGCCTGGGGCTTGTGTTTGTACCCAAGCTTGTGGCCACTCCTAGCCTAGGTTGGGGGATAGAGCTTGCATCCCCTCTGTACCCCCAAGCTCTGACCTCTTCTGTGATTAATGAGCTGACGATTCTGCATCGATAAAGAATTAACCTAGAGCCCCTACCCATCAATAGTCAGGAGCCCAGATCCCCAGCCCCACCCCCCTCCAAACCAAATGCTCCACGGCCCCAGAGCAGACCAACCCTGCACAGTGTCATACACCTATAGCTAAGTCCTTTCCCCCATCCTGCCACCAGGAATTAACCCCTTAACTGCCTCAGCCCACCTCCCCTAGTTAGCTCCCCCACCACCCCACACACATAACACACAGGCAGCAACTGTTTATACTGGTTTAATCCATGTCAAATGTAGTTTACAAAGGGAAAGGACAAGTACCTTTGTATAGAATATACAGACACAGCATCACACCACAGGGCCCACGGGAGGGTCGGGGAGACGACACTTTTTCCCTGGGAAAGGCAGCTCTAATCCCAGGAATGGTTCTCAGCAGAGGCTGGGTGGCCAGGAGCACTGTCCTCTAGCCCCCTAACTCAGCCTCTGCTTCAGCTCGGTTCCCATTTCCTGCCTCTACCCCCCAACTCCTTATAAAGAGCCCCATGAGCTAAGACTAAGGAGAGGATCATGTCCCTTGGGGCGTGTGCCCCATGTCTGGGAGAAGAAATATACACCACTGAACACCGAGCACATGGGAGAGGGAAGGGACACCACAGGAGAGAGAGAGGCAGGTACCCCAAGAGGTGGATGGGCCGAGCTCCCAGCCAACCCTGAAGGAGGCGCTGCTTCCAGGGGTTCTTAAAAAAGAAGAAAATCATACAACCAAAGGGGGAGGGGACAGGTAGAGGGCGAGGAGTTGTCCCATTTATACACAACATTGTAAACATACACGGTCTATATTACATGTGCTTCAGTCTGGTGTTTGCATGTCTGTCTGTCCGTCTGTCAGTATGGGGGCTGGATCTTAGGAGCCGTGCCCCACTACTCCCCCAACCCCCACCTCCCTGCCCCACCCTGGGAACAGAGCTGGAACAGGTATGGCCCCCAAACCATAGGTGGGAGCCAGCAGGTAGTGCCTGGGCCACAGCCTCTACTCTGGCTCCAGAGTCCTGCGTGTGTAAATGTGTGTGTGTGTACGCATGTTTGAGTATGTGCATGTATGTACATGGGGAACCTGTGTGCAAGTATGTACAAAGGGAGACGGTCACTGTCACAGAGGCTGGGGGCAGGTGGGGCTGCTGGAGGCGAGGCCTGCCTGGGGCAGATAGCTCACAAGTAGATCCTCCGCAGGTCTCCGGGCGCTGTGATCGTGTTGCACTGAGGGCAGAGCTTCTTGGCACCCTGCAGGGAGAACAGGGAGGGCTCTGGTCTACACAATGAGCCATGTGTGCGCATGTGAGCACCTGGGCCTGCAGCCATGTCTCTCTGCACCAGTGTGTGCTGAGACCTTGGTCCTGTCAGCCCAGGCTGGGGACGCATAGGCAGCTTCTGTGAGCAGGCAGGCACGCTCCTGTGTTGGGGGGACGCCAGGATCAAACCGCCTGGCCAGCCCCGCAGCAGGAGCCCCAGTAATGAGAACAAGGCTGGGTCCAGCTGTGGCAGCCGCAGCCCTAACGAGATTACACGCGGCCTTTGATCAGGACACAGAGCCCACGTCCGAGCCTTTTATTACTGTCTCCGGGCGACATTTTAATGGCTGCTCCTGAGCGAAGAACAGGGGCAGGAGCAGAAGGAGCTTAGTAATGGGAGGGGGAGGGGCCAAGGCCCTGGTCCTGTTTACCTACAGCCAGCCTCCTCCTGACCCCAGGCCTCACCAGTCTGTGTGATGCAGTGGGCCTTCGGGGACCGGGGCGGGGAAGGGAGAATGCAGTGAACTCATGGAGGGGGAGAAGTTCCTAAACCTGCAGTTGGGGAGGAGAGGCAGCGAGCCTGGGGGTAAATATCCTGCGGGTAAATATCCTGGCTCCTGGCTCTGTTCTCCTTTGCGCCATGCTCCCCACTTCCCCCAGGCAGGCTCAGGCATAAGCACAGACATCTGGGCAGTGCCCGGAGCGGCCTCCCATTCCCCGACCCCCATGCCACCTCACCAGGGTCCGCAGCCAGCACTCCTCGCAGTGCACGTGCCAACACTGGATGGACGTTAGGGGCATCGAGTACGAGTCCTAGGGAGGAGGGGGCAGAGAAGGGGTCACTCTGAGGTAGGCCCACCCTCTCCAACTCCCCCAGAGGGCGTGGAAGCCTGACCAAGGGCACCCCTAGGTTCTTTTCTACTCACCATGCAGATGAGGCATTTGTAACGGTCCCCACGAGATAGCTGCCGTTCAAGTTCTCTGACCCGAGCCTTCAGAGCCTCAAACGTGGTCACAGCTGAATCTTCGGTGATTCTGTAAAAAGGAAGGCATGGTTGGGTAGCAGGCTGGCATCTCTCATCTGTACCTCCAGCCTACGCCTCCCTTGAATTCCAGAACCAAATACATAAATGTCCCCTAGGCATCCCTGCCTGCCCCCTTTCTCTGATAACCTGAATCTGCAAATTCCACATTCCAGAACTAAACTCCTCACCCTCTCTATTCCTCCATTCCCATTCGGATGAATTTCTACACCAGATACCAGGGAACCATTTTCAACCACTCCTTCGCAGTCTTCCCAACCACCCAAATCTGTCATCTCTCCTAGTATCTCCGGCATCTCTCCTCACCACCATGAGTCCAGGCTCTCAGATGTCTTCCACCAATTCCACCACTAACTTTTTCCAGACAGCCTTTCTGCCTCCAGGCCCCTCATCTCTATTCCACTCTCCCAGCGCCTAGAGGAATTTATGTTCTCAAAGCAAATCTCTCGTGGTGTGACTTCCAACATTCCAATGTCCCCCTTGGAGTAGAGAGCTCCACTACACTCCTTGGTCCAGCCCCAGCCCGCCGTACCCCTGAGGACCTTGCCACGCATTTTATGCTCGACTCCTATGTGTCACCATCCACGCCACCTTTTTCACTGCCTTGGCCTCTGCACTGTGATCCCTCTGCACCCCCTCGCCTGACTCACTAGCTCTGCCTCATCATTCAGATCTAGTTTTGTTCCCATGCCCTCCCAGAAGCCTTTTCCAGACCCCTGAGCCAGCACTGCACAGTGGCTCTCACAGCCCCCCGTGTGAACTCCACCACAGCAGTGTAAAGTTCCTGAGTATGGGTTCCCTGAGGGCGGGCTGCTCACTCCACCAATACTGACTATGGCCAAGAGCCCCACCTCAGGCATGGGACGTGAGCAAACACCTGCTGAAGAAAGGGCCCGTCCAAACTCCAGGGAGAGGGGGACAGATGCAGGGACTAGGCGTGTCCCACATGATCTAGGTCTCTTTGCCACAGCCCTGGCCTGCCTCCAGGGCTCCTTGTTACTTCCTAGATATATCAGATGCCCTGGTAGTCCTGTGTGTGGGCCAAGCCCTGCACCTGAAGGTCCCTCCTGCATTTCCAGGACTCCTTGGGCTGCACTGCTGAACAGGGAATAGCTAGGACTCTCTCAAGGAACCTTCCCACCCTCCTAAAACAAATGAACAGGATCCAGGGGAGCTCACAGATGGAGAAGAATGCTTCCTGGAAAAGTAGAAAAGATGGTATAGGAGACTGGCCTTAGGGAATAATAATGATAATACAAATAAAATAGCTAAAATTTATTAAGCACTTACTAAATGCCAGAGATTGTACTGAGGGATTGATAATTATCTTATTTACACCTTACAAAAACCCCATAAGATTCTAATATCTCCATTTTATATACAAAGAAACTAAAGCACAGAAAGATTAAGTAGCTTGCTCAAGGTCCCCACAGAGTCAGGGAGATGGGATTCAAACCTGGCAGACTGATTCCATGATCAACTAATAACTGTGTGATTGACCATGACTATACTGGCTACACCCAGGAGGAGGTGGGGCTCCAGGCCAAGGGAACAGCAGAAACAGAGGCCAAGAGGCCCAAGAGCCCAGTCTGGCTAGAAGGCCCACATGTAGGCAAAGTGCTACAGTAAGAAAGGAGATGGCATGCAAGAGGACCTCAAATGCCACACCTGAAGGAGCTGAAGTTTATCTCGTGGACAGCAGGAAGCTGCTGAGGATGCTGGAAGAGTGGGGGTACGAACAGCTCAGGTTTCACAGATGTACTCAATCAGGAAGCAGAGGCTGGACTGAGGCGGGGGAATCATAAGGGACGTGGACTTTGGGCAAGGACAGTCTCCTGGGGGCACCTGTTCTGCAGTTTAGGGGAGACAATTGGCTCAGGAAGCTTGAGAGCTTACAGGTGGCCTGTCATTGCTGGATGTGAGTGGTAATGGGAGTGCAGGGAGGGTAGTGGTCCCATTTCATGGGCAATACAACTTCAATCTCTGGCCTTTTTCCTTTGGGGAGCTAGCAGCAACACAGAGCGTGACTCCTTAGTGGCTGTGTCCTTGTATCAGGGACACTTAAATCCATCACCCTAGGGTCCATGATTCCCTCTGCCTTGCCTCTTTCCAGGGATGCCAAGAAAGGCTCTGACTCTTTCCTCCTGGTACTGGCTGATTCCCTGGGGGCTTCCATTTAGCTCTCTGGCTCTGGAAGCCTTTACCATCCCTTCCCTCCTCACAAGCCTCCGAACAGCAGGCTCCTTCCCTGGCATTTTGCACAATGCCATATGTGCCATCCCCATCTGGATTACAGGTAAATTCCTGATAAGGAGACAAGGATTTGTAGCTGTGCTCCCTTCCACTCCAAGGACTAAGCTGAGAATTTGCCTAGTCCTATATAGTTATGTCAAAGATGGGGAAACTAAGGCCTGCAGCTGGGGGCAGCCTACACCAGAATGGAGAACTAACTCCCAAACCCCAAATCAGAGAACTAGAGCTGGAATGGCAAAGAAGGATGAGGCCAGGAGAGAATGAAGCCATTTCCCATGCCATCTCCAAGAGCTACAAGGCCCCACTGAAGGCCAATAGCCAACTCCAGAGCCTACCTATCCTGGATGTGCTCAGCACACACCTGCCCTCCAATCTTGGCTCTGGCGAAATACCCAAGCCTCCAACCCCTGGTCCAGGCTGGCTGTGAGCTATTCCTGAGTCCCTCCAGGGCATGGGGTGGGGAGATTCCTGGAGGAGCCATGGCATCCTACCATTCCTTTTCCCTGAGTAGTAAAACAGATCTAGGGCAAGAAATAGAGAAATCACGGGGACTGATGGGCCCCAGTCTCAGCAGATCCAGACCCAGTGGAGAGCTCTGCACATGACTGAGCCAGTCTCCACCTCATCATAGAGATCCCTGCCTACGGGTGCCTGTGCTCACACAGGTGGGACAGAAATCCTGGCTCCCCCCAGCCTTGGGTGGGTTGTACCTTCATGGAAGCCACTGGCTCTGCCCCCACCTCCCCCTCGGGCGCCATCCCTGATTAATGATCTTGTCTTTCTGATTTATGAGCAGCCCCTCCAGACGAGGGTGGGTGCCCCTTACAACCCCGCCCGCCCTGCTCAGCTGGAGTAGGAGAGAATTATTAAATAAACATCCATACGTCATTCCTCCCCACCACAAGCTGGTTGCGCAGAACCCATACGGCCCGCTCCGGCGCTGACACGGAGCAGCTGCGGTGATTCATGGGCAGCCGGGCCCTGCGCCGCGGCCCATACATCATGCCAGCAGCACTCGCGGCCCCGGCCGAGATAAACTGATCAACCACAACGGGCTGGAATGAATTTATGACAACACAAAATGGAGGGAAACAAATGGGAGGTGACCCTGGGCCACCGACCCGGCCCTGCACCGGCCTCCAATCCACTCTCCTGGCAGGAGGCAAAGATGGAACACTGGCCCTGGAATGAAGAGGCTGCCTTTTAACCCCAGGCAACCTAGCCTGCAGTCAGAAGGTGGGGTGGGTACTGGAGTTAAGCAATGACCAATGGCAGCAGCACCAGGCAGCCTAGACTGGACAATGCCATCTCCTGAGGCCAGAACTGGCCTTCCTTGGGCTTCTGGGAAGGCAGGAAGATGCCCAGCTGATACCAAATCTTTGTGGTTCCCAGGGATCCAGGCCAGGGGTTGCTCAGCCCTGGGCAAAGTGCTAATGGATCCCTTTTCCTCTGCCAGAGAACCCAGGCCAAAAATTCCTACCAGAAGTGATGATACCCAATGTTCCTGCCTAAAATCCACTGCGAGTGCCACCCGGGACAAGAAAAATGAAACCAATTTAGCTCCCGATTAAGAAACAGAAACTGGAGATGAATCAAGTGTGCCGGCTGGGCTGGGCGGCCATACATCACATTCCCCGGGCGAAGGCCGCCGCAGCAGGCGGGCAGGCAGGCAGGCAGGCGGGTGGACTGCTCCTCCCACCGCCAAGGCTTCTGGGGCCGTGGCCCAGTGATCAATTCACAGAGTCACGCTTAGCACCAGCTGGGCTCCACTGCCGGCCGTGTGCCCAGGGCAGCAGCACTGAGCTGCACTTGGGAGGGCCAGAAGCCCTGGCAGCAGGCCTTCCTGCTAGCAAAGGGCCCCTCCTCCCACTGAACTGTGGTCCCAGGGCTCTCTCCTGGCCAAACACTTACTTCTCGATGTCGCTGTTCTTGCAGGTCTTCTGCATGGCCTCCTGCTTGCTGCTTTCACCATTGCTGGTGGATGGCATCTCTGCTGGGACAGAGGGGCAACTCACACTCCGGCCAGACTGGGCAGCACAGGTGAGGGGTTGGGCTTGAGTCAGTCACCACCATCTAGGGATACCCCCTCTCCCCCATTACTCCTAACCTGGGGCAGGACTTACCATCACTGGCCCATTTAGAGAACTCAGGTGTGATGCGCGTGCTGGGAGGGCCGCCACTGGAGGAAAGGAGGGAGGAAAAACAAAGTGAGGCCTGAAGGCGGGCAGGACAGCCCTGAGGGTCAGTACTGCGTTAACCCCTGCCTCAGGGCTTCCTGTTTCTCTGCTCCACCCGCCCAAGCCTGTGCCCACACTTGCTTTAGGACTGCGCCCCGAAGTGCCTCTCTCTCCTTGGCTTCACCAGGCTCCTCGCCTGTGCAGGGGATGACATCAGCCTCTGTGTATCTGGCATGGTGGTCAAGGACAATGGATCCTAGTTTGCAGCAGGCTATGAGGGTTGAATCCTCAGGAGAGCATGGCCCTCCTGGCCAAAGCTGAGACTCTGGCCCGGGGGGTGGTGCAGGTGAATACTAGAAGAGCTACTTTTCTTATTCCCTGTGCCTGCCCTATCAGCCCCACCAGCCCCCATAGTGCTCCAAGGATACTGTGGCTTCCCATACTCCAGAGTGTCATCCCCATCCACATCCAAGTCAGCATCACTGTCCGGGTTCTCTTTGCCGCTGCACATGATGAAGCCAGAGCCTGTGGGAAGCAGGGTGTGAGGAGGGCCTGGGGACAAGACGAGGCCAAGGGTGCCCCTCCTGTTGCCTCCAGGTAGGGGTTAGGCTTTGGACCTGATAAGGCCCAGAGGGAAACCTGGGCCTGGGATGTATAGAGCCAGATACTTCAGTGCCCCTGACCCTGACATTTCAGGCCCTTCACTCTGCAAACCTCATCTTTCTCTGCTACTGCATGCTGCTCCAAGTGGTCTCTGCTCATAAACTAGCCCATTCATATATTATGTCACGTCCTCGGGGACACTCAGCCCAGGCCTGCTGTCCACCTATCTTCCAGGTCTAGGAAGAACAGTAAGAGGACAGAAAAATTCAGGTCTAGGAATTTCACAGGAAAAGAGTGGGGCCTCCCCTATGCCCCATTATCCAGCCTGACAAGTCCATCAGAGGAGAGAACAGGCTGGCTAAGGCCAATCAGAGCCACAGAGTGGGACCCCCGGCCAACATCCTGATTTTGGCCGCTAGGTCCTTGCCAGCAAAAACACCAGGCAGCTGTTCAAATATTTGGTGTCTGAAGCGCCTGACATTAATTATTCATCTCCACCTCACTCAGCCCAGATTCCTGGACAAGTGCAGTTATAAAGGGATTAAGAAGGGACAGACGAGGGAGGACAGGCATGCACACCTACTTCTCAAAGCAGTCCATGAAGGCAACCAGGCTGAGCGGAGGCCAGGCCATGGGCCACGCAAGTGGCTGACCCCTGAGGTGCATCTGGCACAGCCACAGACGGACTCTCAGCTCAGAGGGAGGGGCGAGCTGCTGGGGCTACACCAGGCCTGCTCACCTGCCAGGCGATCTCTCTGACATCCAGGACCACCCTTCCTGATAGCCTAGGGTCAAGTGCTATAGAGCTGTTCCCCCCAGCTCCCCACTTCCTCCTAGTGGGTCTCAGACCACACCTCACTAGCCAGCACAGCCCTGCCAGGGACAAAAGAATGTGAGACTCTGTGGCTACTGGGATCAGCAAGGAAATCCTTAAAGAAGTGAGGAAGCAGCTTAGTATCTGCCTGATGATTTCAGACATTTCTGCTTGTCCACTCTTTCCTCTCAGGTCCTTATACTCTCATTAGGGTATGTCTTGTAGGGAGTCCTCAGGCCTCTTATCTGTTCCTTCATTCTGCTTACCACTGAGTTCTGACCACCTTTCCTCCTGCTCCAAAACCATTGATGGCTCCCCACTGCATGCACAACCAAGCCCAGGCTCCTCAGCCAGATCCATGAAGATCTGGGTCCATTTATGTCTTTACTCTTGCTCTCTACTAATTCACTCTGTAAACCCCAAGCATGTGCACACACAGGCTGCTCACCAAACCACAAACATAGCCTGTATATGCTGCTCTTAAGACCCCTGCTCATGCTATTCACTCCATCTGGAATGTTCTCCATTTTTCAAGCCCTGAAAAACACTGAGTCTTGATCCTTCTCCCTTCTACCCCACCAGTCTCTGGTCTCACAAAGACACCACCAATCCCAAAGGCAAGCAGCATCGGGAAGGAAAGATGCCAGGCACAGCCTGCAATCCACCTCTCCCTGACAGTCCTCATTTGCCCTCTACCCTGAGGCACTGACACACTTGAGGCAGCAGGCAGGTCAGGTCAGCAGCAGGGCCATTAAGCTGAGAAAACACCAAGTTACAGCTCTGTCTCCTGTACACGGCCAGGTGTCCTGACAAGCAATTCCCGCCTTGTGGGTGAGTGGCACCTCCATAAACCCTCTGACAGTTTGGGAGACAAACTCCACCATCAATCAGAATGTAGCTATCAGGTTCACTTACAGCTTGCGGCACCCAAGTCCTGCCAACCCCCCTTCCCCAAGTACACGCAGCTCAGCAGCTGGCCTCACATCTTCTGCTCGGCCTGGCCCTGCCTAGCCCTGCCTTATAAGTGGAAAGCAGAGAACCCTGGCACCACATGTGAGCCCAATATGGCTCCATGGCAAAGCAGAGAAAACAGGGTACCCCAAAGCTGCCAGGAAAAGCCCCAGCTTCTCAACGCAGAAAGCAGCCCTGTAGCCTGAAGTCCTTTTCTCTGTAGTCTTACTGCCCACCATGCCTGGCCCAGGACTCATACTCCATTAAACAGAGCTACTGTGGTCTCCCAAATCCTGTGCTTTCTCATGCCCCCATGCCTCCGCACCTCCTGCTCTCTGCCTAGAACCTTCTCCCTCCTGGTCTACAATATACATGCCTGCTCCTTTGGCAAGTCTGACTCAGCCCAACCATGCCTCCTACCATTAACTCACAGTGCCCACACAGAGCAGCTGCTCTCTAAATCCCTGCTAAAGGAAAGAACTCTCACCTCAATGCCATTCTTTCAACCTTTATTGGGCTCATCCTCTGTTTGGCTCCATGTTGAGAATAGAGAGCTTCAAGATCTGATCCCTATCCTCATGGTGCTCTGCGTGGCAGATGGGGCTTCCCACGTTCTTATACACAGGTGTCCCTTCCCTGGTGTCCACCCAGAATCCTGTGTAACTCCAAAATCATATTTATTACCACCTATTGTCACTGTCCCTCACCAGAGTGGAAGCTGCAAGGGTCCCAAGTTTGACTCACTGTTGTGATCTCAGCATCACCCAGCAGAGCTGGCCAGGCTGATGGCTGGTGCCACACAGCACACCCCAGCAGTACTGGCTAAACACTGGCGACACTGCTCTATTAGGTCCTAGTTAGCTGGTGGCCTAGAGAAATCTCTCAGGATACAACTTTCCTTATCAGATCCCAGCTCCCAGCCGGGCAGCAGCTTTCTGTTCCGCTGGCCAGTGAGGCAGGATGGACAGCACGACACACTTTGTTTGCCAAAGAAAAGGCCTCTGCCTCTGGTCTGAGCCATTCACTCTGACCCTGACCCCATCCTCCAGCTGAGACAGATGTTGGGAACCTCTCCCTACCCCCACAGGTGTTCAGAACAGGCTGCTGCTGCCAATTTCACTCTTGTGCTGCCCCAGCCTGCTCCAACCTCTTTCCCAGCACATTAAACTTTATTTTCTTAATGAAATGTCACTTGCTGACTTCTGGCAGAATCATAATAAAAAGAAACGGCCATAAAGCCGTTTTATGCAGACAGCGCCCCCGCCAGCTTGCCCCCCCTCCCGCTTGGAGAGGAAGGCTCCACAGTCGTTTGATGTTCTCAGCTGCTGGAATATCCCAAGCCAGTACTCAGAGGCAAGATGGCACAGACAGCTCCTTTCCAAGTCTCTGGCTCCTCTTCCATGTAGCTCCAGCGATAACAGGCAAGCTGCCACTCCTACTACTGCTATCTAGGGAAGGAACTCAGCCCCCAGGACCTCCAAGATGGCCCAGAGTACCCTTCAGTCACCAGGGAGGGCCTCTTGCTACAGTTCTGCCCCAGCTTAAAGTGGCATAAAGGCCTGAGCCCCCACCCATAGGCAACCTAAGCCTGATGGTCAATGATACCCAGCAGGGTGGTGCCAGAGTTGTCCATTCCTGGCGGGGTGGGTAGTGCAAAAAAAAATATCCTTCTCCTCACAGTGAAAACTGAGCAACAAAGAGGGAGAGAGTTAAGTGCAGAAATGAAACACAGGTCTACGTTTTATAAAAACGACCCTTCTCCCATAAACTCATTTCTTCCTGGGTTATTGAGAAGGGAGAAAAAAAAAATCAGTGTTAATTTAATCAATTGATCAGATGATCGATTGAGAAACTGGAGATGCCCGTTTACTGGGGGCAGTATCGTCCTGGAACCTGAAACCACAAAAAAGGAGGCATCGATTTCCTCACCTGCTGCTCCCAACAAAACCAGAGCCCAGGGAGAAAGGAAACGTCTCGGGGCCCTCCAGGGGCCTGTGCTCTCCAACACGGAGGGCAGGGGCAGCAGCTTCCGGCGAGTTTTACACTGGAATTAGTTACAGATGCAGTTACGGTGTCTTGTGTAAACGCCATCGATTGGGGAGCTGACAGTCTGGGGAGCTGCGATGCGGGACAATCAATCGGCCTGCAGTGTCACCTGCCACCTCGCTGAACAGTTGACAATGCAATTATCCAGTGTGGAGGCAGGGAGTTGGCGTGTGTCAAACGCACTTAGCCACTTTCCGGGCCTCCTCGATAACGCGTTTCACTGCCTCACGTCAGGAGAGACGCAGAGAGACAGACGCCGTTTAAAACCATTGATACTTGCTCCTTCTGCCTGCACTCCCTCTGTCCTAGCTTAACAATTGTGTTCCAAAAGGCGATTAAATCCCATCAGTTGCCACGGGGGACAGAAGGTGCCTTGCTCCTTGCCACCTCTCCTCACCCCTCCCAACAGGCGACAGAGAGAACTAAAGATGGTAGGGAGTCACAAGGCAGCAGCCCAACCCTCTCCACTCCAAGACCGCCTCCAGCAGTGTGCTGTTCCAACACCTGTCACTGGCTGGACCAACAGCAGAGCTGCACTGGGGGACATTTTTAGCACCTGGGGCTCCCTTCTTTTGAGAACTAGCACACCAAAGAAGGCAGCAGCTAGGGCAAGGCCTATGTGCCCATGCCCTGGGGCTTACAACACCTCTTACCCCCTTGCCCCATACTTCTGGCGCTGAAGTTTTATCAAGAAATAGCCAGATAAAAGATTTGTGCCAGGCCGGGTGTGGTGGCTCATACCTGTAATCCCAGCACTTTGGGAGGCCGAGGTGGGTGGATCACCTGAGGTCAGGAGTTCAAGACCAGCCTGGCCAACATGGTGAAACCCCGTCTCTACTAAAAATACAAAAATTAGCTGGTTGTAGTGGCACATGCCTGTAATCCCAGCTACTCGGGAGGCTGAGGCAGGAGAATCTCTCGAACCCAGGAGGTGGAGGTTGCAGTGAGCCGAAATCGTGCCACTGCACTCTAGCCTCCAGCCTGGGTGAAAAAGTGAGACTCTGTCTCAAAAATAAATAAATAAAAAGGAAAAGAAAAGAAAAGAAGAGAAAAGATTTGTGCCACAGCTGCTCTGCCTGTTTGCTTCATGACTTCTCATCCAGCTACTTGGAACCGGCTTAAATGTAAGGAACTCATGAAAGATAAGAAACGCTTCAGGCCAGGACCTGAGCAGGACAAAGACCCTGCACTGCTGACTGTCTTAACACCCTTCTTTTCCCTACCCACTCCTCCTGTTTGGTTCAGAGGGGCTTCATGCTGGATTTTAGCAACGCAGTCACCGCCAGGGCTTAAAGATACAGCTGCAGGCTTCCATTTCCTGTGAAGCTTCCTGGGAAATTTCTCCATCTCACCACTCTTGTGCCCACATCATTGCCACCTTATTTGAAACCAATCATTCCCATGTCCTCTTTCCAGCATGTCCCTTCCAGATGTGAGGAGCTCTGGGCTCCCCAATGCAGTTGGGTGAACTCTCACTGGCAACCAACACACAGGAGGGACCATGGTTCACCACTATAGGTCTCTTCTCCAGGATCCAGGAGCTGGATGGAGGACAGGAGAGGAAAGGCATGGCTCCTTAGTCACACACCTCCTTAGACTACAGGTGGAAGCAGGCTTGTCTTAAGGGCTGTATAGTTAGGTTCCCCTGTAGTCTGCTTCTCTAGCCTAGAAGCCCCTTGCTCTGCCCAGGTTTGGCATGGTACCCAAGAAAAACATCTTTTCTCCCTAACTGCGGATCTCTTTTAGTGGAATGTTGGTGGCGCACTAGGCTCTGTGTGCTGTCCTTTATGTAAAGAGCAGTAGCAGGTTAGAAAATCTATGGTTCTGAAAGGACAATCAACAACTTAGACACACAGCTTAAGTATTTCTTCTAGAATTGGGAAGGTCAGAGTGCCTCCTAGGCAGCAAAAATTCCTTCCAACTTACTTTCTTGAAGTAATACCTATTTCCTTTAGTCTTTTCAAAAATCTGTTTCCAGTGGGACCTACCTCAGTGCTCACCTGCTCTGTCTGCTTCTTTATTTTGTCCTAAAATATCAATCCGAGTACTCCCAGGCCTGAGATATCTGGAGCTCCTCCTCAGTAACCACAGGTCCCCATCTCTAAGGCCTGTTGCCCTCAGCCAAGTGTCTCCACCGAAACTCTTGCCCGTTCACTGCTTCCCACAGCAGATTACATTTGAGGTAACCGATCTGATCCATCAGACCAACCTCCAGGGGCCTGGTGGGAAGCTTTGCTGAGGATGAAGAAGAGGCCCTACTCTGGGAGGAGGGATGGGGGTGATCGGATACAGGAACTTATCTGCAATTCTTCACTTCTTTCATATCTAACAACGACAGCAATCTCTGTTCTGTCAGCACGCACAGCGCAGTTTAAATGGGCCTCGCCACTCGCCTGCTCATCCTGCCTCTGCCTCCTTCTCTCTGAAGTCTGCTGGGCAGCTTCTTCAGCTGGCGTTATCACTCCCTCTAACCGGTCTTGGCAGGCAATCTAATTCCTCCTGAAAAGGTCACCGCCATTTTAACTGCCTTTCAATCACATTAAGCACGCGCTGCCCGGCTTGCAGCCCGGCCCGCCCGGCGGGCGATCAATGCGCTGCACTGACACCAGCCCGCCTGGCGAGGCCACACCCAACCCCCCAAGAGTTAGGGCCTATCAGTCCTGGCCAGGGAGGGTAGGCTGACAGATGGCCAGCTTTTGCAGACAGGGTTTTGGGGGCAGAGGCAGTAGGGATCAGCCAGGGCCTCCCTTTGATAGCCCCCCCACTGAGGAGCCTCAGCCTCCTCCGCTCCACTGCGCCCCGCTCTCTGCCTCGTGGCCCCCGCTGATCTCGCTGTAAAACAGCCTTTCAAGTCTGCCTGTCTTTTGACTGCACTAAGCTGTTTAAGAGGCGGCAGCAGCTTCTATCAGGAAAGCTGGAGCAATTCTCTGCAGATAAAGGCACCTCCGGCCCCTGTTCCCTCTTCAAGTCTCACTCTCATTCTCGCTCTCCAAATCGCTCAAAGAAAAGCCCCCTTTGAACTCCCCTCAGGAATTCTTGAAAGGAACAACCTCACAGTGTAAACACTCAGGGAAAACGGATACCCGCCCGGGGCCTAAGAGCCCCTCACACTGCTGTGCAAGTGCATCCCGGCACAGGGGAAATACTCTTGTCAAATCAGCAGGCCCTTTGCAGCTTTATCCTCCATAAGCCCTGTCTGGTGCCCAGAAGCCATCAGGTCCAGGTCTGTGCCAAGGAACCTAAGAAGGTGCCACAGCAATGGAGGATGTGAGCAGTTGCAGCTGCCAACAGAGCTAACCAGAGCAGCACGTTGAAACTGACCCTGTGTGGCTGCCATCGGACACCCATGTGTCCAACTCATGGGACAGTCGTCAGCCCTGCTGCTCACTCTTCTAGGGCCTCAGATACTCGAAGGCTCCAGTACGGGATGAGTGAAATGGCAAACTAACACTCTCCAGCTCCGGCTCAGGGAGACTGTTTGGTCTGACTAACCTTCCTGATTTATGTTTTGGCTTGCCCCCAAACACCTGGGTAATGTGAGAGACGCCCAGAGGCATAATGTCTCATCTGGGCTCTTAGCCCCTTCGTGGAACCAGTCTGCACTGGACGGCCCTGCAGAGACCACTCCTCAGCATCTGCCCAGGTAGCACGGCCCCACGAAGGCAGAGAACTTCTTCCCAGCTGCTGTGAGATTCCCCAGGGACCATACACAGCAGTATTCCCAAAGGTGTTGCCCAGAGAGAGAGGCAGACGGGAAGCAGATTGGCTCACTTAATGACCACAAGCTGCAGTACCAGCTGTGCTTGTGCACAGAAAGAGAGAAGAGCTGGAGGCCAAGAGGCAGACAGCTCCCCTTTTCCCCTGCCCAAGGCTGGGGAGTTTAACAAGTCACTAACCCTGGGCACCCAACCAATTCTGCTGTCTGACCTGGTGGGGGGTGTCAAGCCTTGCTCTTCCAAGGAGCTGGGAGGGCACTGGAGATGGGCAGGGCCCTGCACACTCCTTTGTAGCAACTGGGGAGAGCCCAAGGGAAGGAGGGAGCAGCTGGGCCCAGGCCCCTCTTGCTTCAGGGCAGAGGGCGCCCAGGGAGAAGGGATGGGATCAGAGCTAAAATTAGATTCACCAATGAAGCTCATGGGAGGTCAAATTTTGCCATAACTCACTCTCCTCTGTAACTGATTTCCCTGACATAGGGCTGAAGAGGAGGAGGAGGAAAATCCAATGTGTTTGCCTGGAAGCCCTCAGGGCCCCCAGTGCTGGAGGTGTACAGCAGGTTGCTGGATTCTCATTTATCAGCCTTAAGAGGGATGGAGTGATAAATGCATAACCGTCCCTTTAATATTTTATGCAGGTGCTAACGCGGCTTGGCTGTCACCTTCAATGCATCACCCGAAGCTGAGAGCCCCCCTTCGTCACTCCTAGCTTGCAGCCTCACAATTCCATTTCCCCACCCAAATACATCCATTTTAATATGCACATCACAGGCAGGCAGCACGGTCACAAAGGAGCCCCACCAGCAGCAGTCCCCACGTGGTGGAACGGATGGATGACCAGCCACCAGCCTCGGCCTCTTGGCTTCCAGCAGATGGATACCCAGCAGAGGCCTGGCACCAGAGTGCCAATGTCTACGTGTCAGCTGCTTGTACCTCGGAAGCCACCTTCCAGGAGAGTGGTGGCCCGTATCCGCTTCTGTCCACACCACTCATACTCCTCAAAGCGGTTGTTGTTCTCATGCTCGATGTCCACAGCATCATCCTCAGCCATGCAGGAGCCTTCCCTCTGTGAAGAGCAGAGCAGGATCATGCTGGGCCCAGGCCATCCCCACCTGCTCCCCACAGTCTGCAACGAAGGCACAGCTCTAGCCCCAGCTGTGGTGTGCCAAGTGGGCCCTCAGCTCTAGGGCTCCTTTGAAGCAAACCAATTTAGAGGTCAAAGACCTGGGCCTCTTCCCAATAGTTTTCCGCTGGAGCCCAAGGAGGGAATGAGTGAGAGTGAAAGCAAAAGGAGAGAGCAGTGGTCAGAAGGGAAGAAGCTGCTGAGACCACATGGAGACCCCAAGAGCCCACAGATTCAGGGGCAGTCAGCAGCTAGTGTCGGGGGAAGGGAGCGGGGAAGGAAGGTGGGTGGTGATGGCCCCTCTACCTTAGAAAGGCAATGCTCCACATGCCTACTCATCTCCTGCTCCGATCCTGCCAGGGGGCGGTTGCACAGGGGACATACCTGCCCTTCATCTTGCTTCCTCCGTTTCATTTTCCCAATCCGAGCTGCACGGGGAAACCGAAAACAAAGCACAGAACAAGCAGACGGTCACTGCAGCCCCCAGGGTCCCAGTGGAGCTGACACATCCTGACCTCTTGCCAGCCATTGGCCTTTTTATTCAGTGCCTGATCTGGCCCTCATCTTGAAATACCTCCTGCTCCTTTGGGGACTGGGCTTTGCCAAGAGCACCTGGGGAGGAGACTGGTGCTAACTAAGCCAGTGAGTAAGTCCACTCTTTGGCTGCAGCTGGTGCAAGGTCTACCCATACCTTTCTATTTGCAGTGTTTAATAAAAATCCAGTGAGCAAAGACACTCCATGTTGCTAGGTATCTCTCCAGAAGGCCAAGACCATGAACTCTTTTGGTGTCAGGAAATACAACTCTAAAGAGCATCTCTTGACTAGAACCTAACCCCTCCGATGGCCTGACTTGGCCTGCTGTTCACTCATCAGCTAAATCCTCTTTGGTTCCTGGGCCAAGAGCCCTGAGGTACAGCTCCTAGCATCCCACCTAGAATCTTATCAGGAAGAATTTCTCTGAGGTCCACTAATCCCATTTCACAGAAGAGGAGACTGAGGCCCAGTCATAAAGGTAAGACGGTCTGGGTCAGACCTTTGGCAGCCAGGTCAGAAGGCTCAGGGAACCCTGAGAAGGCAGCCCTTATTGTGCCCACCCGAACCTGTTCCATCATTTCTAATCAGTACAGAGGGGCTGGCAGGCCCTGGAGGCAGAGGGCTGCCTGCCATGTTGTCCCACAGGGGGCTCAGTTCCAAAGTGCACACTGCAAGCCCACAACACTGCTAATTAATGCTGAGCAATGCAATCATTTCTAATTAGCTCACTAATCCCTCTCTGTAGCCCTCCTGTCACTGAAGCAGGAAGGGGTCAAAACAAGAAACTCTCTTCCCTCTAGTCCCTTCCAGAATGCCACAGCAGGATCAGAGATGGCTACTCTGGGACCAGACTGATGGGGAGTGGGGAGAGCCAGCAAAGGAGGGAAAGGTTCCCCAAAGCAGGGCCAGGAAGAACTTTCTCATGGACAGTGACCCTAACGGGAAGCTCATGAATGCAATCTAGGAGGGGAACACAGGTGAGAGCTGCTATGTTACAATTTAAGCTTCTACCGTGTGTCAGGCTCACAGCCAAGTACCTTACCCAAGGTAGCTCATTTACTACCACTTGCTGAAGCTAGATTGCATTATCCCATTTTAACAGATGAAGAAACCCAAAGCTTAGAGAGATCAAGGTACGTGTCCAAGTAGCTAAAAAGTGGCAAAGGCAAGATAGGAAACCAGAACTGACTTCACAACCTAGAATGCCCTCCTGTTTCAAGGGGACCTCCTAACTGAGCAGCATCAACAAAGACTGGTCCCAGTGAGTGTGCTAGGGCTCCAGCTCCTGCCTGTTGTGAGCCTGAGGCAGGGAGCTACTCCAACTCCAAAACAGAGCAACCCCAGAAAGACCCAAACCAAAAGGAAAGCTACCATCCTGCCAGAACTGGGCATGGAGTTTGAGGAAACTTGGTCTGTAGCCCAGTCCATCTCTTCACTTTCCTGTGTCTTCACTATAGGTGACATGACTGTGTCCTAGTGCCTCACTTGACTTTGTGGACACAGATCGAGAACTCTTCATTTTGGCTGCCCTAACTCTTGGAATCTCAGACTTAGGTAGCCTTGACACTCTAGAGCCAGGGCTGGGATGGAGAATGGACGTGAAACATCAGAAAGGCATTGAGCAAAGGACCCTGAGAGTTCTAGAAGTGTAGTAAGGAGCAGTGTGCCAACACAAAGCTTCCTCCCTACCATGCCTACACCAAGGGAATGCCTCCCTGGGGAAGAAGGTGCTGATGATACCACAATGTTCAATGACTAAGGAAACGAATCTCATGGAATGGTCAAGAAAGGCACAATACTGGATGCGCTCCTTGCTCAGGACACACAGGCCAGCAGATGATCCCTTGTTGTCCCTGGAAAGCACCCCAATGGACTGGGCTTCATCTGCAAATTCTCAGAGAAGGAAGGCAGGTTTGGTTTTCACCTTCCCATTCATCTTCTAAATCCTGAATTAAGCTTACCAAAGTGTGGTAGGGAAAGTTCTGTTCTCTATCCAGAGGCTACGTACGAGTAGGAAGAATCAAAGCATTTGCCAAGGAGGTAGCATGGCATGGTTGGAGAAACACGGGCTTTGGTGGGAAACAAACTTCAATTGAATCATGGCTCAGTTACATCCCAGCTGTGTACTTTTAAACAAACCACTTTCACCTCTCAGAGCCTGTTTTCTTATTCACAAAAGGTGTGTAATACTCTTCTCAGAGGCGTTGTGAGAATGGTGCTTAACATGGCGCCAGCCCATCATGAATTTCTCCCTTTTCCAGACTAGGGCTCAGCCTGGCAGCAGAAACCAAGTGATAAGAGCTGGGGATCTTGAACTCCATGGCCTCTCTCACTTACCAGCTGACCCAGAGACCCTAAACCCCTTACAGCCACCCCCCAGATACCACACCCCAGTAAGCACAAAAAGCTAGGATCATTCAATTGTATTCAGCAAACAGGAATGCTCCAGAGGTTTGAATCCAAAAGGGGGGCTGCTAGGTAGTGCATACACGGCCTGCTTTCAGAGAAGGCCTCTAAGAGCTGTCGAGCCCACGCTGATCACCTTTGTGAAATGTGGGCCGACTGATAACTCAAAGAGCCCTGGGATGAGTTAGTTCCTGTTGCCGTGGGAACTCCAGATCTCACTGTATTGTCAAGTCTCAGCAGAGGGGCTGTATTCACACTACTGGGCACTGATTAAAAACTGGAAGAAAAACATTCTCAGCGCCCTG
This sequence comes from Homo sapiens, assembly GCF_000001405.40. Lineage (NCBI taxonomy): Eukaryota > Metazoa > Chordata > Mammalia > Primates > Hominidae > Homo > Homo sapiens. The sequence goes on along the minus strand of NC_000001.11, from coordinate 44,632,726 downwards.
CAGGTTTGTATAGTGAGGTCCCAGCAGTTTGCAAATTCAAAGCTGAGCTCCCGAGTAGAATTGTGTAGCTCGTTCCTCATTCTCCGGCACTTATTGCCCCCCCAGGGTTCTTCAGGGCCTTTAGAGAGGTTTGGGCAAGAGCTGGGCGCCATACCTCCATTAGACAGACGGGGAAACTGAGAGCGGCAGCTTTGGTTTGCACATACTCAGGCGCCGTGACTGCGAAGAAGCCAACGGGCCCCAGAGTCGAAGAGACCCAGGCAAGCCAGGAGCGGCAGGCAGTGAGGGAGGGAGGGAGGAGGCCGGGGGTGGGGCGGAGGGAGGGGCCGGGCAGGACTCACCATTCAGTCGGGTCTGCCGGTTGGCTCGTACTCGCAGAAAGGTCTGGGAGAAGATCGCGGGCAGATGCAAGAAAAGAAAAGAGAGCGTCAGGCGCGGCCTGCAGTCCTGGCCCCCGCCCCAGCACCGGACCCCCGACCAAAGCTGCTCCGCCCCAAACAGCCCGTAAACAAACCTACTTCCTCCCTCCCGCCGGCCCCTCTGCTCCTCCGGCCGCTCCGGGCTCTCGGCATAGCCGCCGGGCGCTGCTCTAACGGGACCCCGTGGCCGCTGCGCGGTGCCGCCCCAGCCCTGGCCTCCGGCGCTCTGGGCCCCACGGCCGCCCGGCCGGCGAGGGCGGCGATGCGGGCGGATTCCCCGTGGCTGCCCGGCGGCGGCGGCACTTCAGCTCCAAGCGGCGGCGGCGGCCATGTTGGCCCTAATCACGTGATCTGCCGCCGTCGCGCGCTGGGGGTGAAAGTTCACAATGCGGCGGGGGCGGCCGGACAGAGACCAGGAAGCTGCCGTTTGTACTCGGGTAGCAACCGGCAGAAGCCTCCCCGGGGTCCCTCCCACCGCCCGTGAAGCCTACCCACCCAATCTTTAGCGGCTGCGAAGTCCTTCCACCCCACTCCACGACCCCTCCCGCTGCGGGGCTCCTTCCGCCCCATCGCCCGGCCCCGGCTCCCGCCTCCTGTGCCTGCCTTTCTCGCGGCTGCCCTTAGGGCAGAGGCATCGCGTTGGGTGCTTTACAGGGGACAAGGCGTCCGAATTCCCTATCGCCTGTGGGCGATCCCCGCCCAACCCCTAGGCCATCCAGTTCTGTTATCAGAGGACTCCCAACATGTCAGCTGTCTGCTGCACGGCCCCTGGAGCTCCCATAGGCACTGCATACCCACACGGCCAACATGGCCAACATGGAACTCAGTATCCTCCAAACAGAGGCCTTCCTCTTGGGTTCCCTGTTCATAAGAGGAAGCCACTATCTACTCAGGTGTGCCCACAGAAGAAAGTTGAGAGTCGTCCTGGACCCCACTTTCTCCATCCCTCACACTCAATCCTTTTCTAGATCCTGAAAGTGTACATTGAAAGGTCGCTAATTTTCTCATCTCCACCTCTGTATCTCCTACTCATCCTTCCAGGTCTAACTGAAAAATAGCTTTGCCTTGTGTAAGAGTACATTCATCTCTGCGCCGTTATCATCGCTTGTGAAGTTTTTATCAGTGGACTGACCACTTCAGGGTTGGGGCCGTGTGTGAATTATTTGGGTGAACCCAGAGCCCAGCATGGCACTGGGCAAAGGCAAGTCAGCCCTGAGTTGTTCTTCCATGGTTGTACCTACCTTGGTTGTCGTTGTGCTCCAGTCATACATAATCTTACGAGCTCTCGAAATTTGCAGCTGTTCCCGTCTCATCTTTTGGTCTCTAGCTTCTCTCTCTGCAACCCATCCTCCACACTACACACAATGTGATCTTTCTATTGGACAAAATTAACCCTCTCCTTCTTTAAATCCTTCAGTGGTTCTCCATCAAGGCATATAGGCCTTCCCTGTCTGCCTTGCCAGACTCTTCTCTCACTCCTATTCTCTCCCTTTACATTCCTGACACTCAGCTTTGCAGAGCTAACTAGCTCTTTGAGCACTCCATGCTCTGCACTCCAGGCCAGAGAGCCTCCATGCCCTCCAGTATCCCTTGCTTGGTTAACTGTTGTTCATCCTTCAGGACTCTGGCAAGACTTAGTTTTGTCCCCCAAGCCTGGGTTTGATGCCTCCTCTGAGTTTTCAGTTCCACTGCTTCTCTTTGATCATGTATATTTTGATTGTTTGTTTACATATCTGTCCCTTGTACTTGGAAGGTCATCTCTAGCCATTTACCCAGCACAGCGTCTTGCATGAAGGAGACACCAGTGGGAACGGGAGAAAGACTTTATGAGATAAGCCCTGAGCCCAGTGATGGGTTGGGAAACAATCTCGGATTTAGGGCCAGACAGACTCAAGTTCAAGTCCTAATTCTGTTACTTACAATTTATGTGTTCTTAGAAGAGTCACCTCTTTCTAGGCCTGTTTCCTTGGTAATAGACTGGGCATGATGAATACAGTTGCTATGAGGTTTAAGTGAGGTAATGATAAAGAGGGTTAGTTAGTCAGCAGGGGCTAAGTAAATGAGAATTCAAACCAGAAACCAAGGCTCATGCCTTTAATCTTAGCACTTTGGAAAGCCAATGCAGGAGGATTGCTTGAGCCCAGGAGTTCAAGACCAGCCTGGGCAATATAGTGAGACCCTGTCTCTATGAAAAACAAAAACAAAACCCCAGAAACCAATACCCCCTGGTTTCAAGGCCTAGCTCAGTGACTTTAAAAATCCGACATAGCTGAACAACTACTACATGCCAGGCCTTGTGTAAAGAGCAAGGGATGGGATACCCAGCTAGTCTCTGGGTTGCTTTCCAGCTTCACCTACTAACTTTCCTTGCATTCTACTTTCTAACAAAAGCAAACTGCTAGCAGGTCCCCAGATACATCATTCTGTTACACCTCTATGTTCTCTACATAGTGTTGTCTTTATATCTGGAGTAACCTTTCTTCCTTGTCTGCCAAGTGAACTTCTGTTCCTTCTCTGAGTCCGTTTTCAGTCATTACCTCCTGTGTGAAGCTTACTCTGATTTTCTCCTCCTTCTACTGTAGTATCCTAGAAACGTATTCTTTATTATTAATTTTTTTTATTTTATATTTTTAGTAGAGACAGGGTTTTGCCATGTTGCCCAGGCTGGTCTTGAACTCCTGGCCTCAAGCAGTCCACTTGCGTTGGCCTCCCAAAGTGCTGAGATTACAGGCATGAGCCACTGTGCCTGGCCCCTAGAAACTTATTTATACTCCTGTCATAGCACTCAAGACACTGGACCATAATTGTCTATCTGCAAATCTAACCCCTTGAAGGCAAGGACACTAAGCTGAACATGAGTCAGTACTAAATAAATGTTTGAGTAAAGGAAGGATAAGACAAGGTCCTTGCCTTGGAGAAACTCCAAGTCTAGTGGAGTCAGATTCATTGTGAAAGATTAAATATGGCCAGAATTATTTGCATCTTCTCCTATCAAGAGCTGCCTTTCCTCATCACTCGATTATGGGCTAGCTTTGTGACTTGCTTTGCTTAATAGAAAGTGGTGGAAGTGATGTGTGAGTTCCAGATTCTAGGCCTCAACAGGCCTTGCGGCTTTGGCATTTACCCTCTTGGTGTGACACTGCCCTGAGACTGCTAAGTAAGAAAGCTGATTGAACATACTGGAGGATGAGAGGCCACATGGAAGAGAGCCAAGACACCCAATCTCCCAAACATGCGGTGAGGCCATTTTAGACTTTCCAGCCCAGCCAGTCCTCCAGGATGAATGAGCTGCATGAGTGAGGAAATGCCCAGTCAACCACAGCATCATAAATAATGAGTTGTGTTAAGCCACTAAGTTTTGGGATGGTTTGTAGATAACGGAAACATACCTGAACAGGTGATCACAATGTAGGGTGACGGGGCAATAACCAGGACACACAAGGGTCAAGAGATAGCTAATCCAGAAAGACTTCCTGGAGGAGATGATATTTGGGCAGGATTTGGAAGGATAAATAGAAATTTGATGTAGTGGGGTAAAACAGTTCTGTTAGAAGAAATAGCATGTGAAAAGACATAGAGGCAAGAAAGGAATGCCTCATCCAGGGAGTGTTTAGCATTAGTTCAGTGAGCATAGCCCATAGGATTCATGGACAGTATTTGGAATGGAAGCTGGAAATATAGGTTGAATCTATATCACAGAAGGCCTCGCTGCCATGATAAGGAGCTTCAGCTTTATCTTGTAGGACACAACCTAGTTTGATTTGCCCTTTCGGAGGTGTGCTTAGAGTCTAGAACAGGGTCTTGGGTCTTAACCTGGGCTTCAGAGATCTCCAAGTGGTATTGGGATGGGATCTAGAGCTTTCCTAACCTCCTGAAGTTGTATGTATAACACTGCATGTGTGTGTGCCTGTGTGTATGTAAAAACACATGCGTATGTTTTTAGGCAAGAGAGTCCATAGCTTTCCTCATAGTCTCTAGGAGATAAAAGAAATACTGACATTTGTGGGGAGGAAGGTGGGTCAGGGAGTTGAGGCATTGTTGCCTGATGGTTACTCTTTCCTAGTTGAACAGATGGCAAGGCGCATGCCGTGAGTGCAGTACAGAGGACAGGCCTCTGAAGGTGGGGCTGTCTATTCCTCTGGACCAGAATGCTCTGGAACAAAGCCTTGTCTCTGTTCCCTATCAGATCAGAATTCCCTGGGGTCTGGTCATTTCTCTGCCTTGAACCAGGGTTGTCTGGATCGGGGCAGTGTCTCCCAGGGGCTTATTGGGCTTCCTTTCTGAAACTGGGGTTCCCTTAGAGAGAGCAGGGATCCCTTCCCAGGGCTTGCACTTTGGGCTATGCAGTTTGAGTCCCATGCAAAGGCATTCGGCGGAGTCTGTCCAGCCGTGCTGGGCACTCTACTCTCCAAGCTCTGCACCCTGTGCCAGGCCAGGCTGTGTCAGCTGGAAGGAAGGGGTGCAGAGAACACCTTTCTTTAATTCCCACAAAGGGTCAGGTGTGCCAGCAGGGCCCCTGGTTCTCTACCCAAGCTTACAGGTCCCTGCAGCCCTGTCTTTCTGTATCAGATCAGGGCTGTTCTTCCCTTCTCACACTGGGCCTCCCTGCGAAGCCCTGTTGCCATTTGGACAAATGTTCCTTGGAATAGGGCACTGTTCTCTTTCATCTAACGGCTCTGGGGTTCTTAAAGACAGGGCTCTGCCTCTCCTTAGACAAAAGTTTTGGGGGAAGTTCTTTGTCCTTCCTACTCCAGAGAAGGTCCGTTTATAGCTAAGATGCTACCCTTAGGCCCCTCTGCTATGATATTGTAGGACTGTGTGATGACTCCCTTCCTATTTGCCCAAGACACTCACAGGCAGTGTGTGCCTGTCTCTCTATCTGGGCCTGATACCAAGGTTTGGCAGAATTGAATGGTTATTTGCTTAAGGTATCACGCTTTTTTTTTTTTTTTTTTTTTTTTTTGAGACGGAGTCTTGCTCTGTCACCCAGGCTGGAGTACAATGGCGTGGTCTCAGCTCACTGCAACCTCTGCCTCCCGGGTTCAAGTGATTCTCCTGCCTCAGCCTCCGGAGTAGCTGGGATTACAGGCGCCCGCCACCATGCCTGGCTAATTTTTGTATTTTTAGTAGAGATGGGGTTTCACCATGTTGGCCAGGCTGGTCTCCAATTGCTGACCTCGTGATCCGCCCGCCTCGGCCTCTCAAAGTGCTGGGATTACAGGCATGAGCCACCACGCCTAGCCTTTTTTTTTTTTTTTTTTTTTTTTTTTTTGAGATGGAGTCTCACTCTGTCGCCAGGCTGGAGTGCCGTGGTGCAATCTTGGCTCACTGCAACCTCCATCTTCTGGGTTCAAGCGATTCTCCTGCCTCAGCCTCCCAAGTAGCTGGGACTACAGGCACACGCTACCATGCCCAGCTAATTTTTGTATTTTCAGCAGAGATGGGGTCTCACCATGTTGGCCAGGATGGTCTTGATCTCTTGACCTCGTGATCTGCCTGCCTCGGCCTCCCAAAGTGCTGAGATTACAGGCATGAGCCACTGCACCCGGCCGGTATCATGCTTTTGAAGTCTGAAATCTTCAGGTGATTCTGGGCTATGTATCTGGGTCTCTTATGAAACCAAACCCCATAGGATACTTCCTGATGGATAGAATGATTCAGAGGTGCTCAGAGCCCATGGAGCCCATGTGACCTTGGCATCTCTCCCTAAAATCCATCTATTTAAGGCCTATTCCCTGACACGTATGCCTCCTGAGTTCACTTAGGGGCACGGGACACAGGGGGAACCAAACCCAGTTCAGGCCTCTCCTGTGGCCTACAGAGGAGAGGAGGAGTTAGCACCGGGCAGGCTCTTGAAGCCCTCCCCCAGGTGAGCTTGCTTCTCATGGCCACTCACCACCCCTCCTCACCTGGTATCTGTCTGAATGGTGGAGGTCATCGGTGGCAGATGAGTGGGGTGATGCCGTTGGAGACTCTCCTTCCCTCTTGATGGAAGCAGACAACAGGAGGGACTGGAAGAAGAAAAAAGACATGTGGCCTCAGGCCAAATGAGACCTACAGTCAGTCCCTAGAGTTCCCAGTCCTGTGGTGCTTTGGGGAGCCAGGCAAAGAGAAGGAGGCTGAGGGATAGAAAGACCACTCTTGAGATTCTAAAGGCATGGGGTCAAGTCCTGGGAGTGTGGTTGTGGGAGAGCATGGCTTGGTTTTAGGGATGGGTAGAGACCCCTTGAGGGACCCTGCTTAGGCTAATCTCTGTCCCAGTGGAGTGAGACTCCCAGTCCACTCCGAGTAGGCTGAGACTATATATGTTTTGTTTTCCCTTGGAGAGCAGAGACTCTGGGATCCCCATGAAGGGTTGTGGGTAAAGCCATATACCCGCTACCCCGCCTGCCCTTAATACAGGCTGATGGCAGCCCCACAATGGAGACAGTAAATTAAATAGCATGTGAGTTTCCCACGTGCAGCTAGGGATGTATGTGGGTCCATTTATCCCGGTGCTACGGTGATGACCCCAGCAAAAACCCCAGCAAAACTAATCCCCCCATGTCAATCTTGTATGGCCTCTTCTACATACGCCTGCAGTTTAGATTAATAAACTGTCTGCTTGAAATTGTGTGCAATCACCACAATTCTAAATACCACATGGCACATTCTGCCTGAGAGCCCGCTCTTGCCAAGGCCTGTTCAGCTGCAAACTGGGTGCCTGGAGGCCTGAAAGCAATCCATACTTCCTCCCCCCACCTTCTCCAGCCTGTACAGCTCTGAGCCGGAAGCACACAGTTCCCTAGGAGTCTTCCCCAGCTTAGAAAACCATGCCAAATCGCCAGTGACAGCCCAAAGAAAGCAATTTGGGAAAGATGGAGCAGCCATTTATCCTTCATCTCCGGCTGAGCCTTAGGATGTGACCCGCATGCGGTGGCCATGCTGCACATCCTCAGGCAAGGGCCCTGGAAAGGGAAGGGACAGCTGCTGGTCTGGCAGGGCTCCCTGACTTGCCCATACCCCAGGAGCTGGAGGAGAGAAGAGGCTGGAAAGGGCCTGCATGGGATTCTCTGCAACGTGGAGCTCCTTCTTCACCCATCCAAGCCCAGTGGGAGGCCTCATGGGTGACCCAGCCCTCAGCTCAGAAAGGAGGTGCTCTCAGGCAATGTTCTTCTCCTTCTCTGGTCCCAAGGAAGATGCTAACGAGGGGGAACAGTGTGGGTCACCCCGACCTCCGGCCCATGAAAAAGCTCCTGTTTGTGCGCTTTCTCTCTCTCTCTCTCTCTCTCTCTCTCTCTCATTCTCTCTAGGTTAGAAGCCCTGAGAGGCCTCGGCATTACACCTGGGGCAAGCGGAATAAAAAAAGGTCACTGGTGCTTTTTAAACATGGACCAAAAAGCAGTAAAATGTGTTTTGAAAAAAAATCCCGGCATTAAATCATGACTTTTTGCCTGGCTCTTCGCCTCATTAAAAGTGGCCTTTTGGAAGGTAAAATTATCATTGTAAGCGATAAGATCTTTAAGAAAATAATTCACGGCTTCTTCACCCTTTAATATGATAGCCGCCACCGGCTAATTTTTTTCTTAATGGCAACGAGGCCATCAATCTTGTCTAAGGCCCCCTCGCCCTCTCCTCCTCCTCCCTCCCTCCTTCTCCCTGTCCTTTCAGTCTCTTGCTTGAACCTTCTCTCTCTCGCCTCTTCCACTCACGACCTGCTTCCCTAAAGCCTAGGTCAAGGCAGAGGATAGACCCTGAACTATTCAGCTTTGGGGGTGTGGGCATATATCTGGAAGTGGGTGAGCAAGTGTCCCTTATCTCTGTGTCTCATGGTCAGTATGCCTGTGTCTGTGGTTTCAGGACACATGTTTTAAGACTTCCTATGTCTGTATTCTGACCTGAGTGTGTGTGTGGGTCTGTATATGTGGGGAGCTAGGGACGGAGGTAGACTGTGTCTGCCAGGGGTTTGTCCTTAGAACACAGGCCTCACTGATGTCCAAGTCCCCAGCCCTGCCAGCCATGCTCAGGTGTCAGCTGTCACCTGTGGTGGCCGACTTGGAAGCTTGTCTCTGACTTTCCTGAACCACACCATTAAATGCTGCAGGCTGGGCCACACTCAGTGAGTGTAGCTCGCTACCTCTGTGAGTCTGCAGCTGCCTGGCACCCCCAGCCTCCCCTTTCTCTTTGGGGCTTTGACTCCTTGGCCAAGGCCTATACCCACCCAAGGCAGGGCTAGGTGCTCTGCTCCTCCTCTCCCAGCTTGCTGCAGGTGAGCAGTTTTCTAAACGAAGGTACACGATCCATTCCTATACCTTTGAAAGGCTTGCAGGGTATTTGGGTCTACCCCATGGAAGTGATACTTGTCACTCTGGCTCCTTTCCCAAAACTGCCCTCTTAGAGGTCACCAGTCACTGCCAGACTTCTAAATACAACGGGCCCCTTCTCCAGTCTTTCCCTGTTTGACTGCTGACCACCTGATACATTTAGAAACTTTCTTCCTTAGGATCCTGAGATACCATGCTCTCCTGTGCCCCTCTTAACTCACTGAGTGTTCCTCCTCTGTCTCCTTCCCTGCCTCCTGGACCTTATCTTGACACCAAGTGCAGGAGTCCCTCAGATTCTCACCTTGGCCTTTGCTCTAATCTCTCCAAACACTCTCCTTCACTGATTCCACCCATTCCCAAATCTTCCATAGTCATTCCTCACTCCCTATAAAATGGGCTAGGGGTGGCCTCCTGTTCTGAATAATTATGGGAAAAAGGATGCAGTCTTCTACCGAGGAATGGGGAAGGGGATACTCAGTGAGTGAGGGTTTGGTTCTCCCCATGTATCCATCCCCTCAAAACCACCTTTGGGTAAGTAGTACCCACTGTGTCCATGGCCATCTTTGAGGAGTTCTTGATACAAATGTCATTGTGCTAAGGCCTCTTGGCCCCTCCTTTGAGCCAGATATTTGCTCTTCACTTTCCCTTTCTCCAACTGATGCTTTCAAGTCTTTCTCCCACAGGGTTTGTTCAGAGAGGCAGACTAGCTCCCCAAAAGAGTCCAGCCTCTTCCTTGGCTCCTTGTTCCCCTCAGGACAAAGTACACACAAACACACACACACGCACACACCTGCACATTCATACACCCCTGTGCCCCCATAGTCTGGCTTCTAGGGCCCTGCACTATCTTGACCTGCATTTCTTTATTTTTCTTCATCTGCTATAGCTCACTTTCTTCCTTTGAGTCTTCTCACCCTTAGTGTCTGGGTCACCCACATCTCCCAGGCCATTCTTGGCTCTGACCCCTCTCCTGGCTGGAAGAGGAGGAAGTCAGATGAGCATACTCTCACTCATGCACAGACCACACACACTTACACACACACACGGCGCAGCCCTAGGCCTCAGGATGATGTTCAAGACCTGGAGATAGTTGAGGATATTAGAAAAGCTGGAGATAGTTGAGGATACTAGAAAAGCTCCTTTTTCTCAGGAGGAACCAGTTCTGGGTAGGCCTAGGTTAGTATGGGCAGGAGGAAAACATGTAATTGGCCACCTACCTTTGGGGTGCCTGGAGCCATGGCATCCTTCAGAAGGGAATTCTTGCTGCCAAGAAAGAAGAGAACAGGGTAACCATTCTACCTGCTGCCCAGGGCATGCAACGGTAGAGTAGCAAGAAGACCCCAAAGACAGAGAAGGCATAGACCGCCTAGCCCAGCCCAGCTCAGCCAAGCTCCACCCAGTCCTTTCAATCCCAGTGGCCCAGCCTCTCTCATGGGCTGAGTGGCTCAGCCTCTCTCTTGGGCCAAGGGCTAGTGCTGGCCCCTGGGAGGGAGACACAGACACTAGGCATGGTAGATTTCCCAGTGGATCTGAAGAAAGGGGCTTTACCTGACTCCTCGTATCAGCCCTGAAGATTCTGCCTGTCCTGGAGACCCCCTTCTCTCCACCCCCTGTTCCCAGCCCGCTCTTAGCTCCTGTGGGATTGGGGTGATGGAGCTGACAGGGCTCTTGTCAATTCTCCCTCCAACATGCTGCAAACTGTGTTAGGCCAGGAATGATCTCCCCCTGATTCAATTTGTCAGCCCCAGGCCCTCCGGCATCGGGCGCGGCAGGCAGGCGGGAGCTGGGCCCTGAAATATGGTGGGCGGCTCAGAGCAGGCGGGGGCTGGGGTGGGAGGTGATGGATGGGCTGTGGGGGAGGCGAGGACTGTGTTTAATAACAAAATTGGTATGCAAGGCCACATCCTGCGCTAAGCATGAGTGATCCAGAGCCACAAAGTATTACAAATCCCTGCTAAACAGATGCTGACAATGGAACAAGACGTATCAAATCAGATCCACTTCAGAAACATTAATATCCCTGTTCCTGTCCCTCCCTGCCTGCTGCCCCCACTACGCTTGCCACATCTGTGCTCGCACATTCATGCGCGTGCACTCACACACACACACACATGCTCACAGAAGTGCTGGCTGATGAATGCACGGAGGCAGACACAGCCCATTCACATAGGGTCCCTGCACAGACACACATATGAGGTATAACGTACAGCACACCTGCAGATATACCCGGAAAGCAGAAGAACACACAGACACACATCCAAGGCAGAATGCATGGGGCACATAGGGACTTAACGAGTGTAGACATAAGGAACATCCACAGATGAGCTCAGACACCCACAGGGCCAGACACAAACGTACCGGACAAGCCAGCAAAAGCACAGGCAGATTCAGATGCAGCAGTGACTCTCAGTGGGGGACAGGGGAGAAGGGGAAGGGATGTTCACCTGCACAGGGGACATCCAGCAATGTCTGGAGACATTTTTGATTGTCAAAACTTGAGCGGAGGGAGGGGAGGTTGCTACTGGCATGGAGTAGGTAGAGGATGTTAAACAGCCTACAGTGTACCAGACAGCCCCTCACAGCAAAGAATTATCTGACCCCAAATGTCAACTGTGCCGAGGTTGAGAAACCCTGGTATAAAGGCGCACACATATATACCCATAGACTTTCTATAATTCTGCCAACAGGCACAGATATAACCAGTCACACCTGGAGACTCAGACACGCATACAGATGCACAGGGCCACAGAGGCATATTCCCAGACACATGTCCATAAAGACAGATGCATGGTCCGGTGCAGTGGCTCACGCCTATAATCCCAGCACTTTGTGAGGCCGAGGCTGGTGGATCACCTGAGGTCAGGAGTTCGAGACCAGCCTGGCCAACATGGTGAAACCCCGTCTCTACTAAAAATACAAAAATTAGCTGGGCGTGGTGGCAGGCGCCTGTAATCCCAGCTACTCGGGAGGCTGAGGCAGGAGAATCGCTTGAATCCAGGAGGGAGAAGTTGGAGTGAGCCGAGATTGCGCCACTGTACTCCAGCCTGGGCAACAAGAGTGAGACTTTGTCTCAAAAAAAAAAAAAAAAAAAAGATTCACAACAGCCACACAGATTAGATGAGAGCTGCTCATGTGCACAAGTCCAATAAACACATGCGTAGATATGGACACCTGTGTGTACCAACACACACCCAGATGCACATGTACCCACAAATGTAGACACAGATGCACAACACACATAACATATGTATATCCCAGTGCAGAGGCCACCAGGCCCAGCAGCAGAGTGAGGCCAAGGTCTGAGTGTAAAAACAGAGCTGTCAGCCAGTCTAATCACACAGTGGGGGCATCACAGACTAGGAAGGCTAGCTACAACAGGTTCCATTCAATTATGTTTTGCTCATAAATGGTTCATGCCAGCCCTGATGTAGGCACTGGGGATTCAAGAAGGGCACGGAGCTGCTTTTGAGAGCAACTAGTTTTTGAGTTTATGGCTTTTATCATTCGTTCACTCCTTCATTCACTCAGTAAACAAATACTGCCATCACCATTTCTGGTACGGAAATGAGGTATCTACTGTACAACACCATGCTTGCTCTACCTGGCCTAGGATAAGAGTATTATCTCCAGTTGGATCAGGTGACAGCAGAAAAGGAAGGAATGAACAATGATTGTACACCCACTGTATGTGACAGGCGCAGGCCTTAACATGTGTTATCTCATTGAAACTTCACAAAATCTCTACAAAGTTGACTACCAGGTCAAATGACATTTCTATGGTCACACAGTCCGTGGAGGGTTTGGGATTTGAGTTGGCATCTGGCCAAGCCCACAGTGCTGGCTTTTAATTGCCCATGCTGCCTCCCTAAAGACACTCAGGGCTTAGGATAGAGGGCAGAATCCAGTTCTTTTTCTTTGCTTTCTGTGTGACTTTGGGGAGGGGAACTGCTGACTCTGGGCTTCAGTTTGCTCTGCTGGTGAACAGAAACAGGGACATTCAGGGTCAGAATGCCCAGCCTGTCATTTGGCGATCCACTCCTCTGGATCTTTTCCTAGCAACACTCTTCACTGTCCCTTGCATTGCATTGGTACTACCTGAGACTCCTTGCCTCTCTCTGAGCAAGGGACCCCCTCCCTATCTTCCCTCCAACAACCTGATTACCTCCCAGTGTGCTTGGCCCCCAGAGGCTGAGGAGTCTGCTGAAGGGCCTGCCTCATAGAAGACAGGTCTGAGGTCCGCAGCTGTAGGCAGCCTGGCTCCCGCCCAGCCCATCAGCTCTGCCTTCATCCCTCCCTATTTCCACAGCCCGCCCCCAACGATTTCCTCCCTTGCTCAGTCACTCGCTGCCTAGTGATCCATGGGTTTTAAATTATAACTGGGACCCAGGAAACGCATTCCTAAGTACAATATTCATGGGCTGGGCTGACACTTTTAATTAAGGTGATTTACACTGAATTATCCTTGGAAATAAAGAAATGGTGCACTGCCCGGGAATAAACCATCATCACCAGCCGCCTTTGTAAGTTACACTTCGTTTTAATCTATTTGGGGAATTGTTTATCTAGTTCATTACCCAACCAAACACCGAGGCCGGCCTTAAATAAGGCTTAAGTGGGGGTGGGGGCACTGCCATCTCCACACCCCGCCTCTTCTCTAGAGTCACCCAGCCTCCCTCTGGCTTCTTTGAGCCCTTTTAAAGTGCTGGCCAGAGAGCTGGCTTCCCAGCTCAGAGGCCAGATCTTGAATGGCTCCAGAAACCTCCCAGAGAATCTCTCTAAGTTCAGGCCCCACCAAGCCAAGCCCAACTTTTAGCTTTGTGCAATCTCTCCATGCCCAAGGCTACTTCATCTCTCTGGATGGAAACTCCTGCCTGAGGGCCACTGGGAAGTCTGGGGGCCAACTCCTTCCTCCACCCCCGCCCTTCAACCTCCAGCCCCCATCTATCTATGTCCCTGCCTGTCTCTCCACACATCCAGTCCCTCCCCCATCACCAACCCAGAGACATCTTAGGCTGAGCTTGCCCAACATCCCCTCCTTCCCTCAGACACTTGCTTCTCTGCCACCATCACTCTCCCAATCATTCAAGTTAGAAAGCTTCCTCCCAATAAGCACCCCAACTAAGTCCTGTGGCTTCTTCCTCCACCTGGTCTGTCGTCATTCCCTCTTCTGCATCCCCACTGCCACTGCCACTGTCCTGGGTCGGCCTCACCAACTTTCCCCTGGACCCTGGCCGACCTCCTCCCTTGCCTCCTGTTTCTTCCCCCAACCCACACTCCACACTGGCCTTGCAACCATGCCCCTCCCACTTGTCTCTCTCTGACCAGGCTTCACCCTGGCTCATGAATGTTCGGCTTACTCTCCACCCCATCAAGGACGTCCTCCAGCATTGAAGGCCCTCCACAATCTGTCCTCCATCTAACTTTGCCCTCCTTGTTCTACCTGGCCAAGTTCTGGGGTCTGATGGAACCCCTGTGAAGGGGTTGAGAAGGGGAAAGATAAAGGATGGGGTGAGGGAGAGAGTGTTAGCACAGCCTCTGATCTCAAATGGAAAAGTGCTTTGAAAAGTGTAAGGACTTTGCCAAAGGAAGTTCTGATTGCTCTTCCTGTAAGTGTCTGTGCACCCATGTACCTGTGGGAATGACACCCATGGGACAAGGCTTCTTTCAGGGTGTGTGTGTGGGCACATCTGTGTGTTGGAATGGGTGTGTGTGTGCACCTGCATGTCCTGTATATGTTTGCGTCTGTGTCTGAAACACAGCCAGCCCTGGCTCTGGAGCTGGAAGGTTCCTGCTTCTCTCTGTGAGCCCGTGAGTGTGTCTGAAATAGCAGCCTGCTCCTAGTGGGGTGTGCTTTGTGCTGTTGGGCAAAGGGAGGCAGGAGGTGGAACACCAGGCCAGTCTGAAGAGCCCCTTAGGATGCAGTCAAGTGGAGGGGGGACGTGTCCAGGTTGATGGAGGGCACCTGGCGGCAGCATCCACAGACTCAGGAGCTGGCTAAGCTGAAGAAGGCCAGGGAGGGCAAAGGAGGCAATGGAGGCAAAGGCAGGGTAGGAGAGGAAAAGGGACAATTGGAGGAGAGAAGAGGGAGGAGTCAGCAGGGGAAAGAAGGGCTGGGGCAGAGAGGAGAGGGGAGGGGAGGAGGGAGAGCTGGGGAGGAAGCCTCCAAAGATGTGCCTTTGGTGGATGGAACTGCCCTGATGTGGGCTCTGCTAGGACCCTGGAAGTGAGGCACACACAGGCTCTGCCCTCCTGCGGGCCTCAGTTTCCCCATCTGTGAAATGGCTGGTTTCAGGCCCCTCTGCTCAGGGAGCTGATGGTGAGGAGTGGAGAGGGTGTCTCAGGAACCCCAGTGTGTCATCTTTTCCCAACCTCCTCTGCTGTCTTGGCTTCCCGAGAGCGGGCAGGGGCGGGGCAAGGGCAGCCAAGGCTGGGGCCCTCCCCGCGCTCCCCGCTGAACGGCCGTCAGCCCGGAGGGAGCTGACACGCTCCTTGGGAATTTATCACGCACCCAATTACAATGTTAATTGGCAAGTTCCTGAAATCAATTAATTCGCAAATTTTTTCCAATTAAAAATCCAGATAAATCACGAGGGCGGCGGCGGGCCGGTCCAGCCCACAGTCCGGTGGGCGCAGCGGCCGCAGGGAGGGAGGGCGAGAGAAGCGAGGGGAGGGGGCGCGGGCGCGGCTGCCCTTGAACGCCTTTGCCGGCCGGTCCAACTGTCAGCGCGCCGGGCGCGGCGGGGCCGAGACAGATAAAACCATCGACCCGTCGCCGCCAGCGTTTCGGCTTTATCGATCCGACGGGAATTTCACTTGCTGTGCAGATCCCGCTGTCCGGCTGTCAGACACCCGGTTGGAGGGGGGCGCGTGCCGGGGGCGCAGGGCGCGCACAGACGGAGGGGGCATGGGCGTAGGGGTGCTGGGCTGGGCCGCGACGTGAGGGGTACAGATGCAGGGACGCAAGACATAGCCGTGAGAAGCATGGAGCTTGGGGTGGGGAAATGGACACGGGGATGCTCTGGGAGGATGTGAGGGATAAGGGGGTTGTGCAGAGTCATGGGTGGGGGTGTGGAAAAAGGAAGGCTGTTGGCAGAAGTGCATGCCCTGGACATTGCAGGTGTGGAGCACCTGGGACTGCACTGTAGTGTGGCCCTCACCGAGGAGGCAGACAGAGAGCTGGGGGCCCGCATTCTCCAGGCCCTTAGGGGGCACACTGCTTTTACAAGGCTGGGCATGCTCCTCTAGCCTCTACCTCTATTCTCTGACCCTGGTAGGAGAAGTCCTCCTCTGGGAGCAAATTACACAGGACTCCTCCTGGACAGCCAAAATATGGAACCCAGCTGCAGAAGGATTTTTTTTTCCCACTTTCTGCCACTGGCAGGCCAATCCCAGGTGTGTGTGGGCGGGGGGTAGGGATGGGGAGTGATTAAGAGCATGGGTACTGGAGTCAGATTACTTTAGGTTTGAATCTTATCTTCATCACTTACTAGCTGTGCAACCTTAGAGATGTCACTTAACTCCTCTGCACCTCAGTTTCTTCCTCTGTAAAATGGGAGCAATTATTGTCACCTACTTCAGAGGGTTGTTGTGAAGATTAAATAAATTAATGCAATGTAAAGTACTCGGCACATAGTGAGCATTCAACAAGGATTATTATTATTATCACTGGTATAGTCTTATATGCCCATGGATTCTTTCATACTCCTCCCTTCAATGGGTAGAGCTTCTAGAGCTTAATTCTTCTCCCTTGAGAATGAGCTGGACTTGACAACTTGCTCCTAGTGAACAGAATAGAATAGAATAGAGTAGAAGCAACAGTGTGTGACTTCCCAGACTAGATCATAAGAAGCACTGTGGCACCCTCCTTAGTCTTCTCTTGGACTGCATGCTCTGTGGGAAGTCAGCTGCCAT
The DNA here is from genome assembly GCF_000001405.40 of Homo sapiens. Lineage (NCBI taxonomy): Eukaryota > Metazoa > Chordata > Mammalia > Primates > Hominidae > Homo > Homo sapiens. Next base: position 44,616,093 of record NC_000001.11, on the reverse strand, counting down.
GTCATAGGGAAATTCAAGCTGTCCTATGCAGAGACCCACATGTGGGGGAACTGAGGCCTCCTGCCAACAGCCATGTGAGTGAGCATCTTGGAAGCAGATCCTGCAGTCCCAGTCAGATCTTCAGATGACCGTTGCCTTGGTTGACATCTTGACTGCAGCTTCATGAGAGACTCCCAGCCAGTAGCCACTACTACCCACAACCATCCAGCTAAGCTGTTCCTGAATTGATGACCACAGAAACTGAGATAATACATGTATGTTGTTTTAGCTGCTAGGTTTTAGGGTAGTTTGTAACACAGCGATAGATGACTAAATATTTCTTCCTTCAAAATTCAGCTCAGGCCTTACCTTCTGAGGAAGCCTTCTTTGCTCTGTGCTGGGTTTGGTGCCTCCTTGATACCCCCAAGCTCCAGTTCTTCCCGTATAGCAGTCTCCATCCCTCTGGGTTTGTACTGCCTGACCCTCCCTACCCTCATGCTATGAACTTCCAAGGGCAGGGACCATTCTGATTCACTATGGGATCCCCTGCACCTTGCATGGGGATTCGGTAAGAAGGTAGAAGGAAGGAGGATCAGTCAAGTCTGATGACTTGAACTGAATAAGGGTCGGACTGGGAGGAGCGGGGCAGACCGTCCCTCAGTAGCAGATTATATTTTCCAAAGACAGCATCAACCATATCTTCCATCCCACATACGTTTCTACAATTTGACCTTGCCAGTCCTCCCATCAAAAGGGGGGTGTATGTCCTCTCCCCTTGAATTCTGGGTGGTCTAATACTGCCTCAATCAATAGAATACAGTGGAAGTGAGATTCAGTGACTTTCAGGCTAGGTTATAAAAGGTGATCCAGCTTCCATCTCGTTGGCTGGAACATTTGCTTTTGGAGCCCAAAGCTGCCATGCAAGAAGTCCAACCATCCCGAGGTTGGCAAGCTATGAGGAAGCCCAGGCCACATGGAGAAGCCCTGTGTAGGTGCTTTGATTCCAGCCTCAGCTGAGGTCCCAGCTGACAGCCAGCATCAACCCCCAGACATGTGAGGGAAGCAGCCTTCACATGACCCAGCTCCCAGCCACCAAGTCTTCCCAGCTAAGGCCCCAGACATCATGGAGCAGACATCAGCCATCTCCTCTGTGCCTTATCTGAATTCCTGACCTCACAGATTCCACGAGCACAATGAAATGGTTGCTTTAAACTGCTAAGATTTTAGGTAATTTGTCACACCTCTCCTCTACTCTTTTTGATAACCTGGCTCCTCCACCAGGCCCTTGAGGAGGCTCAGCCCAGTCCTTCAGGCAGGGACAAGGGAGGGAGGCTGGGGGTGAGGTGGGGTGGGACAGTGGGGGACACACCTGAGCACATTCTTAAGATTGTCATCTTTCAGACACTGAGATTCATAGAGAAGGTAGTGTCCACCCCACTGGAGGAAGGACTTGGCTGCACTTCTGAGGGGCCTGCCAGGCCTAGGACCTGCTGCTTTTATTCTGCTCTGAGGCTCAACATGGCAGTGCTGGGCCTTTGGCAGTGGCTCACCCCTGTCTAGCTCCTCTCATGTTTTCCTTTGAGGCTGGGGCCTGCGGGGTCACTCTCCTCCCATCTCCAAAAATAGAGCAAGAAGAGGAAGGTGGCTCCATTCAGCGGAAAGATCTGAGGATTGAAACAGAGTTGTGGAGAAGGGTGGCAGGGTCCTGTCTTTTCCCGAGGGGCTGGGGTATGGGCCAGGCGGCTGCTTCTGGGATCCGGTGGCCAGAACCCTGAGTGGACTCCTCCAGCAGGCAGGCTCCCTGGGAGGTGGCTTACCTCGAGGGCAGTTGGGCTAGCTGCTCCAGTTCCTGCTCCATATGCTCCTGCAGCTCACTGGGCCTCAGCAGGACCTGGCAGATGGGGCAAATTGGGGCCTGGCTGTCGAACAATGCCGCTGCTTTCTTCTTACCTAGTGAGGGGAGAAGAACAGACAGACGCGTAAGCTGGGCTAGTCCAGGAGGCAGACCCAGCATCCCAGTCCTGAAACCCAAGCCTGCTGCTGCCCTCTAGGGCTTCTTGGCCTAGAGGAGGGGCCTGAGGGTTTCAGAGCCCACGAGCACCCCTCCTCCTTGCAGCTCCAGAGGCTGTGGCCATGAATGGTACCTCCTCAGCCAGCCACCCCTCTCAGAAATCTATTAGGACACATCCCCCATGGGATGTCTATTTTTTTTTCTTTTTTAAATTAATTAATTAATTTGAGACAGAGTCTTGCTCTGTTGCCCAGGCTGGAGTACAGTAGCGTGATCTTGGCTCACTGCAACCTCTGCCTCCTGGGTTCAAGTGGTTCTCCTGCCTCAGCCTCCTGAGTAGTTGGGATTACAGGCATGTGCCACCACACTTGGCTAATTTTTGTATTTTTTGTAGAGATGGGATTTCATCTTGTTGGTCAGGCTGGTCTCAAACTCCTGGCCTCAAGTCATCTGCCAGCCTTGGTCTCCCAAAGTGCTGGGATTACTGCGCCTGGCCTTATTTATTTATTTTTTTTATAGAGATGGGTTCATTATTTTGACCAGGCTGGTTTCGAATCCTGGCCTCAAGTGATCCTCTCATCTTGGCCTCCCAAAGTGCTAGGAGTACAGGCATGAGCCACCGCACCTGGCCGGCTGGGATGTTTAAACCGCCTCTGTTGCCACTTGTGGAGACACACAATGCTCTGTGGCCTCTGCTTACAGGTGTGGGGTTGAAGAGCCCTATTAATCCAGAAACATCCCTGCATATCCATGGATGCTCTGTGGCCTCTGCTTACAGGTGTGGGGTTGGGGAGCCCTATTAATCCAGAAACATCCCTGCATATCCATGGATGCTCTGTGGCCTCTGCTTACAGGAGTGGGGTTGAGGAGCCCTATTAATCTAGAAACATCCCTGCATATCCATGGATGCTCTGTGGCCTCTGCTTACAGGTGTGGGGTTGAGGAGCCCTATTAATCTAGAAACATCCCTGCATATCCATGGATGCTCTGTGGCCTCTGCTTACAGGTGTGGGGTTGAGGAGCCCTATTAATCCAGAAACATCCCTGCATATCCATGGATGCTCTGTGGCCTCTGCTTACAGGTGTGGGGTTGAGGAGCCCTATTAATCTAGAAACATCCCTGCATATCCATGGATGCTCTGACTGCACAAAGGACTTTAGTTTGAGCCCAGATTTTCCTTCCTTCTTCTTCTTCCCACTGGTTCCTGGAGGGGGTCAAAATCAGCTTTCAGAGAGATAAAGGCCATGCCAGACATGAGCAAGATGGTTGCCTAAGGGGTTGCCAGATTCCACACAGGATGCCCAGTTCAATTTGAATTTCAGATAATAAATTTTTTTTTTGTATAAGCATGTCCCAAGTACTACACGGGACATACTTATACTAAAAGTTATTTATCATTTTCTAGAATTTACCTGGATGTCCCATATTTTCTAATTTTCTAAATTTACCTGGATGTCCCATATTTTTATATGCTAAATCTAGCAACCTTGTACTTGAGGAAGCCTCAAGTTCAGGCTGAGCACAAAACCCACCTCCCTTTGACACCAGACTGAGGATGATTACGGCTCCCTTGGATGCCCAGATAGAGTCATCTGAGGGCTAAAACGAAGGAGGAATTCTTCGTTTGGCTGTGAGTTTTGAGGACTGGAAAAAAGAGAAGGTTTAACCAAAGAAGTGAAATTTAAGCTGTACCTTAGAAGTATATCAGGCAATTGAACGAGTTAATGAATAAGTTGTGAGTTCCTTGTGGGACAGACCATTTCTTATCTATCTTTATATTTATAGACAATTTATATCAGGTCTGGCATAGCCTAGATGCTCCATGATGAAGCAAAAGAGAGGAAAAGAGAAAGGGGGAGAAGAAAGGTGGGGATGAAGAACAGACTGTCCTAGAAGCCAGATAACCTTTGGAGGGCTGGGACAGCAGCTCCAGCCATCCAGGAGGCTTCAGTCCGTGTGGCAAGGTCTCTGAGGAGGGGAGGAAGTCCTACTGATCAGGTGGCTGTGCCTCAGATGCTCGGGGACAGCTGGAGGGAAGCTCTGAGTAACAGCAGCAGATGTGGCCCAGGTCTGGGAGGTGGGAGATGAGGCGTCCAGTCTCAGCTCTGCTCCTGCCTTCAGTTAGCCAGAGAATCTCACAGGTGAACAAGACCCTAGACATTCTCCAGGCCATTTTATTTACAGCTAGGGCAATTGAGGCTCAGAATGGGACACAGACCTCTGTACTCGGCTTTTGATTTCACTACTTCATTCTTTCACTCAGCAAACATTTAACAATTATTCTACGTCAGGTATTATTCTAGGAGAAACTGGAGCTCAGAGATAAATATAATGCATCCTTGGCCTCGAGGAGAACACAAATTAGTAGGAAAGGCAAAAAGAGAGCCCGTGACTGCAGTCAGTGCTGGTGAGAACTATGAGGAGGATATGAAGGATTTGTGGGAGGGTGGGAAGGGGCCAGCAAGGTTGGCAGGATCTGTGGGCGAGGTGATGCTCAGTGGGAGGCACGAGGAGTGAGTAAGGGAGTTGACAGGTTGCTGGAACAGATAATTGAGGCAGGGACTGGGGTCTGAAGGGGGCAATGGTAAGACAGGAGAATGGAGAAAGAGGTGGATCCCAGACATGGGGTCTGAGCTGAGCTGGAAATATCAGGGGTTCAGCCCCCATTAGCCTGGTACACCAAGTCTGGTTCTTAGGGCTTCCTGGAGCCCAGATGTCTCACTCCAAGCATGGGGACCAGGCGTCAGCATTCCCACATACCTGTACTCAGTTCATCTGCTTTGCTGCCACAGGGACATTCTACTTTTCTGAGCTTGGCCCCAGTTTCCCTATCAGGACAACAGGCCCTCTTCCTGCCTCCAAGCTTCAGGAATAGCATTGGCAGGGATCAGCAAAGGGACTCTGCAGCCTCTGCCCTCCATCCCACCCCCATTTTCTCAGGGGTTAGAGTGGCAAGTGTCAGCATGGCCATGGGCCCCCTGTGTCCCCTCCCCCGCTGTGTTCTCTATAATTTTATATTGAGACCTGTGGTCATGACGTGGGTTTTACTGCACTAACGACATGGCCTGCCCAGGTTTAATGACAAAATCCATACTCTGGCCCTGGGCCTGCTCCGCGTTTGCATAATTCCCAGAATACAGCTCCCTGAAGCTTTTGACCTGGGCCATTACAGTGGCCATAAAACGGGCCATAAAAACCGCTGGGGATGGCCAAGACGAGGGGGCTGTGGTCTTGCTGGGGTGGAAATGAAGCCCTCAACCCCATACTCTTCCTAGGCTTGGGAGGAAGCATCCTCTGGCTCTTCCTTTCCACAGCTCCCAGAATCTGGAAGTCCATTTCAGGCTGGCGAGGCCCCTGGAATCCTTAGTTCAGCTGCCCATTGGATGCAGGAATCCCTTCTCCAATACTGCCGGCAGCACCACAGGTGGGCAGGCCGAGCCCACCAGAGGCAGGCTGTCAGCAGGCATCCTCTCGAGTGTTCCTCTCTCCAGCTCATGACACTCCCCAACCCCCAAAAGCTGGCCAAACCCTTTTGCCACATGTGGGTCTAGGTCACACAGGCCTGGTTGAATCCTGTCCCTCCTCAGGAGGCCTCGCTCCCTCAGGAGGTCAGGAGCTGGGCTGAGCAGCATAGTGGGGATATGCGGGAAGCACAAGGGGATGGGGATGGGGACAGGGACTGGGATGGGCTGTCAGTGCTAAAGATGATGAATGGGGGAGGTGAGGCGGGAGGCCCAGTGTTATCGGCAGAGGATGGCGGGTGCGGGCGCTTGCCGTTCCTGCTAATCCCCGGGCGCTGCCTCAGCCCTTGCACTGATAACGAGGAAATGGGACTGACAACAATTTTTAGCTGAGAGATTCTTCACCAAAATGCCAGGCGGCCAGAGGTCTGACAGCGCCTGATTGAGTGTGTGAGTGCGTGGGGGGAACGCCCGCAGCCCCCTCCCCTCCCATGCAAAGATGGATCGCTCATTCCGCCTCCCGTCCACATTCATTACCTCACCTCCCTCCCCACCGCCCCAGTCGCGGAGTGCCTGCCACCTCCACTTCTCTGCTTGCCACAGGTATCCCTGCAAGCAGGAGGAGGGCAGGGAGGGGAGGGGCTCTGACCCCATCCTCAGCCTTACACAGGGCAACTCCAGCTCCAAGAGCAGGGAGGCGACTCTGCAGAGGCAGGGACCGGGAGTCAGGGGAATCAGGTCCCAGCCTGGAGGCTCCCTAAGTTGTATGACCTCCAGAGAGTCCCTTTTCCTTGCTGAGCTGCTAGAATACCTTTCCTGCTGGACAACAGTGAGGCTCCAACAGGGAGTGACTGATGGTAAGCTGCGAAGGACAGGCCTGTCGAGGAGGAGAGAAGAGGTCATGCCAAGGCAGCCCTCTTCCTAGCTTGGGCCAGGCTCCAGCCAGCCCAGCCCTCTCGCCTCGAAACAAGGCCTCAGGTACCCGGGGTCCTAGATCAGCCCTCTGCTGCCCCCCTCTGTTGGGAATGGTTGACCATTGGGAACAGGCAACTCAAGTGCCGGCACAACCTGCCCCTTCCCTGCCATCTTCCACAGCGAAGCCTGGTGCAGAATTGGACATATAGAGGTCGGGCGTCTTGTTCAAAGGGAAAGCCCTCCCCTCCTTGACCACTCACCCACGTCTGGCCTTGCAGCTCCCCACCGTGTGATTGCCTCTCTGGCTTGGCATGTTTGGTTTTGTCCCAGTTCTTTTGCATGAGAGTTCCATTCTCGCCTCTGCTTGTCCAAGCAACAAATTCCATCTCTATTTTTTCTCTACAGACCACAAAAGGCATGGCTTGATCGACTGGTGTCTGACAGGGATGAGGAGGGTTGAAATGAGGGTGAGGGTGACTGTAATGACAGATGGCCATGGAGGCTGGGACTTTTAAGAGTATGTGTGTGGGTATATGTGTGTGTTCATGTGTACACACGTGTGTCCTACCCCAACCCCTGCAATGGAAAGACTTCCATTTCCTAGTGACCAAGAAACAGGAACTTCAAGCAGAATTCAACAGAGCTGCCTCTTGCTAGCTGTGTGACCTTGGGCAAATCACTTAACGTTATTGAGCTTCATTTCTCCTTGTGTGAAATGGGGATAATGATATCTAACTCCCAAGACTTCTGTGAAGATCCAGTGAAATCAGGGCTGTGTACAAGTGAGGAGTCATTAGTGCCTCCAGTAACACACTAGCAAAGTTTGTTGTTTGTGCCTATATCTGCCCCATCCTGACACCTGCCCTGCCTTGCCTATATCTGGCCTTCTTCCCTTCTATGATCCAGATCTTTTACCACTCAGTAGGTGCCCTGGCCCTAGCTCCTCTGGCCCCCATGGAGTTCCTTCTTCCTATCCATCATTACCCATATATCTGGTTATTGGTTTATATGTCGGTTTATCCATCTGTCCATCTACCTATCATCTATCCATTATCTGTCCATTTGTAATAACAACAACTGTCTATCAAGTATCATTATATATTTGGCTGTAGGTCAATACTACACATACTTTATCTCATTAATCCTTACAGCAGTTCTGTGAGGTAGGTGTTACTGTCTCTATCACACTGATGAGGAAAATGGGGCTCAGAACAATGTGGTGACAGCTACAAAGTTCAGAGCAGGGATTTAAATCCAGTTCTGTCTGAATCCAGACCTGAACAATACCCAACTACCTACCTACCTACCCACTCACCTAGCTAATGATTCAATATGACTCCACAGATGTTTACTGGATGCCCATTAGGGGTCGCTATAGCACAGATGCCAGACAATAATGAAGACAGGCGCACTCTCTGCCCTCAGGGAGCTTAGGACCTAACAATGGATAGAAACATGAAACGATTGTCCCCAGAGTGGTCTTAGGAAAAGAAAAGTACATGGGGCCGGTGTGGTGGCTCAAACCTGTAATCCTAGCACTTCGAGAGGCCGAGGTGGGAGGACTGCTTAAGGCCAGGAGTTTGAGACCAGCCTGGGCAACACAGTTAGACCCTATCTCTACAAAAAAATTAAAAAATTAGCCAGCTGTGGTGGCATGTGCCTGTAGTCCCAGCGACTTGGGAGGCTGAGGCAGGAGGATCGCTTGAGCCCAGGAGTTTGAGGCTGCAGTGAGCTATGATCGCACCACTGCACTCCAGCCTGGCCTACAGAGTGAGACCCTGTCTTAAAAAAAAAAAAAAAAGTACACAGAACTAGGGGAGTATATCATCTGGTCTGGAAGGTGAAGGAAGTGACATTCAGCGAAGGCTGAAGGATGCGTGGGAACCAGTCAAACAGTGATTGGGGGAAGTGGTGCTCTAGATAGAAAACAGCACATTTGGCCGGGCGTGGTGGCTTATGCCTGTAATCCCAGCACTTTGGGAGGCCGAGGCGGGCGGATCACGAGGTCAGGAGATCGAGACCATCCTGGCTAACACAGTGAAACCCCGTCTCTACTAAAAATACAAAAAAAATTAGCTGGGCGTGGTGGCGGGCGCCTGTAGTCCCAGCTACTCGGGAGGCTGAGGCAAGGAGACTGGCATGAACCCAGGAGGCGGAGCTTGCAGTGAGCTGAGATTGCACCACTGCACTCCAGCCTGGGTGACAAAGCGAGACTCCGTCTCAAAAAAAAAAAAAAAAAGAAAACAGCACATTTGAAGGTATACAGGAGAAAGAGCCTAAGTGAGGAACTGGAAAGAGTCCAATGTGGCTGGAGCACAGAGAGTGAGGGGCAGAGTGCTGAGGTATGATGATAGAGAGGGTGCATCCTGGAGGACTTTTAAACTACATTAGTGATTTTGGTTATTTTTTTTAAACATACAATGAGAAGCCATCAGAGAGTTTTAAACAGGAGAGTGATATATCAGACTTGTATTTAAAAAAGATTATTCTAACTGCAAAGTAGCCAGTGGTCTAAGGGGCAAGAGCAAGTGCAGGAAGGCTGTTTAGGAGGTTATCTCACTAACTCAGGGGAGAGACGATGGCGGCTTGCTCTAGCATGACGATGCCGGAGATGAACAGAGGCAGATGGATTGGACGTGGAAGTTAAGGGACAGAAAAGAGTTAAGGATGACTCTAAGGTTTCTCGCTTGAGCAACCTCTAGGTGGTAGAACATTGACTGATTTATGGAATGGGAGGAGGAGCAGCAAGCTTGGTAAGGAAGAAAATGAGTTGAGTTTTGGATGTACTTAGCTTGAGGAACTATTAGACATTCATGTGAAAATGCTGAGTAGGCACTCTATGTGAGCCAGAGCTAGAGTTCTAGACCCGGGAGACATTGACATAGAGCACCGAAGCTCACCACTGTGTCCTCTGTGCCTGGAACAATGTCTGGCATGTGGTAAATGCTCAATAAATATTTATTGAATAAATAAATGAATGAAGTTCAGAGTAGGCAAGATCACCTAGGGAGAGAGAATACACTAGGAAGAGTGTCTGGAACAGAACCTTCGTTTACAGTTAGAGGAAGTTTAAGGCATCAAGGACTAAGAAGGAACAGCCAAGAGGTAGAATGAAAACAAGGAAAGTGTGATGTCATTGAAGCCAAGAAAGGAAGAGTTGCAAGGACTCTACTGTCCTCAGTAAGGTCAAATGCTGTTGAGAGGTCAAGGACATAAGGCATGAAAAGCATCCCATCCACTCATCTTATACATAGCACAACCATCTACCCTCCAGTTCATCCACCTGTCATCCATCCAAACCACCTAATTACTCATCCACTCTCCCCTCACTCAGTCCCTTCCTCCTTCTCTTAAAACTATGATTGGCGCCTCTGCTGAGTATGGGACAGCAAGAGTTAACATGCTGACAGATGGCATTTTTTACCTTCAGTCAATATGAACGAGGCCCCAAGACTATGATTCCAAACATCTGGATTTCATCAATATGTGATCTGTCATCGTATATTGGCATTCCCCAGTCTCCGGGCCAGAGCAATGCGGCTGGTTTTATTAATACGTCAAATACATTATCCGTGTAATACACTTGTCTGGCTGGGGCCTCCCGCTGGGGCGGGGCAGCGGATTTGAATGTATGATGAATCAGTTTGCATTACATGTTCGTAAGTCATCATTTGTCAGGATTAATAGGCATCCCTGGTTGAGGAGGTAGGGGTAGGGCGGGCAGGGGAGAGATATGTATTTAGCTGTGGCCCATGCTTTCTTCTGGTGCCCAGGGATGTCCTGGGAACAGCTGTGCACCCTCTTGCCCAGACCCCAGGGTAGTGGCCGGTGCCCGTGGGGCAGAGGTGACATTTTCAGCAGTTCCAGAGTCACTTGGAACCCAATAGGCCTATTTGTTTCTGCTTTGGGCTTGCTAAACAACCAAAAAGGATAGGACAGGGGCTAGTTGCACAACCTGGCTAACTCTTCCTCATCCTTTAGGATGCAACCTAGGGTTCCTTCTTCCACGTGGCCTTCCCAGACTCCTCCAGACTGTATTGGGTGCCTCCTCTGTGTTCCCGAAGCCTCTTGTGCTACTTCTATCACAGCCCTTGTCACAGTGTCATTATTGCCTGTTATGATTCTATCACCTTCTTTAGATTATAAATTTATTGAGGGCAAAAATTAACTTGTTCCCTGCTATAGCCCCAGCATGTAGCAGAATGCATAGCCCAAAGTGAGAAAATAGTCATAGTAATAGTAGAAATCAATAAATATTGTTTGAATCAATGAATAAGTAATCACTGACCTCGCTAAATCCCCAAAGAGGCAGATGCCAGCTGGGAGATGCCATGGGGTTTTTCTCTGATTCCTTGTCCCACCCTGACTCTGGTCTAGTCTGGTCAGCTATCCTTCTATATATGCTTTTCTTTTCTTTTTTTTTTTTTTTTGAGACGGAGTCTCACTCTGTCACAGGCTGGAGTGCAGTGGTGTGATCTCAGCTCACTGCAACCTCTGCCTCCTGCGTTCAAGTGATTATCCTGCCTCAGCCTCCTGAGAAGCTGGGACTATAGGTGCCCACCACCACACTCGGGTAATTTTTGTATTTTTAGTAGAGACGAGGTTTCACCATGTTGGCCAGGATGGTCTCGATCTCCTGACCTCGTGATCCACCACCTCAGCCTCCCAAAGTGCTGGGATTACAGGCATGAGCCACCGCGCCCGGCCCCTATATATGCTTTTATCTGTTCCTCTTCTTTCTGTAAGACATGTATAGACCCTCTCACACAGCATGAGGTTCCTTACATGTGACACACATACCTAGATATAATACACAGGTGTGAAACATTCATGGCTACATACCCTTGCCATCTTTCCTTCTCCCTCCATTCTGCCTGCAGAAACTCAAGGTTGGCACTGCCCATTCCACATGGCCTCCTGCCAGCTCCAGGTACAAGAGCCTGACTCCTATGGTGATGCATGCTATTTACCATCTCTAGCAATAGAAGGTGCCTGGATTGAGCCAGACATGGCTCCTGGGTGGCCAGTGGCAAACATCTGCAAGACAGCCAGGTGAAGTCAGTCTATGGACAGGTTTAGGCTCAGACTTGGGCTCAAGCTGGAGCCAAAGGCTCCAGGCCAAGGCACAAGCAAGCTCACTGAGTCTTGGTCATAGAAGCTAAACCCTTGACCCCATGAGCCTTTGCTCCGGCCAAAGGCACCAGCCAACCTGTTCAGAGACTGGCGGGGCTTCAGGGGCCACAGCTGTTTCACACCCATGACCTTGGCTATTTCAAACATAACTACAGCCTCTGTCCTCTTGTGGAGCTACAATTCAGTTTCTCTCCTTTAGCTAATAACTTCCAGACATCTCCCTGGGTTGGGCTGGGCCAGTGGAGGGTGGGGCAGGCAGGGCCTCCCAGAGTTCCCTGGGATTAGGCTTCACAGACTACAGTGAAGGGCCTGATTCTGGAAAATATCCACATGTGGACCTGCACATGCATCCTCTCAAGTGTCTGGACACACACATGCTTGTGCTGGCACTGGCACACACAAGTGCTCACACGGTGTGGGTATTTTTTTGCATTTAGACAAACACCTGAGCACCTATCACTATACCTGCCTATTCTCCCTAGCCTGCACACACACTTCACTCTCTCTCATGCCTTCCTTGCCATGCAGCCAAAATGCTAAGACTGTACTGTTTAAAGGAAAGTAACTTCAAGTGTGCTTTACCCCCTGCTGGTTCTGACGATGGGCTTATAAAAATGAAGTGGGAACCTCCGCAGCTGTGGGCAATAAATCCTGAGCTGCCAAGGAGGGCAGTGTTACCTGCTTTCTAGGCTGATGGGTGGACCGTGGGGCACTGATTACAAGTGCCTGCAGGGCTGGATGGGCAATGGGCCAGCTGCCTGGCCTCAGGCGCTGCCTGCTAGCACATCCCAGGCCAGCTGCCTCCCTCACACCTGAGGGGTTAAGAGACCCAGAACCCTAGGGAGGGAACAAGGACTATGAGAGCAGCAGAGGGAGGTAGAGGAAGAAAAGGGCTGGGTGGGGAGAGTGAGCAGCCAGCCACGTGCTGCTAAGGCTGAGGGGAGCCCTTGCATCTGGAGATCAATTAGCATCAATTACTGACTTCATTTAATTGTCGTCCAAGATGAATTTGTCATTTTTAGCTGGGAATTAATGGGAGACCTTCACCTCTCCCTGGCAGCAGCGGCGGAGCCAACAATGGTCACCTCAGCCTCCCAGGAGCTCTGAATCCTGCTTGGGTCTGGGCCCAGACTTGGGCAGGCAAATAGTGGGGCTTCTGCTCCCTGGGTGAGCTCTGGCCTGCCCCAGGCCCTGCTGGCCTGGCCCACCGTAGCCCGGGGCCAAGGTGGGGGCAGTGGGTCCTGGGTAGCAGTTCTTTGCAGCCTCTGGCTTCAGCCAGAAATTAATTTGCTGGGCTGAGCATGTTTACCTTTTCCCAGCAAAGGCGAGACAGTAAACAGCGGACCGGCGGCTGAAATTGAATTGATAACTGCATCAACGTGCCAGATAACGCCTAAAATAATACGCCGATAAGGAAATTCGATTTGATTTGCTGCTGCGCATCAGATTGGCCCCATCTGTAGCTGCCTGTAATCATTTTCAATTGCGTTGGGAAACCTTATTTGTCCTTAAATATTTCTGTCATTTTTCATTGCTGGTGACAGATCCTTGGGCAGGTGGCAGGGGTGTGCTGCCTCTATGGGCGCAGGGTGGCGGCCCGAGGAGGAGGAGGAGGGGTGGTGTGGACTCGGAGAGAAGGAGGCAGGGAGCAGGCAGCCGGGCGGTGACAGCTGTTCCTCCAATCAATCACGCTGTCGACAGGGAGGGACGACTGGCTGGCAGAAATTGAGTTTGCCTCACAGGGGACGATTGAGCAAATTAATAGCCCATTAGCCAAGCAGTGACCTGAGAAATGAAGGTGCAGGGGTTCCTGCTCACTCAGGCCGGATGGGGTGGGGCAGGGCAGGGGAAGGGTCTGGAGAGGAGAGAACTAAGGAGGAGTGTGGGAAGAAGAGGAATGGATGGATGGATGAGATGAGCGGTATGTGTGTGTGGGGTGGAGTCGGGAGTCAGTGAAGGAGGAGGGACATCAAGTTGGGGAAGGCAGGCTAGAGATGCAGGCAGTTCTGGGAGGGATGCAGTGGACAGAGGGTAGTGGTGGAGGTAGCTCCGACTGATGTCTCTCCACTACCTTCCCAGCATGACCTCTGGGACAGAGGACCATGCCAATAAACTCCTCTCCATCCGCAGTCTCTAGATACTCCCTTTACTCTCTCTACTCACTTTCCCCGGAACCTGGAGATGCTGCCACTCAGTTGCTGTCCTCTCCACTGCAGGCTGTTTATTCTCCCAACTCCATGCTCCTCAGGCCAGGCAGTGGACTCAGTGTCTTCCAGCTCATTGCTTCTCCACCCTCTGGACTCTTTGAGGTCAAGTACCATGCTACAGCCCACCTTGTCAGTTACCTACCATTCTCTACACTCACCCAGGACTTTCACACTTGCCTCTCTCCCCGAAGCCCATCACTGTCCTGACCTCCTCAGCTCCTATTATTTTTTTTCCTGTTCTTGACTTCCTCCTGGAGATCCTTGTCATCAACCTAAGTAGAACCCGTGACGGAACTCCCTCTCCCCCAAGCCCTCTCAAAGACTTGTATCCATTTAACTTGCTCCTCCCTCTTCCCTTCTCCCAACTCCCAAGCCACCACGCACTCATGGATGCTAGCCTGGGTCCCTTGTGCACCTTCAACACCATCTTGCCAACACACTCAACTTCTTACTTCCTTTGCCTTCTCCACAACCCAACTATTCTCCTTTTTGTCTCAGACACTCAGGCGGCTAAGCACAGCTGGGGAAAATCACAAAACCATGCAGATATGTGCCAATAAAAATTCACAGTTTCCAATCTCAGCACCACTAAACAATCCTTTTGCATGCTCTTGGTCAGCTCCGTCTCCTCTTTCCCACAGAGACAATTCAATAATATTTTACTATCTTGAGCCGCCTCGCCATCTCCTGTCCCCCTCTCTCTGCTAGGTGGCCTTGCTTCCTCCTTCACTCTGAAATTTAGTCCTTAGGCATGAATTTCCTCAGCTTGTGGATCTACTCTCACCTCCCTGTTCCCTCCAGTTTCAGTGGAACAGGCATCCTCCTACTTTAGCCTAATCACTTCTCCTGGGCTTTGATACCAATCCTGCCTATGTTCCCTGGGAAAACTGTCAAGTTCTCCCTCTCTACTGCATCTTCTCCTTCCCTTCCTCATGCTTTCCTCCATCAGCATATCAACTCCCACGTCTTTCCCATATTACAGCAACATCAGCATCAACAACCCAGCTCTCTCTTCCATATGGCACCCTTTTACTAATGGCCTTTTCTTCTCCTTCTCTTCTCACCTAAGATGCTCCAAAGACTCTTGCTTGCTGCCCATACTTTTTTACCTCCTAACCACTTCTTAACTCATCGCAACCTGAGTTTCATCCCCACCATTCTATGGTAACTACTCTCAGTGAGGTCCTTGGTGATCATCCACAATAGATACTCCAGTTATATTTATTTATTAGCCCAATAAATATTTGTTGAGTGCCTTCCATGTGCTAGGCAATATACCGGGGTCTAGGGATACAATGAGATCCATGTCCTTATGGAGCTAACAGTCTAGTGAGAGAACAGATGCAATAACATACTTGTACAATTGTAAAATTGCAATTGTACCAAAAAGAGGTCAACAGTGCTGTGGGAGCCTGTAATATAGATATTTGCCTTGTTCAGAGAAACCTAGAGACACAAGCTGAGGTGTGATAGATAAGTACTTGTTGAAGAGATGAGGAAGAAGGGAAGTGGTAACACTAATCAAATGCTTACTCTGTGGCAAGCACTGTACTTTTTTTTTTTTTGAGACAGAGTCTTGCTCTTGTTGCCCAGGCTGGAGTGCAATGGCGCTATCTCAGCTCACTGCAACCTCTGCCTCCCGGGTTCAAGTGATTCTCCTGCCTCAGCCTCCCGAGTAGCTGGGACTGCAGGTGTGTGCCACCACATCTGTCTAATTTTTGTATTTTTAATAGAGACGGAGTTTCATCGTGTTGGCCAGGCTGGTCTCCAACTCCTGACCTCAGGTGATCCATCCACCTCGGCCTCCCAAAGTGCTGGGATTACAGGAGTGAGCCACTGTGCCCGGCCAGCACTGTACTATTTAATCCCTATTTTATAAGTAAGGAAACAGAGGCGTAGAGAAGTTCTTAGTTTGCCCATGGTTACGAGGTAAGTGGCTGTGTGGGACTTATGTAATACCACAGCCCCATGCATGCTCTTAGTCACGCTATTCTGCTGCCTCTGATGTTAGCTATTGCCCTTGTCATCATTCACTTCTCCCTCTCTCCACACTCTATGTGTGATCTCTGAAACTCTGGTTTCATTCCCTCAGCCTGTACCTCCAATCTGAGCCACGTACAACACTGCGTAGAAGATGCTCTGCTTGGATGTCCCATAGGCTCTTTAAGCTCAACATGTCTGAGATGGGACTTACCTTCCTCTAGACCTGCCCTCCTCCTGCTTTTGGTTTCAGTGAATGGTACCACTATCCAGAGACCTCCCTAAATTGACAATCTTAATTTTTACTCTTTACTCCAGTCCCTACATCCAGTAAGTCAACATCTTCCCTGTTTTTACCTCCTAAGTACTGGTCAGAATCATCTTCTTTTCTTCATTGCCCTAGTTTAGGCATCTTCATATTCAGTCCCTACTCTTAGGTCTCCTCATGTATCTCTCTCCCCTCTAATCTATTCCATCCCTACAGTTACAAGGATCTTCCTAAAACACAAATCAGATCCTATCATTCAGCTGCTTAAGATCCTTCCCTGGTTCCTAAAGCCACAGCATACATTCTGAACTCTTTATCATACATGCCCCTCTCCAGCCTCCTATCCCATCTTGCAATAGTGTGTGCTCTGGCTGGACAAAATGTAGCTCTTCATCTGGTATTCTCACTGCCAATAATGCTCATGACCATGCCATCATCTCCCCATGGGCAACTTTTAACTGTGATTTATTCCTTTTTTATTTTGAGACTGGGTCTCACTCTTTTGCCCAGGCTGGAGTCAGTAGCACAATCACAGCTCACTGCAATTTCCACTGCTGGGCTCAGTGATACTCTCACCTCAGCCTCCTGGGTAGCTACAGGCACACACCACCATGCCCAGCTAACTTTTTGTAGAGATAGGGTTGTGTCATGTTGCCCAGGCTGGTCTTGAACTCTTGAGCTCAAGCAGTCCGTCCACCTCGGCCTCCCAAAGTGCTGGGATTACAGATGTGAGCCACCGCGCCTGACCCTATTTATTCTTGAAGACCACACTCAGACAATGCTTCCTCTTTGAAGCCTTCCCTAATAATTAACTACTCTCTTTTTCATGCTATGTTCCACATATGTCTATATGTCGATTATTGCATACATCATATAATATTGCAATTATTTATTTATCTGTCTTGTCTGGGAGATTCTGAGCTCTTTGTTTTATTTATTTATTTAATTTTTTTACTGCTCCTTGTGGAGCAGGGCTACCCCGTAGGCAGTGTGCCCAGAGTAGCTGATGCTGAGCTTCTTGAGGGCAGAGAGATTCTCTGATTCATCCTGGAACACTCAAGACCCTAGGCATACAGTCTGGCATAGGGTGGGTATTAGTAACTGTTAAATGATTCAGGGACTAAGTGAATGGGAGTGAAAGGCCTGCAGGAGAATGTCTGGAAAAAAAGAGAGATGGGGTGGGGGAAGTGTGAGGGTGAGAGAGGTGGGGATAGGGGAAGGAAGGCAATTGAGGCAATGCCGAAACCTTCTTTTGCTTAAATGAAGCCTTGCTTCATGGTCAGTGAGAGTCAGAGGCCCTAAGGGTGTCAAAGGGTAGAAGCTCTCGAAATACAGAAGCTCCAGAACTGCTCTCCTTACCAAAATATCAAGTGGTCATAGACCTGGTGGGAAATGGGTGACCAGTGACCATGTGAACATAACCAGACAGCAAAATCCCATGCCTAGAAACACTGACAGACATGCACACCAGGACATATGGCCAGTCACGTGCTCCTAGAGGGTCCCCAGCAGCTCCCCTATCCCAGAGCCCTCGGCAGGCCTCTCTGTGGGCCCAAGCCCCACCCGGAACCCCTGGGCTGCACGCTTTCTCTCTCTCACTCAGCAATTTCCCTACCCAAGAAAGCTCTAAGGGTTTCAATTACCGGCGTGTGGGATTTAGTGCCCTGGGCTTCTCTGACTGGAGGAGATTTATTTGAAGGTTTAGTGTCGTGGAGAATTCACGTCTTCACTCCCAGGAGCCCAGCTTCCGTCCTGAGCCCCTAAATCAGGAACCAAGATGGGCTATTGTCACTTACCGCATTAGCCTCGTTAGCGGACCAGGAGGGGTGATTAATAGCAATACACACACAGCCATCTTGCTCGCTTGCAGCTCCTGCTGCTGCTCATGACCTGGGGAGGGGTGGGGAGGAGCTGAACCTGCTCCAGAATAACTGAGGACTCTGGGCTTAGCCCCCTCCCTGTTTCCCCCTCCCCATCACCAGGCAGGAAAGTCCACATGACCATTCAAGATCTGGGGACAGTTCAAAGATTAGCAAGCCTAGCCAGAGAGAGCACATCTGGAGGCCTGACTCTTGGAGGGGGCGGGCAGGGGGCATGAGGGGGCTGGTTTCAGGATATGTCCCAAAGTGTACACCTGTGTTCGAGAGAGAACGAGAGAGAGAGAGAGAGAGAGGTGGGTGGGGTGGGGTGTGAGGAGACAGTGGGGGGTTGTATGTGAAGGAGGTAGACGGGTGTATGTTTATTTCATTTCCCAAACTGTCTTTGAGACTGGAGATAGCGCACTGAGGAAGACAGACAAGGGCGCCGGGAAGAGGAGGCGTGTACATGAGAGAAAGAGGTCCATGTAAGAGTGAGAAAGACCAAGAAGTGTGCAAGGAGAAATAAAAAAGTGTGGCTGAGAGAGGGGTGAATATGTGCATGTGAGAGGCTTCTATGAGACAGAGAGGTGCGTGTGTGCCGGAGCCATCTGGGAGACATTCGTGAGAAACGGTGTGTGTGCAAGAGTGGGTGTGTGAGGGGAGATGAGAGAAAGGGGTGCATAACAGACATGTTGTGTATGAAAAGAACGTGAGAGGTGTGGATGGGAGGGAGGGGCACAGCGTGAGAGAGGGAGGTGAGGGAGGTTCGTGTGTGTGTGTGTGTGTGTGTGTGTGTGTGTGTGTGTGTGTGCATGAGAGAGAGAGAGAGAAGGGCGTGTATGTATGTTGAGACAGAGAAGGATGTACGTTTTCTGTCTTGTTTTCCTTTGTCTCTTCAAATTCTCCCCTCCTTGCCCCTTTTCCCCCCAAAGTTTTTGGAGCCATGCTAACCTGGGTTTGAATTTCACTTCTGGCTACTTCATTCATTTATTTATCCATTCATTCACCAAATTATTACGGAGCATCTGCTAGCTTTTACCTTCCTGTGCCTCCTTTGTCTTACCTATAAAAAGAAGATAATAATTATACTTGCCTAACAGGGTGATTAGGATACCTTGGTGGTATAACTTACATAAAATGTCTCGAAAGAGCACAGAATTTGGAGCTGGATGCACTCTATAGCACAGCATCTGGCATGTGGGTCAGGAAATGGTAGCTACAGAGCTGCAGCTCCTCTGCCAATCCCTTTCTCTCTTCTTTTTCCATGTCCCTTATCCTCCTCCCTTCCTCTCTCCCACTCGCTTGTTCTCTCTCAATCACAGCTGAGCCATAGTATTAATTATTAGAACCAATTGACTGTTTAGACTCTGATGTTTTAACTAATCACCACTAATGGCAAACACTGGTGGGCAATCACATTCATTTAGTTCTTGGGCAAACTCCTCATAGTTGAGAGCGGACTAGAGGGAAGGGATCCAGCAATAACTGGCATTTGGGAATGATGGGAGGGGAGGCTCACTGCTGCCTAGAAAGAGGCCCTTCTCTCCTCCCTGGGCCAGCCAGGTCCCTTGGGATGGGTCAGCTGAGCCTTGCCTTGGAAGTGGGTCGGCTTCCTTCCCTATCGTTTTTCCTTTATTTATTTTTTTTGTGACTGAGGGAAGTGGTAACACTAATCAAATGCTTACTCTGTGCAAAGCACTGTACTATTTTTTTTTTTTTGGAGACAGAATCTTGCTCTTGTCCCCCAGGTTGGAGTGCAATGGCACGAGGGCTCACTGCCACCTCCGCCTCTCGAGTTCAAGTGATTCTCCTGCCTCAGCCTCCCGAGTAGCTGGGATTACAGGTACCTGCCACCACACCCAGCTAATTATTGTATTTTTAGTAGAGACAGGGTTTCACCATATTGGCCAGGCTGGTCTCTGACTCCTGACCTCAGGTGATCCACCTGCCTCAGCCTCCCAAAGTGCTGGGATTACAGGCATGAGCCACCGCACCCAGCCCCTTCTCTGTCTTTTTACTTCTCTGCCCTTTGGCCTCAGTCTCCCCTTTTGACTTAGAATTCTTTCATGGGAGTCTCCAGAAACCACTACAGTGGAAATATCCCAGAAATATCCTACCTGCTCCCCTTCCTTGAGTTGCTTTTTAGTTGTTGTCCTTCCTAAAAGTCCATTTCCAGAAGAGTCATTTAGACATAGGTTCAAAAATCTTTGCTCATCGGCCAGGCATGGCGGCGCACGCCCGTAATCCCAGCACTTTGGGAGGCTGAGATGGGCGGATCATGAGGTCAGGAGATCGAGACCATCCTGGCTAACACGGCAAAACCCCGTCTCTACTAAAAATACAAAAAAATTAGCCGGGCGTGGTGGCGGGCGCCTGTAGTCCCAGCTACTCGGGAGGCTGAGGTGGGAGGATGGCGTGAACCCGGGAGGTGGAGCTTGCAGTGAGCTGAGATTGCGCCACTGCACTCCAGCCTGGGCGACAGAGCGAGACTCCATCTCAAAAAATAAAAAATAAATAAAAATAAAATAATAAAATAAAAAGTAAAATAAAAATCTCTGTTCCTCACAGGGCATCTGCTTGATGCTGGTTGGAATGGAAAGCTGTACCCTGTCCATTCTGGCTGAGGGTTTCAGTGAAGAGAGCAGACAAACACGTGCTCAGTATTGCTGAGTCTGGAGAGAATGCCAGGGCTGGGGATGTGATCTGAGCATCATGTCCCTGAGAAAACACCTGCTTACTGATCCTGTCTTCTTCACACTGAGGCCCCAGAGCCCCAGCCTGCACACAACCCTGCTGTGCACTGAGCCCTGGCCCATCCTGTACCTGCTCCCCTAGTCTGTCCCGGGGAGCCAGATTCCCAGAACTCAGGAATGCCAGCTTCAGGGTGCAGGACTGGCTGGGCCAGATGGACCACAGGGCCCGGGCGTCCTGGAGGGGGTGGCCTAGGTGTCCGTGGCCAGTAGGTGTCGCTGTGGCTCCAGCACTGGGAGGGGGTGTTAGGCAGGGGCCCCGGAGCCGGCCGAGGTGTTGGGTGCCCTTTGGCCTCCCACCCCTACCTCGGGCCTTCCTTCACTCAGAGCCTTCACCAGGCTTCTCACACTTTCTTTAAGTGTCCATGGAACACTTGGAGGTTAATCTAAAACGCAGATTCTGATTCAGCAGCTCTAGAGTGGATCCTAGATTTTGCATTTCTACCAAGCTCCTAGGTGAGACCAGTGCTGCGGGTCTGTGGATGCTCTTTGAGTGGCAAGGTCCTAACTAAACGGCTCCATAGTGGGGAGGCACTGGCTCTGCTGTCTTCCAAAGCCAATCTTCACCCTCACTCCTATGTCTTTAAATAAAGCCCCGAATCAGAGGCCAAGGGTAGAGCCCCCTCTTTTTTTGGAGATGGGCTTAGCTAGACCAGCATGAGTTGGGCAGTTTCTAGAGAAGCTCTGAACCTAAACCTAACTCCAGTACTTTGAACCAACCCAGCCCTACCTCCTAGCCCAAGTCCTAAACTTCAATCCAATCCAATCCAAATTCCCCAAATTAACCCCAGTTCCCAATGGGCTATTGATTGCTTCAGTCCTGTCCCAAGACCGAATGCCCCCTTAGCCTCTCTGATAACCTTCCTGGTCCTCTGCCATACCTTCTTCTGGATACCAGCCTGAGCCAGGGCGGTGGGGCAATAGGGTCTGGGGACACATGCCTGGATCAGGCTCTTACAGAACTCAGCAAGGGAGCTCAGGCATTGCTCCAGACAAAGGAAAAGAGCAATTTGGCAGTCTAGTTGAGAACAGGCTCTCCCTGCTCTCCCAGACTCTCCCTGCAAGGCCATTTCTGTTGGGGAAAGTTCTGTCTCTGCCTTACCCCGTACGGCTCTGCTCTGCCCGATGGGCTCCACTTCCTGGGACGTGGGGAAGGCTGGGAGGAAGCATGTCCATTAGCCCAGTCCCAAGTGCAGGTGAAGGGGGTAGGATGGAGGGAGTGAAAGGAGGAGGAGGGAATGAAGTAACAAGGAGGGAGGGGGGGAGGCAAAGCGCCCTCCAGGGCTTTTCTTTTCAAATCAAAGTTTCTCTTGGGGGCCTTTCACTTTTCTTTTTCTGTCCACTGCCTGGCCCTTCTGGGTAGTGCAGAAGCGGATTCCTGCAGGGGTGGTAGGTTGTTATTCAAGCTGGACTATAAGAGTTTATCCCTTTTTTTTTTTTCTTTTGAGATGGGGTCTCACTCTGTCACCCAGGCTGGAGTACAGTGGTGCCATCTCAGCTCACTGCAACCTCCGCCTCCCAGGCTCAAGCGATTCTCCTGCCTCAGCCTCCCAAGTAGCTGGGATTACAGGTGCCCACCACCATGCCCGGCTAATTTTTGTATTTTTAGTAGAGTCAGGGTTTCACCATGTTGGCCAGGCTGGTCTTGAACTCCTGACCTCAAATGATCCACCCACGCCTTGGCCTCCCAAAGTGCTGGGATTATAGGCGTGAGCCACCATGCCCGGCCAAGAGTTTATCCCTTTTAAGTCTCATATTTTGTGATTTTTAAGAGTGCAATTATTTTATTTTATATCATTTAAAAATTTTTTTGAGACAGGGTCTCACTCTGTCACCCAGGCTGGTGCAGTGGCGATCCTAGCTCACTGAACCCTCGAACTCTTGAGCTCAGATGATCATCTTACCTCAGCCTCCTGAGGAGCTGGGATACAGGCCTGTGCCACCATGCCCAGGTAGTTTTTATTTTTTGTAGAAACAGGCTCTCACTATGTTGCCCAGGCTGGTCTTCAACTCTTGGGCTCAAGCGATCCTCTTGCCTTGGCCTCCCAAAATGCTGGGATTACAGACATGAGGCACCACCCTGGCCTGTTATTATTATTGATATCTTGTGATATTTAGCACTTTAGATATGAAAAATTTCTTTAGATAGGGAAAGGTAAAAGTTGCCTGAGGTCATGTTGGTCGAAAGCTTAAAAATGAAACTTTGGGCTCCTAATAGTCCGATGCTGTGTTCTGACTCCTACACTGAAAACATCTGGTCAAAGAAATCCTTATCAGGACTGTGATAGGACAGTGGGTCTCATCTCTTGCTGCCCTCTGCGGGTCTAGGGCATGGGATGGAACAGGGAAAAGGGCTTTGCCAAACAAACTGGTGGGTCCCTGTGGGCTGGCTCAGGCTTGGGCCTGTGTTGGGAGAGAAGATTGGGTATGGTCTGCTCCTGGATCTGTTCTGTGTCTGCCTGCTGGGCTTCTGTGACCAAAAGAGAGAGCTGTAGAGACACCATGGCAGCTCTGGGCCCATCCCCCCCATCAAAAACTCCTTCCTCTCTCCTCAAGCTTATATCCTCATTTCTCTCCACATGGCATCCCCCTCTACTCCCACTCCCTGCGTCCTATCCTGGTGGCTCCATTGTAGGCAGAATGCGAGGGCCAGGGCTGGGCTGTCATAGGGAACAGGAGTTAGGCAAAGAGCTGGGAGGGCAGAACATGAGCTTTGGCCTCGGGGAGACCTGGTCTTGAAAGCACCTGGAAGCATGGCTAGCCATGTGTCTTTGGGCAACTGCTGTAACCCATCCGAGTCTTCTTTTCCCCACCTAGAGACTGAGGATGATAATACTCACCCCCACCTTGCTTTAACAAATGAATGAGAGGAGCGTGTACCACCTGAAGCACAGGGACTTGCAGAGTGGCTCTCAGCATGCCTTCCTGCCCCAAGCGGGGAATCACAGAGCAGGTATGGGCCTGGGAGTGCAGAGGGCGGGGGCTGCCAACCTGGGAGCCCACAGGCTCTCGAGTTCCTCCTCCCAGGAAGGCCTGGCCCTTCCCCAGGCACAGTGGTCAGTGGCCAACAGGACAACACAGGGCTGTGTCATGAGGAAGGCAGCTGCGTAGGGGGCTGGGCTGGATGTTGTGTGCAATAAGGGCCTGAGACAGAGGGGCAGCTGGGAGGCCTGGCCAGGCACAGCCTGTTACCAGCTGCGCAATGGGCCTCTCTGCCCTGCCACCACCAGCTCCCCCTAGCTGAAAAGTGCCAGTCCCAGGCTCCCTTGCTCTCCTAGCTCTTGGTTCTAAGCACAGAGTGGTGCTGCGGGAAGGAATTCGGGGAAGTATACCACGACTGAGGCTGGGTTGGCTTGAGGCAGAGCCTTCCCTCGCCCTCTCTCTCTCTGTCTGTTGGTCTGTTTCTCCCTTCCTTCTTCTCTCATTCCTTTCATTTTTATCATGTCCTTTTCCAAACTTAGTCCTGGAACACCCTCAAAGATTGTGGGCCAGTCCTCTGGGGGTGTGGAGTAAGGAGTGAGGCCCAGGCTCAGAAGCTCACAGGATGGGGGACGGCTTGAGCACCTAAGATACCACTGTGAGGATGAAGTGAGGAGTAAGGAGGAGGAGGAGGAGGTCAGGGCTCGGAGGTGGAGAGGGCTTCCTGGAGGAGAGAAGTCTGGAGTGTCAGATGGCAAGAGAAGGAAGAGTGGAGTGAAAATTAAGACAAAGGCCCAGAGGCAGCCCAGCAGGACTAGTATGGCTGGAGGAGGAGGAGGACAGAGGAGTGAGAGGGTCCAGGCTCTAAAGGTGAGTGGGGCCTCCCATGGGCCTTCTTTCTGCGGGCATTTCAGAGCCGGGAGGACTTATAGACCATGTTGTTGCCCCCTCAATATTTAGACAGGAAATTGTGGCTTGTGACTAGAATATTCCTTTGCAGAAGTTCACGCTCTGGCCATGCCTCTAACCACACCCTAATAAGCCAGGGACTGGCCCAGCACAAGGCAGTTGGATCCTTAGACATGGCGGACGTAGCTGGAATTACTGACCTCACTTAGTAAGAATAAAACCAAGACTCAGAGAAGTCAAGCAAGATACCTAAGTCCCACTGCAAGTGCATAATGGCTCTGGGACTTGAAAGGACTTAGATTCCTTAGCAAGGCCTGCAAGGGCATTGCGCATGGACGATAGGTGACCTGCCAGCCTCCTCTCTTGCTGCCTCTCACCTTGCACACCATTGTCTTGGTCCCACTGAATTCTTTTGGTTTCTCAAATGGGTCTTTAAACATGTTGTTCCTGGCTGGGTGCAGTGGCTCATGCCTGTAATCCCAGCATTTTGGGAGGCGGAGGTGGACAGATCATCTGAGGTCAGGAGTTCGAGACCTGCCTGGCCAACATGGTGAAACCTTGTCTCTACCAAAAATATAAAAATGGCGTGGTGGGTGCCTGTAATCCCAGTTACTCGGGAGGCTGAGGCAGGAGAATCGCTTGAACCTAGGAGGCGGAGGTTGCAGTGAGCTGAGATCATGCCACTGCACTCCAGCCTGGGTGATAAGAGCGAAACTCCATCTCAAAGAAAAACCAAACAGCAAAAAACAAAACAAAACAAAAACCATGCTGTTCCCTCTGCCTGGAAAACTATCTTCCAGGGCTCAGCTTCAAGGTTAACTCTTCTAGGAGGCAGTACTATCAGAAGCATCTGGCTAGATTGTGTGTCCTCTAGCCCCCAAGACTTCCCTAATTGTGATTACACTTTTACTTGTCTATTTCTTTAACAGGGCCTGGCACAGTGAGTGACATCAAATGAATGAATTAGTGGAAGGTGAATGAATCCTCCCTGGCCCCCCCGCTTCCTATTCATCATCTCTGGTATCAGCGGCATCCACTCCCCATGGCCTCCTGAGTAATAGCACTGGGCATGGAGCTGGACTGAAAGAACAGAGCCTGCCAGGGGCAAACATTCTGGGGAGCGGGGAACCGGACACAGCAGAGAATCACCCAAGTTTAGTTCAATGCAAGACCTAGCCTAAAGCAGGATGTATTCAGGGCCCTACATATAAAGCCACTGTTGAGCCATGAGAGCTCTGAGGAAGCATGGGGCTCCTGCAGGCTGGGAAAGTACCACTGAGAGGAAGCCCCGTGAAGGATGGAGAATACTGAGATCATGGAGAGCACAGGACCACAAGCTTGGGAGCAGGGGGACACAGTAGTAGCAAAGTTGGATGGAGGAAGGATTTCAGCCCCTCCCCGGACTTTCCTTGCCCAGCAGGGCTTGGGCTGCCCAGCTCACCAAAGGGCCTCATATGAGTGATTGCCTGGAAGGCTGGTCCTTCTAACATGCTGAGTGGATGAGCTGGGATGTCCTAAACCACACCTGTGAATCCTGGTACCAGCCTGCTCCTTGGCTCAGGGATCATCACAGAAAACGCATGCTCTGAAGACCATACCTGGGCCAGCATCCGCACTGCCACAGAACCACACACATCAGCCCCACTGTGCCCTGTCCATCCCCATATCTGGCTTTGCCTTGGGCCCATGACCTTCACCCATTTTTCCTGTAGCGTTTTGCATCTTAATTTGCACCAGGGTCCAGAGCCTGCTCACCTCCCGTGCAGCCTTAACTTAAACCAGCTGATTGTGTGCACCCCTTCTCCCTGCCTCATACCCCCAGACCACGAGCACCTTGAGTCAAGGAATCATCATATTCTTTGTAGTCCCAGCTTAGGTGTTGTTTATAAACATATATTAAATTAACTATTGGTAGAGACAGAAATATAAGACACAAGGGATGAGGATTTTGCCTCCTTAAGCCAGTTTTTCCATGTAAAATGGAGACAGTAATTCCTATGACCTGGGAATCCTGTGAAACCTAAGTGAGGTCAAGACTGTTATGACTCCACCTTTAGGAGGTGGATATTCCTTTTTTTTTTTTTTTTTGAGATGCAGTCTCGCTCTGTCACCCAGGCTGGAGTGCAGTGGCATGATCTCAGCTCACTGCAAGCTCCTCCTCCTGGGTTCACGCCATTCTCCCGCCTCAGCCTCCCGAGTAGCTGGGACTACAGGCGCCCGTCACCACGCTTGGCTAATTTTTCGTATTTTTAGTAGAGACGGGGTTTCACCATGTTAGCCAGGATGGTCTCGATCTCCTGACCTCATGATCCGCCCACCTCGGCCTCCCAAAGTGCTGGGATTACAGGCGTGAGCCACCACGCCCGGCCAGGAGGTGGATATTCTTGTTATACCTATTTCACAGATAAGAACACTGGGGCTCAGGGAAACATGGTGACTTGCCGAAGGTCACACAGCTGGGAAATGGAGGGTTGGGATTCAAATGAATGCTTCTGGCACTGTCTCACTGTATAGCTTCCTGGGGAAAGTGAAGTTTGGTGGGAGGTGTAAGTCATGTCTAGAAGACAGATATGGCTTTTCATCTGACCAGTGGGTTTAAAGTTCAACCTGCAGCACACAGCTGAGCAGGCAAGTCAGAAAGGAGAAATAGTGGGAAGGGGCATGCCCTGGAGCCAGGGGGCCCCTCAGAGAGAAGACACAGCCTTGTCCTGGGAAGCCTGATAAATTCTAGGAGAGGAGGCAGGCCTCAGGCACATGACAGGCAGGGTGAGGGTTGGTGGAGAAGTACTTCATGGCAGGAGAGGCCTGAGATGGCAGAGTCTGAAGGTGGGAGAGCCACTAGAAACTGATGGCAGGAAGAAGTCCACCCCAGCCTCGGTAGTCATGACCTGAACCCCAGGTAGGGTTGGGGTTTGGTCACCTGCCACCCTCCTCACACCTGTGCTGGGGCCCTGCTCATAGCCAGCCCTAAGCTCCAGCCACCTCTGCCCCCTGGCCCAGCAGTCGGCCCAGCTGGCTCACCTTCTCAATCAATACTGTGCTCTTAATGGGCCCAGCTACCAGCACCAACCAGGGGCATTAAATGTTAATTATATCTATTTGGATTTGAAAAATTTTATTACTCGAGTTAATTATGGTTGGAGTCATAAAAAGGTTTCAGAGTGAAAGGACTGCCTTATTGGGGCCACTTTCCCCAAGACAGATTGGAAAGGCAAAGAAGAAATAAAATCATCTGGCTTAGAGGGCGGCTACTCCACATCCACCAGGCTGAGCGTGCTGGGCTAAGGACTCTGAAGCCTCCAAGGGAAAGGCCTGAAGAGCAGCTCGCCTACTGGCCGTGCTGGTGCCCGGGATGCAGGACAGGCCTGTCTTGGCAGGGCAGGTCTGCCGCTTGGCAGCCCCAGCAGGAGAGATGCGGTCAAGTAGAGAAGGGCTCCCTGCCAGCGAGCCTCCATGGGAGCTGCCGTCCTGCTGAGAACAGCCCGGCTCCCAGAGATCAGGATTGCAGGATATGCCCAGGGCTCCTCTTCAAGTGGTCCAAATACTGGGACCTTCTCTTGCCCAGCTCTACCCAGCCCTGCCTGATTGCTTCCTGCCAGCGCCGCTTATGATTCATGGGCCTGACCTTGGGCTATAAGGTGTTCACTCTAGCGGGTACAGAGGCAGGATTTATGGCCTCGGGGTCAGCTGTAGGCAATGACACAGGCAATAGCTGACTCACAAGGGTGCCCCATCCCCAGCCCACACATAACTCTCCCTTGCACACACAGGTACACACACACATCTGGACATAGCCGCAAATGCACATTCATGCCAGGAGCTATCTCACGCACGCATCTGGTAATGGGAGTTCATTTGTGGAGCAAGCACTGTGTCTAAGGTGCTTTACAAGCATTTGTCTAATCCTTAACACTGCCCCTGTAAGGCCGGTCCAAGCCAGAGCTACTCATTTTACAGAAGAGGAAACAAAGGCTCAAGCAGGTTAAGTTATCGGAACACATGTGCCCTAGAAGAGAACCAGCCCTACAGAGAACCCTGATGCCTGTCTGTTGGCCAGGGAAACTAATACCACCAGAGAGCTAGACTACAGCAGCCTGCGGGGCAAGAGAGACCATTCCACCCCCTCCCTCTTCCCTGTCAAAGGAGCCGAGGCCAGCACAGAGGGGGCGGGAATGTTCCCCATCTCTTTCCACCCCCTCCTTGCCACAAGGTGATGAAGAGAAGGGGAAAAATGCCTTAAAGAAGATACAACAGTGGCCGGGCGTGGTGGCTCATGCCTGTAATCCCAGCAATTTGGGAGGCTGAGGTGGGCAGATCACCTGAGGTCAGGAGTTTGAGACCAGCCTGGCCAACATGGTGAAACCTGTCTTCACTAAAAATATAAAAATTAGCCAGGCGTGGTGGCGGGTGCCTGTAATCCCAGCTAGTAGGGAGGCTGAGGCAGGAGAATGACTTGAACCTGGGAGGCAGAGGTTGCCGTGAGCCGAGATTGTGCCACTGCACTCTAGCTTGGGTGACAGAACAAGACTCCGTCTCAAAAAAAAAAAAAAAAAAAAGGAAGAAGAAGAGAAGAAGATACAATAGTGGAATTTCAAACTGCACCAACTTTAAAAAAAACAGAAGGAACTGGGAATTAGGGGGAATTTGCCCATGTTGTTAAGGGATCAACTGCCCATCCAAGGGCAGTTGAGGTGTCTCCGGTAGAGACTGGAGGGGGACAATATTTCATATATAAACTTTTAATTATCATTGTTATGATGCGGTTACTGAGAACCCCATGTAAAAGGAGTTAGCCACTTCTCTCTTCAGCTTAATATCCATTGCCTCCACTTGATTTTCCATCTTCCCTCAATTTTCAGAACTTTTGTCTTTTCTCCAAAACCAGTGCCTACTGTCCCTTAGAGCCACTTCTCTCCATCCTCAGCAGGGACCTTGCCCTTGCGATATTCCTCTCGCTCTTGCATTTTTGCCACGAGAGCGGTCCTTTCTCCTCTGTCTTCTACGTTGTGTGTAACTGTCTCCTAAAAGGGCCAACCCTTCCCTGGACCTTGCCGCTTCCTCTATCTCCTTCCTTTCTTCTGTCTTCTAGTCTGCCTCCTGGAACAAGGACCTGTGCCTGTCGCCTCATTTCCTTCCCCACCGTCTGGGATGGAGCTCTTATCGCTGTCCTGGTGTCATCCGCAGCAGCTCCCTGGGTCCCTGGAGCTGTGACCCCCTCCTCAGGCATCTGGGGCTCTTCCTCAGCGCTCCTGTCCTCCTTTCCACACCACCCTCTATCCTTACCTTGTCCCTCATGCCTCTTCCACTGACCTGATCCGGGGACCTTGTCACTGCTGTGCCCTTTGCTCTTAGAGAATTTATCTTTTTACCCTCTTGAACGTCAACTTTCCAGGACTCCCAAACCTGCCTCCAATTTGATGTCTCTCCTGAATGCCCACACCGAATTGTCAACTGCCCAAAGGACATGTCCATTTGGACTCTCCATTGTCACCTCCAGTGAAACATGTTAAGTCAGAAATAATTATCTTCTCTTCAAAACAGCTCCCTTTCCACCACCTCATTTCTTCCCATTAAATAACTACCTAGACTCCCCAAACACAGAACTACTGATTAAATTATTACATTAAACAAATGTTTTCCAGGTAACTACCCTATGCAAAGCCCAAATAGCACAGGGCAATGGGGGTGGAGGTGGGAGGCAGGAAGAACAGGGAGGCAGCCTGATGACAACAGAGAGTGAAGGTTTTGGAGTCAGGTAGATTCGGGTCTACAGCCTGGTCTGCTGCTTGCCAGGGTATAATGTTAGGCAAATTACCTAAACCAAACATAGCCAGAGCACCTGCTGTGCACCATGCTCTGACCTAAAGGTCAGACAATCTCACAACAATCTTCCCAACGGTGCTATGATTATCCCATTTTAGAGATGAGAAAAAGAGAGAGGTTAAGGAACTTGCCCAAGGTCACACAGCAGAGCCAAGGTATGAACCTAGGTGGAGGCTGTGCTTATGGTCACTGTGCTATATTTAACTTCTCGTGGTCTCTGCTTTGTTCTGTTTTGCTCACTCTTGTGTCACCAGCCCCTAGGATCCCACTAAATATCTGCTGAGTAAGAGATGACAAACAAATGACTGAAATGCATCTATTGGATTTGATAGTTTGAAGTTGTTGCTGACCTTGGCAAAAGCAGGGTCAAGGGAGAGGTAGGGACTTAGGTAGAACAGCCATGGTTAACGGAGTGAATGGGAGGGAAGCAGTGCAGACAGATGTCAGGCATGACACTGTTCCAGAAGTTGGAGGGAGGAGAGAGAGGGATTGCCGTTGTCTTAGGAAGCACAGGGTCTGGATTTTCTTTTTGGTGTATGAAAGAGAGTTGGAGCTCCAGGACAGAGGATCACTGCTGGAGCCAGGCTTCAGACGGACATGAGGAAATGGGATCCCAAGTGCTAGCAGAGGGAACAGTTCCTGCTAGTGAGGGACATTAGTCTACTGGAGAGATAGATGGGTTAAACAGACCTGGGGACGAGAGGCACTAGAGGAAACCCACGGGGCCTGGGGAGTCAGGAGACGGGAGATGACATCTTAATACCATCTTTGTCAGGAGAGCCAGGTGACCTGGTGGGTAGACATTTGGGCTTCTCTCCTCTGCCTTTCCCTAGGATGCATGGTGACAGCTCAGGCAACTGGATTAGAAATGCTACTTCTGGGCTGGGCGTGGTGGCTCACGCCTGTAATCCCAGCACTTTGGGAGGCGGAAGTGGGCAGATCACTTGAGGTCAGGAGTTCGAGACCAGCCTGGCCAACATGGTGAAACCCCGTCTCTACTAAAAATACAAAAAGTAGCCAGGCGTGGCGGCAGGCACCTGCAATCCCAGCTATTTGGGAGGCTGAGGCAGGAGAATCACTTGAACCTGGGAGGCAGAGGTTGCAGCGAGCTGAGATGGCGCCACTGCACTCCAGCCTAGGCGACAGAGTGAGACTCAGTCTCAAAAGAAAAAAGCAAACAAACAAACAAAAAACAAAAAGAAATGTTACTTCTGGCTGTGCCAAGACAAGCTTGGGGAGCAATTCTTGGGCTACATATACCTGAGCCCCACGTTCCAGTACCTGCAACTACTGAGGGACAGCCAGCTAGGGTTTCCCCACCATCCTGACAACCTTCAGGGGAGCCAACTCCTATTTCCAGAGCTGGAGCCAGCTAGGCTTTCCTGAGTGCAGCAATAAAAGGGGAAAATCAACATCCCAATGATCTTGTTTATGGTGCTAAGTAAGCTGCACAGCTTAATCCCTACGAGGTTAATGAATTTACGACTTGCTTTGGAATTTGACAAGGGCTATAAAAGAGGAATGAACCACGCTCTGGACAGCTCCTTCCTAGCGGCTGCTAGGGTTGGACTAGCTTGACCCGCCCTGATGAAGGAGGGGTGAAGACGTAAGTGGTGGGTTCATGGCCAATTGTCTGGGTTCTGAATTGAGTGGACCAAAGGAGGGACAATCTAAGGGCCAAAGGACATTTCCTGTAACCCTCTGGCTAGGTCAGGGTGAGCAGCCTGGGCTGCTCGAGCTGGAGTTCCCAGGTCTTCAGGTGACCTTGGTGTCTTGGGCAAGTCATTTAACCTCTCTGAGCCTCTGTTTCCTCATCTGGAAGAGACACGATGCTATGTACCTCATGTTGTAGCTGTGAGAATGATGTGAGAGAATGCATGTAAAGGAACTAGCATTGGATTTGTATATAGTAAGTCCTCAAAAAATGTTAGTGGTGGTAATTATCATTTCATTCTGTCTTAAATCATAATTTGCTGTCTACTTGTCTATGCCCCCACCATTTATCCATCCATTCAGAAATTCAATAAATCTTTACTGAGAAATTAGACTGCGTGCCAGGCCCTGTGTCAGATACAATTTGGAATGAGAGGCACATACCTTAAAACACATTAAAAAGAAAGGAGATTGGTGCTGGGAAGGAAGGACGTACAGGTTACCCTGAATGCACAAAGAAAGAAGTGGCTGAACCTGCCTCTCTAGTCTAAGCCAGTTTTGAATAATGCCTTCTACTGATAGAGCACTTAGCACATCACAGAAGTGATGTTCTTTGATTCTTTTGATTCTCGAAATAATCCAGTAATGACCACATTTTCTAAATCAAAAATTAGAATCCAGTGTGACTACATGGTATGGCAATAGGTCAAAACATTTGGAATAGGGACAGGTTAGAAAAGCTGGGACATGCTGAACTTCATAAACAGAGAGGGCACAGATTTCTAGTATCTGTTTGAACAGCTATGAAAATGAAGCTAAAATTGTCAGTGGGAGAAGTGAGGCTTCATCCCATTCATTCACTGATTACTTTGCGAGAAGCCAAGGGCAAGGACTGTGCTGCTTACTTCTGGGTACACGGAGCCTAGAATAGAACCTGCAGAGATTAGAGCCTCAATAAATGTTTCTCACATGAATAATGAATCTTTGTATAAGTATATATATATATATATCTGCTTCTGGAAGCAAAATTCAAAAGAGAAACTGATATTCATCATTTTCTCTTTTTCCCCTCTCATATTGTCTTGAAAGCGCTCTGGCTGGGATTGACAAGCGTTCCCTTTTTGCCAGTTCTGATGGTTAAGTCTCAGTAATCCTCACCGGACTCCACGGACAGTGACTTGAGCTCAGTAGATCACTCCCTTCTTCTTCTTCTTTTTTGGAAATGGAGTTTTGCTCTTGTTGCCCAGGCTGGAGGGCAATGGCGTGATCTCGACTCACTGCAACCTCCACCTCCCGGGTTCAAGCGATTCTCCTGTCTCAGCCTCCTGAATAGCTGGGATTACAGGCTAATTTTTGGTATTTTTAGTAGAGATGGGGTTTCACTATGTTGGCCAGGCTGATCTCGAACTCCTGACCTCAGGTGATCCACCCGCCTCGGCCTCCCAAAGTGCCTTTTTTTTTTTTTTTTTGAGATGTAGTCTCACTATGTTGGCCAGGCTGGAGTGCAGTAACGCGATCTTTGCTCACTGCAACCTCCGCCTTCCGGATTCAATCAATTCTCCTGCCTCAGCCTCCTGAGTAGCTGGGATTAGAGGCGCCTGCCACCACGCCCAGCTAATTTTTGTATTTTTAGTAGAGATGGGGTTTCACCATATTGGCCAGGCTGGTCTCAAACTCCTAACCTCAAGTGATCCACCTGCCTCGGCCTCCCAACGTGCTGGGATTACAGGCGTGAGCCACCGCGCCCGGCACCACTCGCTTCTTCTTGAATTTTTTACTTGGCTTTGGGTACCTCAGTCCCCTGTTTCTTCCTGCATCACTGGGCACCCATTATTCTCTTTGCTGGAGGGCCCTTCTTTTCCCATCCTTTAAATACTGGACGGCAAGAACAGACATATAAGAGGGGTGCATGGATGTGGGAGTGGATGGACATTGCCGCTCAGGAGCAGGACCCCTGCTTTTGTGGGCTGCCAGTTTCTCAGGCTTTGCCTTAGGGTGCATCTCTTTCCCGTTCCCCTCATCCAAGCTTACTGGCTTCTTGGTTTCCAGCTCTAGTTTTTTCAAAGTCTTCTCTCTTCCTTTGACTGTCCTCATTCTTCCACTCTGCAACTAGAGTTCTTCTGTGATCTGGTGACTCCCATCAAACAAACCAACAGCCCAAGGATCTGAGAAGCAGCTCCGTTTAGCTGTAAGGAAGTAACTTCCCAAGGTGAGTGCTGGCCAGGCCGAATGTGGAAAGTCAGGGAGGCATAGATGCTGGTGCTGGTGGGCGCTTCCCTTGGCCACATTGACACCAGCATTGACAGAAAATGTCCATTTCCATTGACCTGGCTAGTGGGCACAGCTGCTTCACACCTAGAGATGAAACCCCAGCACACAAGGAACACAAGAATGGAGCAAGAAGAGCAGGCTTGGGTCCTAGCTTTGCCAAAGAGGAATGAATAGAGAACACCAGCAGATCCCAGGTTCCAGTCAGGTTCCCAGAGGAAGGCCCAGGATCCTGCCCACCCCAGCCCCCTAGGACTCTTTCTTCCCTCATGTCCTTTGCCTCCTCTTTGCATCCACCCTGTCCCTCAGCTCTCTCTCCAGAGTCCCTCAAAGGTCCCTCTCTGCCAAAGGATGATCGTCTTAGGAAAAACACTGAGGGTTTGGTCCTGACTTTCCGTTTCCCATGCACTCCAGACCTGAAAGCCATGGTTGCCTGGCCAGAGGTTTCATTTTTTCTGGAAACCACCCTTCCCTACTCCCCAGGCATGTGTGGGAAAGAGCTTGGCCAAAGCAGGGATTCCCTGGCCGGCACCCTGGGGAGGCCCTTTGCTCTCCAGGGAGGGTCCCTGTAGGCTCCACCTGTCCAACTGGCCTCACTGCAGGGGACAAGCAGCTGGGACCTGTCCTGCCGGCGTAGAGGCTGAAACAGGCTAATGAATCCTGATGGGAGAAGTGACCTTTTCCAAATGCCACATGTCATTGGATTTTATATCACACAAGGACAATGTGCCATGGGTATTAAAATCGTTTTTCCAATAGTTATATATGTGTGTGAGTGTGGTGCAGAGTCCGTATGATGAGAGGAAAATCCTAATGAAGATGTCATCAAATGAACCTTCCCCGATCAGCACCAGACAGGCAGTCCTTCCGGACACTCTCTCTCTCAGCCAAGGCTTGGCCTAGACCTCAGCTCTTAAGCACAGATGAGCCTTTCTCCCATGAAGTTCTCCTGGCCCAGACTCTGGCTCTGGGCATGGCCTTGACTCCACTTCCTGCTCTAGGAAGCTCTATTCAAAATCAAGGGAAGAGCAAGGCCTGGAGAAGGCGGCCACACAGCGAATGGACACAGGCCCTAGGCATGCCACTGTCCACTCCTCAGTCTCCTGGAGAAGCTGGAGGATGCTTTGGGAAGGAGGGACACACAACCAGCAGAGCAGGTCAGGTGGCAGGTGTGGCACTCAGCAGCTTCCAGAGCTCTGAAGGCTGGGAGAGGCTGGGATTGGAGCCCAGAACCCCAGACTGTTCTCTATAAAGCCTCAAAGGGTCTTATGGTCTAGCCTGTCTTCACAATCTTCCTAATAGGTGGCCTGCCCAAACACCTCCGAGGCCAGGAGGCTCCAGACATCCTCAGGCGGCTTTGCTGCTCTGGGGAGCTTCGGCTGTTTAGAAAGTTCACACACAGCTTGAGCTAAAATCTATTTCCCTGGAAGTTCCACCCACTGGTCTGTGTTTAAACTCTTGGGCTCAGACAGAAAAGGTTTGATCTCTGTCCCACACAATAGCCTTTTGGAAATCTAAAAACAACAATAATGTCCCCTGGAGTCTTCTTTTCTCTAAGTTGAACATTTCTAGTCCATTCAGTGATTTCCAACATGACCCGATTTCAAATATCCTGACCCATAGGCACTCCAGTTCTATTCTGCTGAGAACATTAGGCCCATTTTCTATTGTCATGGTGGGAAAAGGGGAAAAAAGCACAGCATCTGGAGTTGGAGGCCCAAGGTTCAAAATCCCAGCTTCATTATGTAATAGCAACAGGAATTTGAGTAAGTTTCTTCATCTTTTTGAGATTCAGTTTCTTTATCCTAACACTAGATGAAGGGACAACCTTCTCCATGGAACAATTTCTTCTTTCTTTCTTTCTTTTTCTTTTCTTTTCTTTCTTTCTTTCTTTTCTTTCTTTTTTTTTTTTTTTTTTTTTTTTTTTGTGAGACAGGGTCTTGCTCTGTTGCCCTGGCTGGAGTGCAGTGGCATGACATGGCTCACTGCAACCTCTGCCTCCTAGGCTCAAGTGATCCTCTCACCTTAGCCTCCCAGTAGCTGGGACTACAGATGCACGCCACCACACCTGGCTAATTTTTTGGTATTTTTTATAGAGATGGATTCTCACCATGTTGCCCAGGCTGGTCTCAAACTCCTGGACTCAAGCAATCTACCCACCTCAGCCTCCCGAAGGCTTGAGCCACCATGCCTGGCCTGGAACAACTTCTTCAGGACATGGTCCAAAGATAGGTCAGGACCTCAGTGGGGACTTACTTAAGCAGAGGAGGTCAGCAGAAGTCACAGTATGAGGAGAGGAGCAGAAAGAATAAACAATATCCACAAATAGCTGGTTGTCTCGGATGAGTGTCCAGAACCAACTGTCCCAAAGTCCTAGCAAATAGCTTCAAGTACACAGTTTTCCCCATTCTTGCCCTTAGACAAACAGGCTCACATGTAAGAGGCTGCTTGCCCCAGTGATGGAGCCACCCTGTTCTTAGGCCCCACAGCGCCAGAACTCAAGAGTCAAAGCTCAGACTGGGGGTCCAAGTCTAGGGAGAGATTAAGATGCAGCACACTAGCACTTAGTAAAGCAACTAGTGTTGATTTCCATCAAGCCTCCCTGTCCTTTCTTTGCTCAGACTCCTCGGTAGTCTGGGTCTGAGTCTTGGTCCTACTGCTCAGTGACTGTGTGGTCTTGGTCAAGTTACTTAAGCCCCTCTGCCTGCTTCTTCATTTGAAATATGCAGTTAGTCTACCCATCTCTTGGTTGTTATGAAGATTGCATGATTTTCTTTCTTTCTTTTTCTTTTTTTTTTTTCTGAGACAGAGTCTCGATCTGTCACCCAGACTGGAGTGCAGTGGCGTGATCTCGGCTCACTACAACCACTGCCTCCTGGGTTCAAGTGATTCCCCTCCCTCAGCCTCCCGAGTAGCTGGGATTACAGGCGCCTGCCTGTAATTTTTTTGTATTTTTAGTAGAGTTGGGGTTTCGCTGTATTAGCCAGGATGGTCTCAATCTCCTGACCTCGTGATCCACCCGCCTCGGCCTCCCAAAGTGCTGGGATTACAGGCGTGAGCCACCGCACCCGGCCTGAGGATTGCATGATTTTCTGTGTGGAAAACAGAATAAAGAATGTTGGGCACACTGTGAGCACTCAATAAATATTAGCTACTGTTATTATCCCACTCTCAGGATATTTGTGAAGATCAAGGATGCTAAACCATAGGCAGGTGTCATTCTTGGCAAACTATCAGGGTCTGTGGTCTGTGGGAGTGATTAGAGTTGTTGATCAGTGTCTCTTCTCCCAAACTGGACATTGTCCTCCAGGTGGATCTACCGCTACCTGACAAGTGCAGAGTGGAACAGAACTCTCTATCCCCTGAAGTGTTCTGGGATCCAAATAATAGTAGATGCATGGGGGCCCATAGCACTTGCCGACTTCTTTCTTCTAAATTTACTATCAAATAACCCCCAGAGCTTCTCTTCAGCTTAGCCTTCCTTCCCTTGGCATGGACTCAAATTGAAATACTTATCCCACTGGCCAGGCGCGGTAGCTCATGCCTGTAATCCCAGCACTTTGGGAGGATCACTTGAGGCCAGAGTTCAAGACCAGCCTGGCCAACATGGTGAAACCCCATCTCTACTAGAAATACAAAAAATGAGCTGGGCATGGTGGCCCACGCCTGTAATCCCAGCTACTTGGGAGGCTGAGGTCAGAGAACTGCTTGAACCCGGCAGGTGGAGGTTGCAGAGAGCCAAGATTGCACCACTGCACTCCAGGCTGGGAGACAGAGCACGACTCTGTCTCAACAAAAAAAAAAAAAAAAAAAGGAAAGAAAGAAAGAAAGAAAGAAAATCCCAGTTGCATTCATCTGGTTGGAAGATTCTACCCATCATCTGAGCCACTTTGGGAGGCTGAGGTGGGAGGGTTGTTTGAGCCCAGGAATTCAAGACCAGCCTGGACAACATGGTGAGGCCCTGTCTCTACAAAAAATCTAAAAATTAGCTGGGACTGGAGGCTGAGGTAAGAGGATCACTTGAGCCCAGAAGGTCAAGGCTGCAGTGAGCTGTGATCATGCCATTGCACTCCAGCCTGGGGGATAGGGTGAGACCCTTTCTCAAAAAAAAAAAAAAAAGGCATTTGACACGCCCAACTAATTTTTGTATTTTTAGTAGAGATGGGGTTTCACCATGTTGGCCAGGTGGGTCTCAAACTCCTGACCTCAAGTGATCCACCCGCCTCGGCCTCCCACAGTGCTGGGATTATAGGCGTGAGCCATTGTCCCCAGTATTTTACCACGCTGTTTATTTCCTTTGTGGTACTGATCACTCCCTTAAGTATCTTGTATCTTTTCATTGTCTGTTTCCCACTTCTAAAGCAAAAGCTCCTTGGTAACAGGGTTTTGTTCGTCACTATTTCAAGTGTTGAGAACACAGAGTAGATGCCTATTAAATATGTGTCAAATGAATGAATGGCATAGGATCAGGGATGGACACATAAAGTGGTGATAAAGGGCACTAAGGTTGAGGTGGTCAAGAGCTGAGAATCTGCTTTAGATGGCAGAAGGGAAAAGCTGGGAGGAGAGGTGGCAGTGGGGAGAAGGGAGAAGCTGGGAGGAGAGGTGGCAGTGGGGAGAGGGGAGAAGCTGGGAGGAGAGGTGGCAGCGGGTAAGAGGGGGTGCACTGCAGTTTGGGGCTGAAAATACTGGAGAAGGCTGCAGGGGCTTGTACTTGGGCAGTGGCCGAAGATGGCTTGGATGTGAAACCTGATAGGAAGACAGTCCTAGGGTTTCACATGTAACTTTGGTATCAAGATTATTGGAATGTAGAGTGAACTTTCCTATGAGAGCCAGAGTGGGGCTATCTGAGCCAATGTTGGACAGACTGTCTTGACTATTTGAATCTGCTGTATCAGCCTCTGCTCTGTGTTCTAACAAGACCTTGGATATACCTCTATATATACTTGGCAAATGCTCAATTCCTTACCCTCCTGTCGGCTCCTGGAGCCTGTCCCCACTTGTCTGCAGTTTCCGTCTTTGACCCCTTTCCCAGAAGTGAGCCTAGAGTAGAGAAGGCAAAGTGAGTTGAGCTGAGGTGAGAAGAGAGGAGATGAGGTGAGGAAGATCATTGAGACTTCAGCTTGGCCCAGCCCAACCAGACCCACAGTCAGCACAGCAATTGTCCGGCTGAAATAACAAGTCAGAGACGAAAAAACTGGCCATCCCTCTTTGTTTACTCAGCTTTTTTCCCCCCTTTTTCTTTGGACAATGCCCTGCTGGGCTGGGGCTGTCCTGCTGGGTTGTTGCTGGGCTCCCCTGCCAAGATGGAGCCCAGCTGCTCAGCTGTTTACAAGGCAAATCCGGTTTACACTGGGGCCCATCCTGTCCTGGCTGGGCTGGGGAGCTTCAGTCACAGCCCAGCCACTGGCTTCTCCTTGCCCAGGGCTCCCCAGTCTTAGGCTGGGGGCACTAGAATTGGGAGGGAATCCTACATGCCCAAAGGCCAGGGAAGGCATCAGCCTCAAGATGGAATGAAAACAGTGTAAGATCTGGTCCCGCAGCCAAACTTCTGCCCTTAGGAGCCCCAGAGAAAGGAGAACTGCTGGAATCCCATGGCTTCCATCTCTGTTCTTTCAAGTGGTGAACTTGTGACAACAAAGTTCACCAACAAAGTTCACTCCTCCTGGCCACCCCCTATTCTCCCTGGTAGCTAAGGTCTGGGAACTAATCTCTGCCTTATCTACCACTATCCCCCAGAAACTGCTATAAGGATCAAAGAAAATTATGTGTATGCACAGACTTGGAAAGCATTTGTTGCTCTGATGAAGTAATGTATGCTAGTTCACCCAAGTGATCTATGGTAGTTCACCCAAGTGGAATTTGTTGCTCTGATGAAGTGATCTATGGTAGTTCACCTGAGTGAAGTGGTAGATCACCCAAGTGATCTCTACGGATGAGGATCAAGTGGCTAGACTGGCAGTTGCTCAAGGGCAGGGACCATGTCCTCGTCAACCTGGTGGTCCCAGGGCCCATTATGGAGCATGTCACACAGTGGGACACAATTATTTCATTTATTAAACAAATGTTTCTTAAGAAGCTTGCAGACTAGTGGGAGAGCAGGCAATAAAAAGCACAGTGATCCCTTTGATATACTGATTTCTTCCCTTTGGATAAATACCCAGTAGTGGGATTGTTGAATTGCAAGGTAGTTCTATTTTCAGTTTTTTGAGAATCTCCATATCGTTTTCCATAACGTCTGTACTAATTTACATTCCCACCAACTGTGTATAAGAGTTCCCTTTTCTTCGCATTCTTGCCAGCATCTGTTACTTTTTGTCTTTTTAATAATAGCCATTCTAACTGGGTAAGATGGTATCTCATTGTGGTTTTGGTTTGCATTTCCCTGGTGATTAGTGATGCTCAGCATTTTTTCATGTACCTGTTGGCCATTTGTATGTCTTATTTTGAGAAATGTCTGTTCATGTCCTTTGCCCACCGTACTTGACTCCCATGTTTATTGCAGCACTAATCACAACAGCAAAGATACAGAGTCAACCTGAGTGCCCACCAACAGATGAATGGATAAAGAAAATGTGGTATATTATTTAGCCATTAAAAAAATGAAATCCTGTCATTTTCAGCAACATGGATGGAAGTGAAGATCATTGTTTAAGTGAAATAAACCAGGCACAGAAAGACCAATACTGCATGTTCTCACTGATATGTGGGAGCTAAAAAAGTTGATCTCATGGAGGTAGAGAACAGAGTGATAGTTACCAGAGGCTGGGCAGGGAGTGCGTGTGATGAAGAGAGGTTGGTTAATGGGTACAATAATACAGTTAGATGGAAGGAATAAGTTCTAATGGAAGGAATAAGTTCTAATGTTTGATAGCAGAGTAGGATGACTATAGTTAACAATGATGTATATTTCAAAATAGTTAGAAGAGAGGACTTGAAATGTTTCCAGTACGTAGAAATGACAAATACTCGAGGTGATGGAAACCCTAAATACCCTGATTTGGTAATTGCACATTCTATGCATGTAACAAAATGTCATATGTGATCTGTAAATATGTACAAATATTATGAGTCAATAAAAAATAAAAAAAAAACACAAATGCAAAACAACAACAACAACAAAACCACAGCAAAAGCAACAATCCCATAGGGGTTAGCACAGGCGGCTGAGGAAGCACAGAGGAATCACCCCACCCCGGGCTGGAGGTCAGGGAAGGCTTCTCAAAGGCAGTGACATCTAAGACACAGCAAACAAATGTGCTTATTAAACAAAGGAGGAATGAACGTGCAGAATCCCTAATGGCAGTGCAGGGGCAGGCTGACCTGGGTGCTCTCTCTTACTCCTTTACCCTCACAAAATAGCACTGAAGGGCCAGGCTTTAGGCTCTTGGGCTTTGGGGCTGGTGAACTGTCTGGGTCTGGCTTCTCTAAGTAAATGTATTAAAGATTCACAGTGAAGCCCTGAGAGGCTTTTTCTATGTTACCCAGTCTTCTTAAACTGGAGCACAGAACAGTGTAAGAAAGTATACTCATGAGTTGCAGGAAGCACAGGATAAACATGTGTTCTGGACTTTCTCAATGGTAAGAAATTTAAAGCTTAATTTAAAAATATGACCTGAAGGACAAGTAAGAGTTAGCCAAGTGAAGTGGGATAGGGCAGAGGTCATTCCAAACAGAGGGGAGAGTTTAGGAAAAGGCACTCCAGAGGGCAAGGGCTATAGGAGGAAGAGCATGGCCCAGCTGGGGAAATGTGAGTATTACACTATTTTTTATTTTCTTATTTATTTATTCATTCATTCGTTCATTCATTCATTCGTTCATTCACTCATCCATCCATTCATTCATTTATTTAGGACAAGGGTCTCACTCTGTTGCTCAGGCTGGAGTCCAGTGGCATGACAGCCTCCATCTCCCTGGGCTCAGGTGATGCTCCCACCTCAGCCTCCTGAGTAGCTGAGACTACAGGTGTGCACCACCACGCCCAGCTCATATTTTTTGGTATTTTTTGTAGAGATGGGGTTGTGCCGTGTTGCCCAGGCTGGTCTCGAACTCCTGGGCTCAAGCAATCCACCCACCTTGGGCTCCCAAAGTGCTGGCATTACAGGGGTGAGCCACCACGCCCAGCCCTGAATATTACAGTATGACCAGAGGGAAAATAACTCTAAGAGGACATAGGGATGATTCCAGAGAGGTAAGCAAGGGTTAGATGATGTAGGGCCTAGTAAGCTCAGTTTTTTGTCCTGTTGGAGACATGTTTCCATGAAATCAACTACCATCTATAGTCTATTAATTCCAAATTTTCTATCTCTATCCTTGAGCCCCTCTTGGGAAATCAGACCCCTATATCCAACTGTCAGTGGATGTAAACTCATTAAACTCATGCTATCTGATATGAACTCTCCTGATTTCCTTCCAGGCTTGCTCTTGATCCTCCTTTAGGCCTCTGCTCCACTCCAGGTCTGCTTTCCATGATGCCCACTGCTAGGTTTCCTTCTGTAGATTCTGGTCTCTTCTCTTCTTTCTAGCCCGGTGTCCTCATGGACTGATAGCTCAGTCATAACCCCTGGGCTGTCCTGATCCTGACATCTCTTTTTTCTGGATGCAGCATTCCATGGGCAGGGCCCAGGCAAATCTGACCATGCAACTCTCCTTCAAAGCCTTCAATGGATCCCCATTATCCTCAAGATAAACAAGAAGAAGTTCAAACTCCTTGGCACCCAACACATAGTGTTCTAGTGAAGGGTAAATGAGATAATGCATGTGAAGCAGCTGGCACATCGCCTGGGACGTTTTAGGGTTTTAGGCATTCAATTAATAATAGCCATTATTACTCTTATAATAATTATATAATTTATATTATATCATTATCATATTATAATTATATTATAAGCTCCCCCTACCCTGTACCACATTCTGGCACCTGTCTTTCTCTTCAGTTCTCCTGCGTGCTTTCTTCTTTGAGGGCCTCGAGAACTTCTCTTTCAAGTCTCCACATCTTTATCCATTTCATTCAACGTGATTTCCACCTGGAGGATCTTTCCCTTCATTGTTTACTTGGTGAACAACATCCTTCCTCATGGGTATCTCTCCCCAAGTAGAGTAATGGTGCAAAATTATAGGGCCAAACATTTCTCTTAGACAATAAAGGTTACTTGGTATTGAAGAGAAGAGACACAAGCATGACCTGAATCCTTAGCGGCAGCAGCTGATGGCAGATATCAAAAGCTACTCTTGAGGCAATGAGTCACAGACACCGAGAGAGCTGAGAAGTGGCTGGGCCAGAGAAGACCTGCCTGGGAGAATGGCTGGTCTTGCTGCTGCAGAGGCCAGCAGATCAGAAGGAGGTAGAAGGAACAGTAAATAGGATATTGCAATGTACAGAGAGAGATTCACTTTGTCATTGATTTCACAAAACATTATTCAGCACCCACTTTGTGCTGAGCTTTAATTATGAAAGAGGGGCTTTTCATTTAGTGAAGAGTCAGATGAGTAAACAGGAATTACAGAACCACATGATGCATATTATAAGAGCAGTGGCGGGGTGCCATCGAGGCTGGGTTTCAAAGAGTCCCTTCCCTTGTGAATTTCAGGGTACAATCACATGCAACAAATATTCAAGAGCACTTGCTCTGTGCCAGGCACTGTGCTGGGTGCTGAGGACACAGAGGCTATAAAGATGAATGAGATGATTTCTGCCACCTAGTGGGAGGAGACAGCTATGTTTTAAAATGCCACAAAGGTAGTCAAATGTCACATGTCCCCAGACTGCCTCCTCTTCCATTTAATGTGAGAGGAGTCATTATCATCTAATTCCTCAACTAGAAGCCTGGATATTATCTCTGACTCCAGGATTTATGTTTTAGATTAACCATAAAACATCCTGTAGAGGAAGGACCGGAGGCAGGGAGACCAGCTGGAGGCTGTCCCAGTCACTGGGGTGAGAGATGGCAATGTGGCCTGGACTAGGCTAGGAGCCTTGGAAATGGAGGGAAGTGGACTGATCTGAGAGCTATTTAAGGGTAGGATGAACGGAATTTAGGGATTGATTAGATGGAGGTCTGAGAAAGGAAGAGGGGTAATAATCTCAGGTTTCTGGATGGGCATTTAAGATTGTGGTGCCATTTAATGAAATGGGAGCTAAAGAAGGGAGAAAAATGGTATGTTCCATTTTGGACATATGTGTGTTAGACATACGACACATGGGGAGATGTCCTGTAGGTGGCTGGAAAGTGAGTTGGAAGCTCAGGAGATTGATTTGGATTGAAGTTAAGATTTAGAAGCTGCTGGCATATGGTGTAGCATTTACATGGAAGATCATGAGATCACCCTGATAGAACATGTGCAGACAAAAGCAGAGCAAACATTCATTCATTTATTCAAGAAATTTATTAAGCA
Organism: Homo sapiens; assembly: GCF_000001405.40. Classification (NCBI taxonomy): domain Eukaryota; kingdom Metazoa; phylum Chordata; class Mammalia; order Primates; family Hominidae; genus Homo; species Homo sapiens. Next base: position 44,571,562 of record NC_000001.11, on the reverse strand, counting down.
CCTACCATGTTCCAGGAGCTAGAAATCTAACAGTGAATGTAGAACTTACTTTCTACTGCTGGAGTAGGCAACCAACAAATAAAGACACAGTGGCATGTCAGGTAGGCACACGCAAAATGAAGGAAAATGAGCAGGGTAAGGAGATGCTGAGAGTGACAGCAGGTGGCCAGGAAAGGCCTCTCTGAAGAAGTGACATTTGAGCAGATATCTGAGTGAAATGAAGAAGAGAGTCATGAGGATCTGCGAAGGAGGAGTGTTTCAGGTAGAGGAAATAAGTTCAAAGGCTCTGATGGGGAAGGTACTCAGTGTATTCAAGGAACGATGGGGATAATGTGGCCGTGGTAGAGAGAGCAGATGGAAGAGGGGCCAGACTGTAGGGTCTTGTAGGTTGGGAAGAGGACACTGGATTTTATTCTGTGTGATAGGAAGGTCTGGAAAAGTTAGGAGCAGAGCAGTAATATAATCTGATTTATCTTTTTTTTTTTTCTTCAGATGGAGTCTCTCTCTGTCACCCAGGTGGTAATGCAGTGGTGTGATCTTGGTGCACTGCAACCTCTGCCTCCTGGGTTCAAGCGATTCTCCTGCCTCAGCCTCCTGAGTAGCTAGGATTACACGTGCGCACCACCATGCCCAGCTAATTTTTGTATTTTTAGTAGAGACAGGGTTTTACCATGTTGACCAGGCTGGTCTCGAACTCCTGGCCTCAAATGACCTACCCGCCTTGACCTTCCAAAGTGCTGGGATTACAGGTGTGAGACACCACACTCGGCCTGATTTATCTTTTAAAGGCTTATTTTGGCTGCTGTGCAAAGAATAGATCGTGGGAGGGCCGGAAAGGAAGCAGGAAGATTGCAATAGCACAAGTGTGAGATGACAGTGACCTGCATCGCGACATGAGCGTGAAGGAGGGAGAAGTCTGGATGCCTTCCCATTCCTGATACATTGGATCAATAAAGTAAAAAGAGGTGCCAAGACTCAGAGGTGAAATAGAAAGGAGGAGACTTCGGCTTTAGCCTGTTCTGATCTAACCACATAGTCTCGGGGACATTATCCGACCCCTCTGTACTTTACTTTCCTTAGTCCAACATAAGTCCTTAACACATGGCGTGCCTCCTGTGTGGTGGACATTCAGCGCCAAATGGAACGGACAAACAGCTACATTCTAGTAGGGAAGAAGACAAGCAATTTTCAGAAGAAATGTTACCAAAGATCCCCCAGAATACTGTCATAGAAAAGTGGACAAGGGAAAGGGACAGCGCTGGATGGGGTTTGTAAGAAAAGCCCCAGTAAAGGCGTCATGGAAGGTGAGTCAGGAACAGGACCTCCACCCTCACTAGATCTGCCTCTCAGCTTTGCTGCTGTTCACTGAGATGAGGGATGGAAAAGCACAGGCACTACAGCAGTGACAAAGGACTGGACTGTCTGAACTTCGCTCAGCTCTCCTCCCCATTACCCAAAATATATACCCATCGCTTCCATTCGGACCTGAAAAACAGCAACTCCTTCCTTTGTGCTGCAAAGGCCTTTAGGGGCAGCGCCTTCTCTGGCACCTGTCTCTAGGGGCCTTCATAGGATGGTCCCAAGGGTGCCCGATCTTCTAGGAGCTCACAGCACCTAGAACCACTGCCAAGTGTAATACCAAACACCATCATAGGCCTGCTACCCCTTTCAGACTATGAACTCCTGCTGGGGCCCAGGACGATGCGGGTAGAGGGCGTCTAAACAAATGACTATTGAAGGAGTGGTCTAGAAAGAAATGCCCCTTTTGTCTCCTTTTCTCAGCTCCCCATGGCCTTCCTTCTCCCTTCCTCCTTGTTCCCCCTCAGCAGCCCCACACCCCTTCCCACCAGACCCTGGCTTCTCAGCAGGTAGTGTAGAGATCCTGGCTCTGCCAGGGTGGGGTCTGAGCTGGTGCCTAAGTCAGCAGGCTTTGCCCACAGCCCCATCCTGACAGGCGGTGCCTCTGGCAGCAAAGTCATGGCCCTGATTCCTCTGTCTCCACATTTAAGAACATCTCTAACTGCTCCTTGGATAGCTCAATTAGTAAAGTGAATATATTATATAAAGTCTAAAAGATTAAACTATCATCGTCAGCCCATAATTTCATGAAGAAGTCAGGGGACCGTATCCCTCTTATTAACTCTATAACAAATGTGATGAAAATGTTCAAATAGAATGTTAATGCAATGTTACGTGTAATTTTCCCAGGCGATTTTCTGCTGAAATATTTCTTTATTAATAGTAATTGAGGGTATAAATTATGAATGAGGCGATTTTCTCCTTTCAGTAGGAAAGACGTACTAATGGCAATAATTCTTTATAATAATTTTTGGGGATAGTGGGGCGGGGAGAGAGGCTAGTCTAAAAACAGACAAAAGCACCTTTCCAAAGTCTCCCTTGGGGAGACAGTGCATTTGCCACAGACAACCTCTCTTTAGCTTCCACACACCTCAGACTGCCCGCAAGTGAAGTGTTTGTTCTTCATCAGTTTTCCAAAAACCTCAAGGTCTGTTTAAAGGGCTGGAAGGAAGTTTTTGCCTCTAAGTTCTGAAATGGACCAAGTTCTGAAGCCAAACTTTTCTGCTTAGAAACTGCACTGCCAAAAAGACCAAAGCGAGGCTCCTTTGCTGAGCTCCCAGACCCAGTCTGTCTGGACCCAAACCATCTTTTGTAGCATCCTAGAATATTCAAGGAGGAATAGCCTCCGAAGCCTTCCCATGGAATCCCCCATCCCATCCCATAAATGAAAGAATAAAAGGGCACAGAGATAATAAGTTCTAAGCTACACAACATGTTGGTGGGGGAGCTCGGACTCCACCCAAGCAACCTTCTGCACGCGTCCCAGCCTCTCCTGAACAGGCTGCCACTCTCCTGCCTTCGCAACTCCATCCCCGCTGATTCCTGGCCTGGGCATCTGGAGAGTGCTTCAGGAGGGCAAGGACTACAGAGAAACGCCTTCCAAATCCTGCAAAGGAGTTAGACTAGTACATTTCTCTAGGGTCTTTCTTCATTCAGGGATATCCCAGCTGGCATTTGCCCATTCATTTATTTGGCAGACATTAAACAAACATTTACCATGTGGCCAGGCACTGTGCTAGGGATGGGGGTTACAAAGGTGAATTTATCCAACAAGAATTAAGATAAATTCAGGGTGCTCAAGGTCACAGGTGGGAAAGACAAGCATCGGTGCACAGATACCTATGTGAGATAATACATGTGAGTCATATCATTAGAATGTTTGAGGAGCTGCCACACGGCCAGTGTGGCTGGAGCAGAGTGAGGTGGGGATGAGTGCAGGGAGGCTGAGGGAGGCAGAACTGGCAGGGCCTTGTGGCCACAGTAAGGATTTTACCCTGATTGGGAGGGCTCGTTACTGGAGGATTCTCAGCAGAGGAGTGGCACAGTGTCACCTACATTGTTGAAAAGGACACTCTGATGGATCTCTAGTTGGATGTGGAGATTGAAGAAGAGGGACTCTAGGAGGAACCAGAATTCCAGCAGTGGTGACACAGCGCTGATTCTCTGTGTGCCATTCACTGAGTTAGGGATGCTCACTGGGGAACAGAGTCAGAGGCATGATCACATAGTTCAGCTTTGGACAAGTTGAGTCTGAGGAGCCTGAGGGTCAATGGGAACCTCCAGGAGTCCGGGTGGAGTCTGGAGCTGCAGGGTGAAATGGGGCTCCCCAGGCAGGTTTTCAGCAGGGACTCGCACAGCCTCTGGGTTCACATGGCGCCTGGTACACTGAGTTTCATGTCTGTTCAGAAGTCTTTCTCCCTAGTAGATGTGAGCTCCATGAGCTCCAGTCAGAGTGTACTGAGTGAGCAAGCGAATGAATGAGTGAAGGGAGGAAGAGAGAACAACGACTTATGCTGTGTGAGGCTATCCCTAGGGTCTTAGTGGCCACCTCAGAATCTCTCTTGATTGCTGCTAAACAGTCTATTTCCCTTACCCTCCCACCCCTGCCCCAGTAAGGGTAGGCTCTCTCCAAGTCTCCTGATCTTGAGAAACGATCTTCTCAAGATCGCTTGAGAAATGCTGTTGATGACCTCAACAGGCATTCTTGGTGTCATTCACGGGGCTTCTCAGTTGGTCACTGCTGAGTGCTCAGCCCCTTCCCTGGAGCAGGAGAAAAGGTCCCCTTCAGGTCTGAGACTCTGGCGGGGGCTATGTGGCCAACTCTTGTCCCTGTCCCAGGATCATACACAGCTGGGAATCTCATCACATGCTCCTCCCTTCACCCTCTTGCTATGTTCTAATCCCCAACAGCTGGGTCAGAAATGGGGTCACTGTAATAAGCAAGTCTTGTTTTGCTCAAAACAACACTCTTCCAAGTCTTCTGTTTGTACTGTTCCTGGTTCCCTAACCAGAGTCCATGAGCAAGAGCATCCCACCTCCCGCACCCTGATAAGGAACACTGACCCCTCCACTCGGTCCCATTCCCAAGAACTCAGATTTCAGGAGAGAAGCTTGGTAAGTGTCTTACGGATGCATTAAAGGAGTGATTCTCCATCCATTCTTCTCTGCCCTTCACCATCTCTAGCTTTTCCTCTTCTTTAGACACAAGAACCTTAGCAGGACTATTCTAGGGGTCCTTGGCAGGGGCAAGGGCCTGGGCCGGTATAACGAGGCTGGCTCAGCTTTCTGCCCTCTGAAAACCACAGGGGGATGGGATAGGAAATGGAGCTATGTTAGTGGTGATCTCTGAGTGGCCATAGTGACCTCTTGACCACAGGTCACTGGGGTGACCTCCAAGGGCATTTCTGTGTCTCCCCCAGCAGGTCCCAGCCTCCAGAGGTCTTTTTTCTCTCCTTCAGGGAAATCCATCCATTAGCAGCCGCCCTCCAAATTAGGGTAATGTGTGTGTGTTCCTGCACCAGGCCCCCTACTGTCTAACAGCTGGCCCTAGGGTTTCTCCAGCTTCTGTTTCAGATCCATACCACTTGTCTGGAGAAACCCCATCCCAGTCTCAGACTTCCATCCCCCTTTCAATCCTAGGTCATTTCTAGAAAGGGAAAGCTCACAGCTAGCCCGAGGCAGCCTTGACGGGGAGGGCCAGAGGGACTCTGACAGCCAGGATGGAGACCCCCAGCTCCAGAGCCTGTCTTCTGGTCTCTTCCATGCTCCATAGGCTAGGGTGCTGGATACAGGCAGGCTTAGCCAGAGAGGGGCTGAGGACTTCATTCACCCCCTCCCTCCGCACTTAGTCTTGGCTCCCCTGGGTACCCACCTCCCACCTCAGCCCCCTTCCTTGTTGAACCAACAGCTCGATCTTGATCTCTTGAACTGGAAGGTCGACCCCAGAGGGACCCTCTCTGAAAGCCAATGCTAATCCAGTTAGGGGCTGGGCTGGGCGCTGCACTCCCTCTGCAGGACCAAGTGCAAGTGAAAAAATGCCAATTACCAGATGACAAAAAGGGTCCCTGCCCCTGGGGAAGGGCAAGCTAGGGGGAGGGATGGGAGGGACAGAGTAACTGAACACCTTGCCGGAAATAGCTCCTATCAGTCCACTTAGGGAGCCATCAGCCCCAGCAGATTTATGGGCAGCGTGTGCCCCTCTGATAGATCGGACTATTTAAAGGCAGCCGAAGCCTCCATTTATATCAATGTGGAGCAGAGAGGGAGGGCGAGAGGCTGAGGTGGGGAGTGAGAAGCAGCAGTGGGGGCCAGCCATGAGGTGGGATTCAAGACTTAGCAAACTGGCTTCAGAGGACAGGTAAGACTGCAGCAGGAGGACTGGGTTGCAGGACGGGGATGGGAGTCTCCAGATCCAGTCCCATTGGCACCCAGGGAGGGGCAGGGAAGGCAGTGGTTCACAGATCTTCCAGCAGCATCTCTTTAGCCCAGCATCTATGCAAACCCCTCCAGCTAAAATGGGTAGCTCAGGCTAATACTAAAGTGGAACTCCTGATTGGATTTCCAGCCATGACCCCCACCCTCCCCAGCTGCGGGGCATGCTTGCCCTCCATGCAACCTCCCCCTTGCCTGGGCTGAGGGAGAAGGAAGGGGTAATTGTGTTAGGCTGGGGGCATTAGCGCTGAGGAATGGGCCCACTGCTTCCTGCCTGCTGTCCCCAGCCTGCACTTCCTAGGGGCAGATTAAGCGGCTCCTGCGGCTCTCTCTGGCTCTGCCTGGGCCCTTCCTCCCTAACTCCATTACTCCCTGGCTGAGGTGCTTGCCCGACCCATGGTGGTCCCTCTGATAATTCACCTCTCAGGAAACTCTGCCTTTCTGACCTCTCACTGCCTCCTTCTTCCCTCCCTCCCTCCCTCCCTGCATTTTCCCCAGGCTTCCAGATTGGTACCCAACTGGCCTTATTCTCCTGGTTCAGTGGTGAACTGCTATAATTCACCAACATATTCCTAGGCACAGAACCAACATCTATCTGTCAGTTTGTTGGTTACTGGTTGATCAGTTTGTTCACTCACTCATTCATTTATTCACGGAGTGCTGACCAAGCATGTCCTAAGGCCAGGCCCATGCTATGCGCAGGGGATGGAGTTGATTCAGGCCAGGCCCATGCTATGTGCTAAGGATAGAGTTGATTCAGGCCAGGCCCATGCTATGTGCAGGGGATAAAGAGTTGATTCAGGCCAGGCCCATGCTATGTGCTGGGGATAGAGTTGATTCAGGTATCGTCCCTTTTCTAAAGGAACTTACAATCTAAGGGGCAGACAAGCAAGGGAACGACACCACCAGACTTGTGTTTTATAAGGTTCCCCCTGAGCACATGTGTTGTGGAGAACAGATTAGTGAGGATGAGAACAGAGGCAGGAAAACAGAATAGTGGTTCTTTTTTTTTTTTTTTTTTGAGATGGAGTCTTGCTCTGTTGCCCAGGCTGGAGTGCAATGGTGCCATCTCTGCTCACTGCACCTCTGCCTGCCAGGTTCAAGGGACTCTCCTGTCTCAGCCTCCCAAGTAGCTGGCATTACAGATGCATGCCACTGCCTGCGTAATTTTTGTATTTTTAGTAGAGATGGGTTTTTTCACCATGTGGGCCAGGCTGATCTCGAACTCCTGAGCTCAGGTGATCCACCCACCTTGGCTTCCCAAAGTGCTGATTACAGGCATGAACCACTGCACCTGGCCAGAATAGTGGTTCTTCACCTTGGCTGCACAATAGAATTAACTGGGGTGCTTTAAAAATGCTGATTCCTGGGCCATGCTGAGATCAATTATATCAGAATCTCTGGGGAGAGATCCAGGCTTCAGAGTTTTTAAAAAGCCCCACCTAACTAGGGGAGTCCAACGTTCAGCCCACTTTGTAAACCACTGAGTTAGAAGGTGATTGCAACGGTCCAGGCAAGAGATGGCAGTGATCTGAATAAGGGTGGCAGTGACAAGGTAGAAGGGAGGGGGGAATTTGAGAAACATTTCTCTGATAGCTATTTTTAACAGTTACCACTCTCTGGTCCCCCATTCATCCCCTACTCCCACCACTCTTAGCAGATGACCTCAATTCCAACTTCACAGAAGAAACTGGGGCCATTGGGTAAAACTCTACAGGATTCCAAGTCCTTGAAGGCAGGCATGGGGGCCAGTGGCATTCTCACACGATAGGTATCTAATAAATGTTGAATTGAATTGAATCTAGTGGGCAGCTGTAAGTGTGGGTCTCTAACTCAGGAGGGAGCTGTGAAGAGAAGATAGAGATGTAAGAGATGTCAGCTCTGGGAAACCCTAAGGGGCTCATGCAAGAAAAGGAGCCCAGGAACAAGACTGGAGGGAGCAGTCATAGAGGTTAGGAAAGGTAGGGGTGGAAGAAGAACACGGACGTAAGTCTGTCCTGGACACTTCACAGTCATCATCTCATTCGAGGAGTACAACAACCTTTTGAAATATGGACTATTATCTCTATTTTGTAGATGGTGAAACAGGTTCAGAGAGGGCAACTTGCCTAAGATGTTATCAGAGATTCAAATTCAGGAGCTAGGATTTGAAACTATATCTGTCCAGCTCTATGGTGTCTTTGCACTACATCATACATACTACAGGACACACTAGTGTCACAGAACCCAGAGTCAGAGAATTTCAAGAACGAGGGAGGAGTCCACGGCGGCAAATGCAGCAGCTCTCCCTCTTCCCGTTCATCTGGCCCCATCTCCCTGGGTGGACTTGAAACAGGTACCATCAGGGCCAAGGGAGGGAAGCGGGGCCCCCTGAAGTCCTCAGCTGCTGTGGATGAAGCCCCTTTCTACCAGAGTTACTGTGCCACTTCAGCCACCTCCTGAAGCAGGGGGGCCACCAGCTCAGGGGGCCCTGCCTCAGCATCAGCTCAGACCAGTTAGAGGAGGCTCAGCTCCAGCAAGGCTAGCCCAGCCTCGCCCCTGAGGACCTAGGAGCTCACCAGGAAAAAGGGGCTGCCTTCCCTCTGCCCAGCTCACACAAATCCTCATTCAACAAGGCCCAGGTCTGCTGTTACCATCTTGGAGAAATATTCCCCAGCTTCTCCCCATTTCCTTGGCCTCATAAGTGCATCCCCCTCTGGGTTCCCACCAAAGCACTTCATTCGTGCCCATGAGAACTTTTATTACCATGTTTTTTGGTTACAGGGTAGTGTCTATTGTTCCCAGCCCCATTCAGGTCCACAGCTCCCCCAAGACAGAGAGCAAGTATAATTCTTGACTGTATTTCCAACGTCCATTTGTGATGGCATTGGATAAATACATAGTGATCAATGAAGCAGGAGAGCAAAACTCTTGGATGGGGATGGAAGAGGACACTTCGGGGAGAGGAGGGGAAGAAAGAAGTGAGGCCTGCTTTGATTTCTAATGGCCCAGGCAGTGAAAACGGCTCCAGCCTTCCCAGTGACAATTTCCAAAGAGCCCTCGAGGGCATACAGGGAGCTGTGCCTGCCTTTTTGAGGTTCCTTGAGCTAAGCATGCTCCAATTTCCTCCAGGCACCAACCCCCCAACCCCGACTTAGCCCCTGGAGCTGTCTGGGACCTGCTCAGGCTGAGGCAGACACTGAAATGGTGGCAGCAACAACATGGCTAGAGAGACTGAAGGTGCTCCTATATCTTTGCTCAGGAAATGGCCTCATAAAAGTGACAGGGAGACGTACCTATGGATGCTTGTTAAAGTTTTATTACTAATCACCTCCAAAGTCAGCGAGGCAGAGGGAGGGAGCTGGGAAATGGAGTCATCAAGGCCTGGGAGCAGGTGTCAGCAGCCTCAGCATCACAAGCGGGCCCTGACACATGGGTTTAAGCAGCCACGGCTTCCTGCAGGGCCCTGGATTCCCCGCACTGCTCCGGGTCCCCCTGGACAAGGCATTCTGTGCCCTCTCCCCTCCTTGTGAAATGGACACCTTCTGGTTGGTTTCCTATATCTAGCAGGGTGCCAAACTACGTTCAGACCTCATGCTGGGCCATCTGGTCCCCTCCTTCCTGGTGCCGCTGCCCTAGTCAGATGGCACCATCTCTCACTTGGACCACTGAGATGGCCCCTCTAGATAACCCCTCTTCTGCACTGCTGCTGAGGTGGTCTTTTCCCTTCACTGACCCTGCAGGAACTTTTAGAATGGGTCTAACTCCTTAAGGAGTTAGCTTTAAATTAGCTAAGTTAAGTTAGCTTTAAATGTAGCTGGGAAATTCCTTTGGGATTTGGTCCTGCCTAGCTCTCTCCTCTCTCTCTCTCTCTTTTGAGACAGGGTCTCCCTTTGTCAACCAGGCTGGAGTGCAGAGGCGTGAACACTGCTCACAGTAGCCTCAACCTCCTGAGTTCGAGTGATTCTCCTGCCTCACTCTCCCCAGTAGCTAGGATTACAGGTGTGCACCACCATGCCCAGTTAATTTTTTAATTTTTAGTAGAGACGGGGTCTCACCGTATTGTCCAGGCTGGTCTCAAACTCCTGGCCTCAAGCAGTCCTCCTGCCTCAGTCTCCCAAAATGCTGGGATTACAGGCATGAGCTGCTGTGCCTGGCCCCTGGCTAGCTCACTAACACTATTTTCCACCATTCTTTTTCCATGGCTGACCTGTTTGAATTTCCCCTCAAATCCACCTCTCTTGGCCTAGAAATTCCTTCTCCCTGAATGCTTAGCAAACATATGTTCTTTTTTTTTTGCTCTGTGGCCCAGGCTGGAGTGCAGTGGCGCGATCTGGGCTCACTGCAACCTTCACCTCCCGGGTTCAAGCAATTCTCTGCCTCAGCCTCCCGAGTAGCTGGGATTACAGGCGCCGGCCACCATGCCCAGCTAATTTTTGTATTTTTAGTAGAGATGGGGTTTCACCATGTTGGCCAGGCTAGTCTTGAACTCCTGACCTCGTGATCCATCCACCTTGGCCTCCCAAAGTGCTGGGATTACAGGCGTGAGCCACCGCGCCCAGCCACGTAGGTTCTTTTTTAAAGACTCAGTTCACACATCTTCAGGAAGCCTTGCCTAACCCTCAGGCACTTAGGGGTTAGTTCAGTATCTTTATCACACTGTTTCTAATCATCCATTTACTTGTACAGGTACCTCCTAGACTGTAAAGTTCTCTGGGGCAGGATGCATGTCTGATTCATTTCTCCATTCCCAGGAGTCCAGCTTGGCATCACTGTTTGCTGAATGAAAGAATTAATGAAGAATTGTTATGACATTTACCTTTCATGAGGCGATTCGCTACACAAGGGTGGGACAGAGTTGGTTTCATTCACTGAGGTTGTGGTGCATGTACAGGCCTGGCAGGAAGTAGGAGGTCAGCAACTACTGGCTGAAGGCTGGGTGTGGTGGCTCACATCTGTAATCCCAGCACTTTGGGAGGCTGAGGGGGCGGATCACTTGAGGTCAGGCTTTCAAGACCAGCCTGGCCAACATGGTGAAACCCCATCTCTATTAAAAATACAAAAATTATCTGGGTGTGGTGGCATACACCTGTAATCCCAGCTACTTGGGTGGCTGAGGCAGGAGAATCGCTTGAACCCAGGAGGCTGTGGTTGCAGTGAGCAGAGATCGCCTCATTGCACTCCAGCCTGGGCAACAGAGTGAGACTGTCTCAGAAAACAAAAACAAACAAACCCCAACTACTGGCTGAATCAATGAATGAGGATTAAATGAGATCCTGTGAAAATGCTCTGAAACTCTACAGATACTGTTTTTATTGTTCTGTTCACATAGTTTCCAGCCGGCATCCTTTTTTTTGTCCATTTGGTCACCACCGACTCTACCTCCAGGAGCCGAACTGATGATGGCAAGAAAGACCATGAAGACACTGGAAAATCTTGTGGCTGTTTTTTTTCCTGTTTGGGAAACAGCACCTGCCCTTCCAGTCACACCATGATTCTTTCCCCTTCCAACATCTGAACTGGGGAGAGCGGTAGAATTTTCACTCACTCCATCAGCCACCATCTAGAGCTTATCAATAAGAAGCCTTCCGTGGGCCAGGCTCCAGGTTACTGCCAGGCACATGGATGATTTAGACCCAGTTCCCCACTCACTGGGAGTCCTCCCCACATCACAGGAGGTGACGCCGTCATCAAGTAGCTGCAGCTTTTTCAAGGCCACTCCACTCCAGAGCTTGCTGGGGTTGCCTGCCTGATGGGCACTGAGGACAGAAGCCAGAGAGCCGGGAGGTGCTGAAGGAGCCGTGGCTCCTCCTGGGCTGAGGGGGGCCCTTGGCAAGGCTCAGCTCCCACCCCAGGAAAAGCCCTTCCTTGGGGGAGCTCAGAGCTCAGGAAGCAGTCACCCTCTTGCCTTCAGAGTGGGCAAATAAAGTGGGTCAAAGTTCTTCAGAAATTATGTTCCTGGGACAAAGACAGTGACATCGATGCAGAGAAGTGGGCATTCTCTAAAGTGGGCCAAGTCCCCTCTATCTGCTGCCTCACAGAGCTAGCTAGCACTGACAGCTTCCAAAGCTCCCTCGCACACTGCGCAGGCCCCCTTCCTTCAGCTCTGGCTTCCTGGAGTCAGGGCCGTGGCCCCCTCTTCCTAACAGGCCTGCTCATCTGTCCCAGCCCCACTCCCCTTCCTCCCGGGGCTAGACCGAAGTCTCCCCCGGGATGCCCCCTGCATCACCGCTGGAGCGCAGCCTGATCCTGCGGTGCCGCCGCCCTCCCTTCCTCCTTCTCATCTCTATATATCTGTCTAATGAACATTTCAATAAGCCGAGCACAGCTTTTTCCACTTAATAAGCAGAGTGCTGACTTCATTGCGGGTTTGCTCTTCACTTATCTGTTCAGGGCCTTAAATCATTCCCAGGAAAAAGCTTAGCACAGGGAAACCTGGCATCCTGGCTATTGGCTGCTCCTGTCAGCACCTGCCCTGCTAGGGCCGAGGGGAAGCCCTGCTTCCACAGAACAGCGTGGCAGTGTGAATAAAACTCCTGGGATACCCAAGCATCTGGAAGGCTGAGGACTGGGGCTGGGGGATGTTGGAGCCATCACCACTGAAGGAAGTTCTGGAGGCAAGGTGGAAAGGGCAGGGGAGTAGGGGAGAACTAGAAAGCAAGTGAGGTTCTGGAGCGAGAAGGCAAGTTTAATGAGCACTTACTATGTGTTGCGCATTGGGCTAGGCGCTAGGGACAAAACACTGAACAAAACTATCATTGTCTCTGCCCTCACGGAGTTGCCTTCTAACAGGAAAGGAACACATTACACAAACAATTGCCTAAACAACAGCTGTGAGGGAAAGAACTGGCTTTATGGGAATGCATCATGGGGGCTGGAGAAAGCTTCCCTTAGGAAACGAACTTTAAGCTAAGGTCTGAAAAAGTTGGGTTGAGACAGGTGACAGGTAACCTAGAAGAGACCAAAACAGTCCAATAACTGATCTCTTTCACCGGGGCTATAACATGTCATGTTGATTGCTATATGTTGAGATCATGTAAGGTGGTGGCAAAAAACACAGGCTTTGGAGTAAGACACACCTAGGTCTGAATTCTAGCTCCGTAAACTTTCTAGCTGCGTGATCTTGGGGGAGGTTGTTTAACCTCTCTGCTTCATTTATCATTTATCAAATGGAGTAAAAATACTCACCTTGCAGGGCTGTTGTAAGGATTAAAGTTGATACTCAATATAAAGGATGTATATAAAGCACCTGGCATATAGGACATGTTTAATATGCAGTAGATGCTACCACTAATGGTACTATCATATGTGTCTATTTCTTCCCCAAGCCTACTAGGAGGTCTTTGAAGGTTTAGACAAAGTCTTACACATTTTATATCTGATTGAATTAGACAGGGAGCAGTGGAAAAGATTCTGATATTTCACCTGGTGCCAGAAAAGAGCCCTAGGCATCCAGCCAAAGGTATGGCCCTTGGTGTGCATACGCATATACAGTGGGGGCTGGGCCATAGATGTTATTCTCTATTCTCCAGCATCCTTTTGGATTTAGTTGGCAGGATGATTTCAGGGCAAAAGGGTACAGACTCAATTAAATGTGGGCAAGTGCAAGGCAATGCCTTTTGTGATGAACACATCAAAACCCCCTCTCCAGTGCTCAACTCTGCATGGTCAGCCACGGTTCTGGCAAAGGACCTAGAAATCCTTCTTCATTTAGACAGTTCCCTGAGGCTGTTGGCCAAAAGGCTAAGAGAACTGTGAATAAGATGTGACGGAAGAAGGAGAACATGTTCCTTGAGGTGCCCAGCTGGAACAGTCCTACCCGCAGGGCTCAGCCGTGGCACTCTGTCCCACCCTGGAGAAGACGCAGGGCATGCAAAAGCTCCTCAGTGGGGAAGGGTCGATGACTCACCACCCAGTCTGGAAGTGAGAAGGCTGGTGGGGGATGTGAAGGAAATCACAAATCACAAATGGTGTAGAGAAGGTGACTAGAAACTTATTCACAAGATCCTGAAACTGTAGGCAAAGTGGGTTTGCTTTGAAACTCGAACACATTTGGGATGAATAAAGGTGATTTTATACCGTGGCCAGTGAACTTAAGAAATTCATTCTCCCAAATGGTGGGTCTAGCAGAAAACATAAATGAATTTAAACATCTTTGGACAAATTTATGAGACACAGTCATGTACATCCCTTAATCAGTTTGTTCAGTGAATGAATGAATGAATGAACGAGTGAATATGGATGATCCTAGTTTTCAAGGTATTTCAGTTCAGAGTGCCTACTATGAGCAAAGCATTGTGCAAGATGTAAAAATGAACAGTTTCGCTCTCCTTCCTTCCTTCCTTCTTTCCCTCCCTCTCTCCCTCCCTCCCTCCTTCCTTCCTTCCTCTCTCTCTTTCTTTCCTTCTCTTTCTTTTTCTTCCTTTTTTCCTTTTTGACAGGGTCTCACTATGTTGCCCAGAACTGGTCTAGAAAGAATACCTAGGCTCAATCGATGCTCCCATCTCAGACTCCCAAAGTGCTGGGATTACAGGTGTGAGTCACCTCGCCCAGCCAACACAAACAGTTTCTATCAAGAAGCTTATATATATATATATAAAATATATATTATATATTAATATATACATATGTATATATATTATATATACATACGTATATAAAATATATATACATATATACATATACATACATATATACACATATATATGTATGTGGATTGAGAAAGAAGCTCCTTCAACTCAGCCCCTAGAGAGATGCAGAATGAGGGCCCAGGGTCCCCTATTAGCGGAGGGATTGTTTCAGCCATTTCGGGCACCCTGGGGTTCTCACTGGGCAAAGACATTCAGCTCAGTGATATAGTGAGCACCATGGGTTCCCCTCCCTGTCTAGCAACATCTGTAAAGAGGAGAACTTTGCTTAAAAATGAACAGGAAGAGGCCGGGCGCGGTGGCTTACGCCTGTAATCCCAGAACTTTGGGAGGCCGAGGCTGGTGGATCACAAGGTCAGGAGATTGAGACCATCCTGGCTAACACAGTGAAACCCCGTCTCTACTAAAAAATGGAAAAAATTAGCAGGGCGTGGTGCAGGCGCCTGTAGTCCCAGCTACTAGGGAGACTGAGGCAGGAGAATGGCATGAACCCGGGAGGCGGAGCTTGCAGTGAGCCAAGATCATGCCACTGCACTCCAGCCTGGGTGACAGAGCCAGACTCTGTCAAAAAAAAAAAGAACAGGAAGAGCAGACAGGAAAAGGCAAGAGAGGGAAGGAGATACCCTAAATAGGTCCAGCCAGTCTGAGGGAGTTGCATTAAAAAGAGGGCAGGTTTACCAGAGGACAGCAGGTAGAGAGGGGTGTCATTTGTTCATTCAGGTCATCATTAATTGACTAGGGAGCATGTTTGATGTGCCAGGCACTGTGCTAAAGCTAAGGAAATACACTACCTTTCTTTAAGAAGCACATAGCACTGGGTGTGGTGGCTCACACCTGTAATCTCAGCACTTTGGGAGGCTGAGGCTGATGGATCACTTGAAGTCAGGAGTTCGAGACCAGCCTGGCCAACTTGGTGAAACCTGTCTCTACTGAAAAAACAAAAATTAGCCAGGTGTGGTGATGCACGCCTGTAATCCCAGCTACTTGGGAGGCTGAGGTACAAGAATTGCTTGAACCTGGGAGGCGGAAGTTGCAGTGTACCGAGATTGTGCCACTGCACTCCAGCCTGGGCGACACAGAGAGACTCCATCTCAAACACACACACAAAAGAAGCACATAGTCTGGTGGGGAGAAAAACATGTGGACAGATAATTAGAAAATGATGTGGTGATAGAAATACATTCTGGGTAGGGGCACAAAGGAGGAGACAATTAACGACATCAAGGAAGGCTTCAAGAAGGGTGTATCACTTTAGCTGGGTCTTGAAAGATTAGTAGGAGTTCAACAGGCAGATGAAGGCATAGAAGACATTCTAAGCAAAGGGAAAGCTATATGCCCAGTCACAGAGGTAAAAATAAATTGGTACATTCAGGCCAGGCGCGGTGGCTCACGCCTGTAATCTCAGCACTTTGGGAGGCCGAGGCAGGCGAATCATGAGGTCAGGAGATCGAGACCATCCTGGCTAACACGGTGAAACCCTGTCTCTACTAAAAAATAGAAAAAATTAGCTAGGCATGGTGGCAGGCGCCTGTAGTCCCAGCTACTCCAGAGGCTGAGGCAGGAGAATGGCGTGAACCCGGGAGGCGGAGCTTGCAGTGAGCCAAGATCATGCCACTGCACTCCAGCCTGGGTGACAGAGCGAGACTCCATCTCAAAAAACTTAAAGTAAATAAATACATAAATTGGTACGTTCAGTATAGCTGGAATTTAGGGTATGCATAGAGGCCATAGGAACTGAGACTGGGCAGGTAGGTGGGGTCAGATCATACAAAGTTGAAAGCCGGGTGGAGTGGCTCACCCCTGTAATCCCAGCACTTTGGGAGGCCAAGGCAGGAGAATCGCTTGAGTCCAGGAGTTCGAGACATTCCTGAACAACAAAGTGAGATCCTGTCTCTACAAAATGTCAAAAACTTAGCTAGGCGTGGTGTCGTGTGCCTGTGGTTCCAACTACACAGGAGGTTGAGGTAGGAGAATGGCCTGAGCCCAGGAGGTGGAGGCTGCAGTGAGCTGTGTTATGCCACTGCACTCCAGCCTGGGCAACAGAGTGAGACCCTGTCTCAAAAAAGAGTTTGAGTGCTATGCTAAGGAGACTGGAGTTGATCCTATAGGCAAAAATGAGCCATTGAAGAAAGTTAAGCAAGGGGTAAGACATGACTGGATTTACATGCTAGAAATATCACTCTTGAAACAGTGTGGAGGAGGAATTAAGGAATCAGAATTGTGGGCAGGGAGACTAGTAAGGAAGCTATTGCAAAAATCTAAGAGGAGGGACAAAGACAGGTCTGAACTAGAACAACCAAGCAGTGGAGATAAAAAGGAAGAGACCAAAAAACGAGTGAAAAGGTGGGTGGTGAAGGTGAGCTGGGAGGGCCGTTGCCTTCTACCTGCTTGCTATGAAATTCCAGCTGGAACTCAGACTGGCTCCCCACCTGGCTGCATGCAAGGAACTGCTCTGATGCAGGGCACTGGGTTCCCAAGCCCCACAGGTTTGCTTCAGATGATTTCTAGGGAAAGGGTAGATCTTCCTGACCCTCCATTCTCTTCTCAGCTGATTCCAAGTCCCAGATCAATGGGATCCCCTTCAGCCCAACTGTTTCCTGTCCTTGGGTCTGACATTGGAGCTTTTTTCTCCAGGACAGAGAGCTTTATTGAGTATGAATACATCAGAGAGCACAATCTTGAAATTCCTGCCAGGATTCCTATTCTGTCTCAGCTTGGGATCCAGTTCTAGGCTAGGGGAGTAAGACAGCAAAGGAGTAAGGGTAGGCGAGAAGGACATGTCCTAAGCAGTGGCAAGCATTCCTCAATTTTTTTGCCCAAGTCCCTCCTCAATGCCTACCAGGCTGCCAGCTCCCAAATTCTGGGCTTTGCCTCTTTAATGGCTCTTGCTCTCTGTCCTGGGTGAAGCCTGAGTGGATAAGAAGACCCAGCCCTCCTCATCTCCATCCTTCCTCCATTCCTGGGGGCAGGGGCCAGAGAGATATCTGTTCGCTTCTGCAGATACACACATCACCCTTCTCCATTCTGTTCTGTGCCCTGAAAGCTGATTTCTGTCTTCTGCCCCAACAACCAAGCTTGCTTGCCTTCAGGATTCCTATGGGGTTTGACACATGGAGGACATTAGAGAACGAGAGGAGAGAAGCAGTTGGGGTGAGTATTGCCCTGGCTCCTTCTCTGCCAGCCAAGGGTTAGCATTCCTTTCCTGAAAGTCACAGCTCCTCCTGCAGCCGTGGTCATAGCCGCAGTTCTTCCTGGGTGCTGGTATATGCTCCTTCAATCCCAGGGGTAGTAACAGCTCCCCTGTCGTTGCTAGCTCTGAAGTACTTCACCTTCTCTTTATAAATCGTCCTTTCCTTAAACTTTCCTTTGTTACCCCATTCGTGGGCCTCTGTTTCTTGCTAGAACACTGACTAGTATAGCAGGCATTCTCAGAGATGGGACACTAACTGGACCATATATTTATTCCAGAAAGTTTTCATCAGTCTTATCCTACTTTGTCTACCATGAGTCTTTCAATACTAAGTGCCTCCTCCTGTTGATGGGCAGAGTGTAGAGAAACCAAACAGCAATTGAATCCCACGCCCTTGGCCTAGGCAGCTTCTCATAGCCACTAGGGGTTCATTTCTACAGGTTTGCAGAGAGTACAACAATGAAAAAGAAGTCATCTCGTTTTTAGTGAGAGAGAAACTGAGACTCAGAGAATGTCAGGACTGGGTAGCTGGATGCCATGAAGCATTCATTCATTCATTCATTCATTCATTCATTCATTCATTCTTATACTCAGCAAATATTTGTAGGGCACTTATCATGTTCAAGATACTATGCTAGTCACCATGGATACCACAAGCAATAAACAAAATATAATCCTGATGTCACTAAGAACACAATTTTGTTGGAGAGACCGACAAGCAGGGAGGCAATTACAAGAAGATAACCTTATTAGAAGAGTGGGTATGAGGAGTGCTGTGGAAATACACAAAAGTGGCACCTATCCTACTCTTGTGGGGTGGACAGAAGAAAGCTTCCCAGAGGAAATGAGTCTAAGCTAAGATCTGAAGGAAATCTTGGAGTTGACAGGGGGAGGAAGAGATAGGGAGAAGAAGAAGGGAACAGTATGTGCAAAGAGAGGAGCTGGAACACAGTGCCTTGGGAAAAGGAAAGTAACTCAGCACGGCTGGAATTTGTAGCTCAAGGCGGGGCGTGGTGAGAGATTAGGCTGGAAAAGTGGTAGAGATCAGATGACATGTGGTCTTCTAGGCTGCATTAAGAAGTTTAGAGGCCGGGCGCAGTGGCTCACGCCTGTAATCCCAGCACTTTGGGAGGCCAAGGCGGGCGGATCACGAGGTCAAGAGATCGAGGCCATCCTGGCTAACAAGGTGAAACCCCGTCTCCACTAAATATACAAAAATTAGCCGGGCGTGGTGGCGGGTGCCCGTAGTCCCAGCTACTCGGGAGGCTGAGGCAGGAGAATGGCGTGAACCCGGGAGGCGGAGCTTGCAGGGAGCCGAGATTGCGCAACTGCACTCCAGCCTGGGTGACAGAGCAAGACTCTGTCTCAAAAAAAAAAAAAAAAAAAAAAGAAGAAGTTTAGAATAGCAGGGAGCCATTGATGGGTTTTTGTTGTTGTTGTTGTTTGTCTGTTTGTTTTTTGAGACAAGGTCTTGCTCTGTTGCCCAGGCTGGAGCGCAGTGGCACAATCATGGCTCACTGCAGACTTGACCTCCGAGGCTCCTACCTCAGCCTGCCAAGTATCTGGGACTTGTATGTGCTGCCACATCTGGCTAGCTTTTTCTATTTTTTTTGTAGAGGTGGGGTCTCACTCCTGTTGCCCAGGCTGGTCTTGAACTCCTAGGCTCAAGCAATCCTCCCAAAGTGCTGGACTTACAGGCACGAGCCGCCACACCCAGCAGGAGTTTCATTTTCATTCATGATGGACACATCTGAGACAGCCTAAAGGAGGCCATTGTGAGGATCTGGAGTTTTCCTGCTCACAAGTTCTGAGCCTGCTGCGGAGCCTTTTTGAAATAGTCTTAGATGAGGCTTATAGGACCCAACCAAGTAGCCTCTATACTCCAGTTTCAGTAGCCTGCTGTCCACGGTTTGGTGGCATATACCAGGCACTAGAGGGGCAATGGCTTCCACTGGCACACATCAAATGACTTCCAGCTTGGAGTCAGGCCCTCAGAGGAGGTGGCTGCCAACCATGCCCCATAAGGAGGTAAAAATGGAGGTATGTGTTAGGAGGAGACTAGATCTAAAGCATAGCTTGTGGGAATGGGAGCTTGAGGTGTTCAGTTTATGCAGCAGGCAAGTTGGGGAGCAGAGCTGAAGGATTCTGAGTGAAGAAGTGCGTGGTAAAATCTCAGTCTTAGGATGTATAACCTAGTGATTATTAACAAGGTGAATTGGAGGTGGGGAGACCAATGGGAGGTTGCTACCATAATGCAGAAAGATTTTTTTTCCCCTTTGGCTAATCAAATTAGTAAAGATTTAAAAATTGATAATGTGGATGATGGTTTAAGAAAATGGGTATAATCATTCATTGATGATGAGATTGTGAATTGGTATAACCTTTCTAGAAAGCAGTCTATCAATACGTATCAACAGCTTTTTAAAAGTTTATACCTTTTGACCCAATAATTTCTTTTCTAGGACCCTAACCTAAGGAAATTATCAGACATTCTCAAAAATATGAATCCTCATCAGTCCTATTAATAATAACAAAAAAAATGGCCGGGCACGGTGGCTCACGCCTGTAATCCCAGCACTTTAGGAGGCTCAGGCGGGTGGATCACATGAGGTCGGGAGTTCGAGACCAGCCTGGCCAACATGGTGAAACCACGTCTCTACTAAAAATACAAAAATTAGCCAGGCGTGGTGGCCCGTGCCTGTAATCCCAGCTACTTGGGAAGCTGAGGCAAGAGAATTGCTTGAATCCAGAAGGCGAAGGTTGCAGTGAGTCAGGATCATGCCATTGCACTCCAGCCTGGGCGACAGAGCGCCTCAAAAAAAAAAAAAAAAAAAAAGGCAAGAAGTGAAGATGACAGTAAACTTGGGTGACACTTCCAGACCTACAAAGGATAGGAGAGGGGCCAATTTTGGCAGGGTTTAGGGGGAAGACAATGACTTTAGTTTCTGCTCTGCTGCGATGGAGGTGCTAGGAGATATCCAAATCCCCTGAATGCCTGAGTGATGGATCTGGGCTCTGGAAAGCATGGTTCAAGTGTGTCATGTGACACTAGGAGACCAGACACATGGGGGTGGTGAGTGAAATGAACAGGGGGTCCAACCTGGCCATGGAGAAGCATTGCAGGGACTAGAACAGGCCCAAGAACGCCCTGAGCATCTCCACTGAGTTGCTGCTGAAGCTACACATACACTCAGAACTAAACGGGCTGGAAACCTTCATTCAAAGCCTAGCTATGTTATACTTTGGTACAGCTCCTGTAGCTCAACCTCAGGCTGGGATAAGGTAAGGTATGAATGTGGGGCAAGTCCTGAGCTGCCATGATTTTGTATTGTAGAGAGGTTCCTACTCGTAAGGATGGAAAGCAACCTTTCTGCATCTCTTCAAGGTATCTTGCTCTCCTGATTCCCCATTTCTTATTCCTCCTATCAGCCCATCACTGTTGAGAGGGCCGCAGATTCTCCCATGCACCTAGGGGAGATTTGCTCTGTTGTCCCTGATTTCAGGGAACTGAATGCTGTCCAGAACTCTGCAAAACCAAGACCAGCTGCATGGTACTCAACAGCCTTCCCAGCTAATGTGCAGCCCGAGAGACACAGCAGGCTCCTCCAAGGGGATGTCTCCATAACCCCAAGCATCTCCACCCAACACCTGCCTCTCTTGGTTGCAGTAGAGAGGTCAAGTCTGGGTCATCTGGGCTTCTTCTCGAGCCTTCTTGGCCCACTTCTCCAAAAGCCCCTGGCCCTCTTGGCTTTGCCAAGGGGACTGTGGAGGGACACCAGTCAGGAATCAGGAGGGCTCAGGCCTACGCTCATGCTATCTTTTTGGCCTATTTGCTCTCTTTCTATCCCTTTGGGCAATTGAGCCATAGGGCCTGAAACATTCCCAGGCTTCTACCCTGCAGGGGACAAACTCCCAACTCCGCTTGGCTCTAGGTCCTCGCAGAGCTGCAGGCTGAGGACAGGGCTTCTCTGGTGGCTTGGAGTCCTTGCTGCTTCACTTTTTGGAGACAGGACAGATGGAGCCCAGGCGTAGGATAAATAAACCAATGAAATCTGAGAAAACAATGTCCTGCTACTTCTCTTCAGAGCTACTGCCCACCCCCTACTCAGGGCGAAGGTGGGTCTGTCTGCCAGCTAAGATGCTGGTGTGGGATTCTCCCCATCCCTGGCTGGAGACCCCTCATTCAGGCGGCCCCTGCAGCTTGGCGTGTTTACCTAACGTGGTGAACACATGCTCTCTCTGGAGGATCATTGTTTTCCCTCTGAGGCCCTTCAGTCACACTGGAGTCCCCCAGTTAAGAAGCAGCAGGAGGAAGGGGAGGAAGGGGTCACTAGAATGGGGAAGCAGAACTGGGAGGGAAGAGACATCAGGCTGATCACGCTGGGCAAGGAGGGAAGAGAGAGAGGGAGTTCCAAGGCTTCAGGACCTGCTGGCTGGTGAACACCTCTTACTGTTGGAAACACCAGGATTCTAGGAATGATGGGTTGCGAGCAAGAGACTATCACTCTTGGAATTCACCCTTTTTGAGAACCACAGAAAAGGTGGAGAGAGAAAAATTCCCCTTGGTGATAAAAGTTCCTCATGTGCGCTCTGCCTCCTTCGCTTAAACTTGACCTTCACTTAGCAATTGTTCAGAGAGCCTCCTATATGCAAGGCATTGTGCTAGGGACTGGGGCTAATGAAATGAATAGTTGGGAAAGATGGCCTTGTATATCAACATTGCAATGCTACATCATAGCTGTTTTTGTTTGTTTGTTTGTTTTTCCCGAGACAGAGTCTCTCACTCTGTTGCCCAGGCTGGAGTGCACTGGTGTGATCTTGGCTCACTGCAGCCTCCATCTCCTGGGTTCAAGTGATTCTCGTGTCTCAGCCTCCTGAGTACCTGGGGTTATAGGCATGTGTCACCATACCTGGTTAATTTTTGTATTTTTAGTAGAGACAGAGTTTAACCACATTGCCCAGGCTGGTCTGGAACTGATCTGCCCGCCTTGGCCTCCCAAAGTGCTGGGATTACAAGCATAAGCCACCACGCCCGGCCAATCATAGCTGTTTTGAGAGTGTCAAGAACTAAGTACAGTAGTTGCTTACTAGAAAGAAAGGGTTTCCACTTATGTTTGGAGGGGTTAGGGAAGACAGCATCTCTGAGCTGGGTTTTAAAGAATGAGGCTGGGCGCAGTGGCTCACGCCTGTAATCCTAGCACTTTGGGAGGCTGAAGTAGGAGGATTGCCTGAGGCCAGGAGTTCGAGACCAGCCTGGGCAACACAGCAAGACCCTGTCTCTACAAAAATAATTTTTAAAAATTAAGCCAGATGTGGTACCTGTAGTCCTAGCTACAAGGGAGGCTGAGGTAAGAGGATTGCTTGAGTCCTGGAGGTCGAGGCTGTGGTGAGGTGCAATCATACCACTGCATTCCAGCCTCAGTGACAGAGTGAGACCTTGTCTAAAAAGAAAAAAAAAGAAAAGAAGAATTGGGAGAGTACCAGAGGCTGAATGAAGGAGTCTAGGTGGGGAGCCTGGAAGGAAGAAACATTCCAGGTAAAGGAAATCTTGTGTGCAAATGCTAGGAGGCATTAGAGAGCTCTGATGTAATCCTGGAAGCAATGAGGAGCTGTTGGAGTGTTTTAGACAGGTGTTAGAGTCACGTTTTAGGAAGATCATGTGAGCAGCAGTGGGGAGGATGGACGGCAGGGAGAAAGACTGGATGGTGAACATTGGTCAGAAGGATTTTTTAGACAGTATAAGTGAGCTACAGGGAGGACCTGAACTAAGTCAGTAGCAGGGGCTAGAGATAAGGGGACATATATAAGGGACGATAAGGAATCCACAGGATTTCGTGACTAACGAGACATGGGGGATGTGAGGCCAAGAGAGAAGACGGTGAGGATGCCTAGGATTCTGGCTTAAGGGCCTGGGACAATAGCGGTACTGTTCGTGGTAGAGAGAAAATGAAGGAAAGAGAACAAGTTGCGAGTTGATGTGTGCGGGTGCTGGGGGTAATAAGACTGTGTTAAGAGTCTGGGTTGAGATACTCAGTATGCAGTAGGTAGATGGGCCTAGAGCAGCTATACCAAAGACCACTTCAAGATCTCATGACTGGATAACTGAGAGGATGACAATGTCATCAACAGAAATAATGACCGCTGAAGGTGAATTATCATGGGAGTTGGGGCTACATGGCGGATTGAATTTTGAGATGTCTATTGGACAAAGCGCTGAAGATATTCACCAGGCAGTTGGAAAAATGGGACCAGAGCAGCACGAGGTCAGATTTGGAGCTTTATATTCAGGAGTCCTCTAAATAAAGATAATAGCTGCAGCTGCAGGAATGGATGAGCTCATCAGATTAAAGTGTGCACCGAGAGAAGAGGGTCAAAGGTAGAACACTGGGAAACACCTACTTTTATTTAGGGTGGCAGGAGGGCAAAGAGCCAGAGAAGGAGCTGTCTGCAAGGAGAACCAGGAGGTGGTATGAGAGATGCCGAGAGAGAAAAGTGTTTCAGGAGGGTGACCGCAGGGTTAGGCGAAGAGATGTTAAGAAGGGTGAACACCAACATGGACTTGGAGATGTGGATGAACAATCTTTAGGAGAACAGATTCACCAAAGAGGTAAGGACTGTGGCAGAAATGAGCCAGTGGAGAGAATGGAAGTGGTTAAATATAAAAAAGCCTTTGAGCAGTGAGGCAGTGAAGGGGACAGAAGCTCAAGGAGTGAGGAGGGTTTAAAGAATGTGTTTTTTAAAATGGGGAAGGCTTGGTCCAGTTGCATTTTTGTGACACACACAAGGAGACATCTTCACTTCAGCTCTGTCTCACAGGGCTGTTGGCAATGCCTTTTCCCATCCTGGGGGCTCTCGTGTCCACAGATTCCCAGGGCCTAATGTGCCAGGCACCCTGGAGGAAGCATCCCTCTCAATGTGTGACAACATGAACACCTTGGTTTTCTTCTCCCTTCTTTCTGCCCTGCTTCCTTCTCTTCCTTTGCTTATTTACTTGCTGAACCCCTCCTTAGTGTCATCTGCCTTGAGGGGTATGACTCTGGGACTGGGGCAGGTGAGAGAGGACCGCCAGGAGGCGCCTGGAGAGGCTGCTGTAGCAATGCAGTTGTCCATAGCAGGTGGGCTGGAGAGGAGAGTGGATGTGGGAGAGGGATTTGAGACTAACCAGACATGGGTGGAGGGAAATGCAGGGGCAGAGCTGGCTCAGAAGTCCCAGCTTTGGGGTGCCAGCGAGGGGTCAGGAGTGATGCCCGAGGTCTTACTTTTCAGAGCCAGAGCTCGGTGCATCAATGACTCTGAAGCAAGCACTCCATCTCGGGGTAACATGATCCTGTAACGCAGGGCTCCTCTGATGTGGTCTGCTTGCCTTTTACAGCATTAGGGGAGCAACATTTCATGGAAAATTCAATAAATCCCCCTGTACAGCCAGACGTCTGTAAACAATGGCTTCCAAATTCAATCAGGCTGGGGACCCGCAGCAGCATTTATGAGCTCTAACGTGGAATATTATATAGGGGAGTGAGTAGCAGGGGGCTGGGGGAAGGGACTTCCTGGAAGAAGAAAGCTCCTGTGTGGCTCCTGCTCTCAGATGTTGCGGTGGAGGTGATTCTCCAGGTAGAAGTCCTAGCCATGCGACCTCTTAGGCTGGGCCTGGGGGGCCACTGAGCCATGGCTCTGGGCCTGGGGAGGAGGACAGGGATCTGGCCTTCTGGTACTGGCCATGAAGAGGCTGGGTGGCCGGAAGAACCAGGACCGAGAGTGAGCTCGCCAGCTTCTCCTCCCACGTCCTGCAGCCCATGCTTACCTGGCAAGCAGTGTGAGTCATCTCGGGTGCTTATTGTCTTTGTCACACCTTCCACCTCCTTTTACAAACCTTCTACCCACTTTGGTTCTATGGTCTGGTGATGATCTTCAGAGAACTAGCCCCTTTCTCTCTCAGGTTCAGAATGCCCCTCACTCAGTTCAGAAAGGTTTGCAATGAGGTAGGAGAACATGCAAGAAAGGGTTTCTCCTCGTCTCTACTATAAATAGAAAATTAGCCGGGCGTGGTGGCGCATGCCTGTAATCCCAGCTACTCGGGAGACTGTGGCAGGAGAATTGCTTGAACCCAGGAGGTGGAGGTTGCAGTGAGCCGAGTTTGCGCCATTGCACTCCAGCCTGGGCAACAAGAGTGAGACTCCATCTCAAAAAAAAAAAAAAAATTGGGTTTCTGATGAAGAGGTTGCAGTATGCTGTTTTAGGGAGGCTCAGAGGTCTCACCCATCTTTAGGCCCCCTAGATATCTCCTCTCCTTGGCCCTGTGAACCCCTCTACACTCTGGTCAGGTCTCCTAGCCTCTGCACCCCCACCCCCACTGTTGCCCTTGCACCCTCTGCCAGGCTTTCTCCAGCAAACCACAAGGAGCATAATTGGGCAAAGGGAAGAACTAAAGGTCTGGATTCAAATCTAGTTCTTCCCATTTCCCTGTTATGGATCTTGGATTAGTCACTTCCTCCTCTGAATCTCAAGGTGGGAATAACGTGAACTGCCTTGCTGAGTGCCTGAGGATAAAATTAGATAATGGATGTAAAGTGCCTGAAAGTTAATGGCATGGAATCAGCATGAAATACACAGTAGCTTTCTTCTCCACAATTCTTCTCCTTTCAAACCTCCCTTCAATAAAGCTTCTTTTAATCCTCAGAAACTGCCCTCCCTCCAACCGAAGGTACCAGATGTCCCGTCAGCTCTTCTCTCTGTCCTGCACATCTCCGAGTTCCCTTTGTGACTGGCTCTTCTGTGAGGCCTGATTTGAATCCAACAGGAAGAGCATAGAAGATCACAATGGACCATGGCCACATGGAAGGGGTGGAGGCAACGCCGAGGTGTCCCGCTTGCCTTCCTAGAGAACTACGGCGTAAGCTCCTCAAGGGCAAGGATTTTAGCCCGCTTTGTTTGTGGCTCTATTCCCAGGGTCTAGAGCCATGCTTGACACTTGGTACATGCTCAATAAGTATTTCCTGGTTGCATTAACTCATTCAGCATCTTCTCACCATTTTCCTGTGGTTTTTCTCTGTACCCAGTGGGAGAATGGAGAGATTGCATTCCAGGACATACAACAACCCCTCCTGGAAATCAGAAATCCTCTCTTCCTTCAAAATGTCCTTGGAACACTGGTCAGGCATCCGCCGTGGAGTGGGCATGGAGCAGAATCACAGCCACAAGGCTTCTCCTTGCAGCCCACTGCTAGAAACAAACATGTCTTGGAAGGCAAAGTTCCACAAGGCTTTAGGCTAATCCATGCCCAGCCTTTGGAGATTGAAAGGATAACTTCCAGAAAGGTGAGCTAGAGATGCACTTCCCTCCTTCTCCGGAGGACAGTTCTATAGAGCCCTCAGTCAATCTTAAAACACAGGGCAACAGGGAGGAAAAGGTTGGCTAGCCCCAGAGCAATGCTGAGTGGCATTTATAAAGGATTTATCGTGTGCCAGACTCTGCACTCAGCACTTACATGCATGAACTCATTAAAACCTCGTGCTGGCTAGTACTGGTATTAGTCCCATTTTACCTATAAGGAAACTGAGGCTCAGAGAGGTTAAATAGCATGCCAAGATCACAGGGCCAAGAACAAGAGGAACAGGGTGATCCCAGGTCTGTCTGACTCCAGAGCACAAGTGACTACCCACTATAATCTACAGCCTCAGAAGACAGGGATGGAGAGCAGTCCTTGGCTCAGATGGTTCTGGGGCCCCGGCAGAGATCAAGCATTTTCCTGTCTGCTCCTGCTCTGTTCTTCTCCCACCCCCGCTCCAGTTCACAGTGGGCAACTGAGATCATTGTTTGGGAGTGGTTGTCTCCTGTGGTCCTCCCGACCTCTTGCTGGGTATTCCCTGGGGATGAGGAGGAAGATGGGACAGGGTCAGGGGAGAGCTGCTGCTCTCTGTCCCCAGCTCCACAGGCCAGTGGGATGCTCTGCTGTCCAGCTGGGACCAGTTCCGGGCAACTGGGCATAATGCAAGAGTTCTCACCCCGGGCCCAGGCTGGAGATAGGCTGCTTGCTCCACCACTCGCCACTGCCCAGTAATCCCACTCATCTGGAGGAAGGAGATTCTTTGGGATCAGAGCTGGCGTTGACCTTTTGGTTTTTCCATTTGGCAGGACGGGGGAGGGGTTCAAGAAGGCAGATCCCAGAGATATCTCCCCCCACAGCCAGATACCCAGCTTTTGGGGTTCTGGGATTGACTCCTGAAGTCGTTACATGTGAAATGCTTGCATGTATTTTTTTTTAATGCCCAAAACATGATGCAATGTTTCCTGTACACCCCGGTCACGTACTCTTGTACATGCACACACGGCTTCCACGTTGACTTCTGTGACTAGCCCCTTCCGTGCTCCGGCTTGCTTTTGCTCTCTCTACTTCCCCCTCCCTCTCTCTCTCTCATTCTCCCTGCTAGCTGCTGTAAGGATCAGTCCCCAAAGAAAAATGCCCAATTTGTCATGTCATGTCCAGCTGTTAACCTCCCGTCGGTAAGCCATGGGGAAGACTTACTTTCTCCTATTTATTTATTTGCCACTTGGACAATAGAAGGCCCCAGGCCTGCTGAGTTCTCCATAATAAAGCCACCAACGATCTCCCCCATCACCCCCTCCCCTCCCCCCAGCCCCATGTCAACAACACTAGCCAACCTGCAGGTGTCACTGGGCATTAACCCCAGGCTTAACTCTGGCTCTGCTCAACCGGAGGGAAGGGGGAGGGGGTAGCCGGCGAAGGTGGGGGGTCTGACGGGGAGGTCTCTGCACAAAGAGGAAGGCCTGGGGATGGGCTGGCTCAGAACCATCCCTCCGGAAAGCTCACTGTGCTGAGGCTGGGGGAGGGAGGGAGGGATCAACCAAATAATGCAGCTCCTTCTTCCCAGCTCTCCGATGGTCTCCAGGCAGAGCCTTGGCCAGCCGGTGGCAGGCGCCTGGGCTCACCGCACCTAGCAACACTGCCGAGAGACAGGGCCCTCCAGGAATGAGGCCCAGTGCGGCTGGCCCTGGAGCGGGCCTGGGAGGGGCTGGGGCAGGGAGGGGAGGCGCAGACCCTCCGGCCCCCAGCCCCACTCAAGGTAACCACTCCTTTCTCCAGCACTGCCTTCCTCCCCTCTCCAGCCTTCTTTGGTCAGCCCAATTTGCTACAGGAGAACTCGAGGGTTCAGGGGAAGCTGCTAGCAACGTCCCAAGGCTGGGCTCCCTGTCTCCCTGTGGATTAAATGAGAGGTGGTGGGGCAGGGGCCTGGGCAGCCCTTCCTTCTGTTCAGATGTCAGAGTGAGTTACGGATCACCCTGAAGTGCAGCCCCCATGGCCTTTCATCTGGGGCTCCCAGCCCCTTGTTGTCAAGAACACCATCCTCTCTTCCTGGAACCCTAGCTCCCCCCTGGGGACACGCTGTGGAGGGAAAACACAGATTAGGATTAGCTGGGATTGTGCGCCTGAGCCTGGTTCCCCAGCCATCTCTGTGGTAGTTTCTTACTTTCTGCTAAATTCCCTATATCCTCCTCCCTCCCCCATAGGACATCCTAAAGTACAGGGGCATGGGCAGGGCATTTTCCAAGGCTAGTCACTCAAGGCTCAGTGTGTAACCCTCTGCTGACTGTCCTCAGTGAGGCCACAGCCTTGGACTCACGGCACCCAGATACAGATAAAAGACTTGGTCAGCTCCTGCCCACTGAGGTTTCTTGTGCATCTTTGTTCACTGTCTGATTGACAGTAGGAAGTCACAGCTCAATGGAAAAGGAAAAATGATGGTCACTGTAAAGCTCCCTTGTGAGGGTCCACTGGGTCTGCACTGGTACCCCCTCTGTTCTTGGCCCAGTGCTGGCATCATGTGAAGCAGCTGGAGAAACCAGAGAGCCTAGAGGACCAGTGTACAGGAACAGAGGTCCAGGATCACACAGGCCAGGCAGAAAAGGACCCCAAAGGCTTAGTTAGGTCAAGCCCAGGCTCTGCCATAGCATGGATCCTGATTGTCACAGCGAGAGATGCAAAGGTCTTGCTCCACCCGGGGGCATTCTGAAGTTAAAATTTTTCTTAAGAGGAATCTCTCAAAATTTAATTTTATAAAATTACCTATATCCAGGAGACATATGGGAAGAAGGAATCTGACAGTTGCAATGTTTCAGAGCAAGGTGACTGAATGGGAAAGCACCTGACCAAACAGGAGAGGCTCAGATGACGGTTCAGTGTGCAAAGGACTTGTGGCTGTCTAGAACTGCTCTGCAGCGCCCTGGGCTGCCTTGAGAAGCAGCACCTTCCAACAGGAACATGGTGATGACCGTCCGGAACAGAAAAGGGAAAGCTCCTACAGTGGATAGAAGATGGGACCGTGAAGTAAGTCTCTGAGGAACCTTCCAGTTAGTGCTCAGAAGTTATGATTCTAGAGATAGCATGATCCAGTTTAGGAGACAATGTGGTACGGTGATAAATACTGACAATGTTGTGAGATGGACCTGGATTTGATTCCCAGTTCTGTCAGTTACTAGCTGTGTGACTTTGTTTTTTCTTTTTTTGTTGTTGAGACGGAGTCTCACTCTGTCACCCAGACTGGGGTGCAGTGGCACGATCTTGGCTTACTGCAACCTCTGCTTCCCGAGTTCAAGTGATTCTCCCATCTCAGCCTCCCGAGTAGCTGGGACTACAGGTGTGTGCCACCACACCTGGCTAATTTTCATATTTTTAGTAGAGATGAAGTTTTGCCATGTTGGCCAGGATGGTCTTGAACTCCTGGTCTCAAGTGATCCACCCACCTCGGTCTCCTGAAGTGCAGGGATTACAGGCATGAGCCACCACTCAAGGCCTACTAGCTGTCTGACTTTGGAAAAGTTACTTGACTTTTCTGAGGTTCAGTTTCGTCTTCCATGAAATAAGCATGAGGATACCTACCTCTCAGTTGTTGGGAAGATTAAGTGAAAGAATCTAAGGGAAAACACCTAGAATAATGCCTGGCAGATTGCAAACACCGTAACAAATGTTAATTACTGTCTCTTTTCCTTGTCTGAAACTTACTTGGTTCACTCCCTGCCCCAAAAAACGAGGAAATCAACTTGCTATATCTAGTGGCCTGCACACCAGGGAGACCTGACTCGTGCTCTCAGAAAGTTTGGTCTTTCTTGGTCCCTTCTTGTACACCTCCCTCGGTTCTGGACAGAGACACTGGCGTGGCTGGTTTGTGTGGGAGGCATCTACACATTTCTTGTCTGGCCTGAATAGCAGGCATTAAAATGCATTTTGGTTCACCCAGGACAATAAAGAAAAAAAAGGAAGCTTTAAGTCACTAATAAAAATCAAATGTAGGCAGTTTGCAGGAGTGATCAGCTCAGAGCTTTGCTGTTCTCTTGTTAAGGGTCTAGAGCCATAAATAACTTCCCCATAGAAGGCAGAGGCGAGGGGGAGTGAGTGAGAGGGAACGCAACAACACAAAATTTTTCATTTTTCTCCATAAATCATTTCAGCGTGCGATAATATTTGTTTTTTCTAATGAGTCTCTTGTGATCCATTCCAGGAGCTAACATCAGGGCCTGTCAGGGGGTGATGTGTGGTACAGTTCAACGCTTTACAAAAACTGCCTGCTACACAGATTTTTTTTTCTCTCTTCCTTATGCTAAGTATTCATGAAGCCCATTATTCTGTGCTCATGCTTTACAGATTCTTCCTTTCTGATCTTCTCCTTTGGGCAGCAGCCGTCCTGTTCTCTCCTCTGTCTGCCTGTGCTGTGGGGTCTTGCTGCAGCCTGGGGAAGAGATGTGGGCAGTGGTTGAGGAAGGCTGCTCAGAGGTATCCTGGGGAGACCATCAGGCATAGACTTTGAGCTTGGCTGCATAAGGGGAGCATTCTTCAAAGTTCAGCTGAAGCCAGTGTGGAAGAATGCCTTTAAATGATGGATTTCTCATGGCCCAGTGGTGGACCCTATCACAGTGGGCAAGAACACCTGCCAAACAAAAGGCCCTCAAAGAGAGCTGGCAGGCTAGACAGAGGTCAGGTTAGTAAGAGACAGTATTCATACCACGCCGAAGAGTTTGGAGTTTATCCTAATAGGCAAAAGAGGTCAATCAAGAATTTTACAAAGAATCAGATTTGCATTTTAGAAAGACCTTGCTGCATCATTAGTGTGGAGCATAGATTGGGGGAGAGGTACAGGTTAGAGGAAGCAAAGAGTAGGATGGGAATCAGAAAATTCTGGAACAGTGTTGGATTAATACAGATGAAAAATGATAAGGTATTGGATTCAGAAATGAGAGATTTTGGGGAGAGCTTAGTAAACACTACTCATCCTTTAAGACTGACTTTAGTGTTACCTTTTCTGTGAAATCATTTCCACACTCTCCAGGTTGGCTCACTAGTTCCTGTTGGCTCCTGTAATGTCCTTCCATACTCTCCTCTCTGCAGACACTCATTACATTGCATTATGATGATTAGCCTGAGCTCCTTGACGGTGGGCTCCAGGCTACGTGAATCCTTGTGTCTTGCTCTCTCATATGGTGCATGGCACGTAGAGTGGCTCAATGGTATTTATTCACATTTTGAATGAAAACAAAAGAATAAAAGGAGGGAAGACAGAACTATAAGTAGAAAGCTCGGGCATTTGGGGGCAAGTGAAAGAAGAGGAGTCACCCAAGGAGACTGAGATGGGATGCTCAGAGAGTCAGGAAAGACCTGGGAGAGTGACATCAGGGCTCACGGCGAACCATAGGAATAGAACTTTATTTATTTATTTATTTATTTAGAGATGGAGTCTCACTCTGTCACCCAGGCTAGAGTGCAGTGGTGCGATCTTGGCTCACTGCAACCTTCGCATCCCGGGTTCAAGTGATTCTCCTGCCTCAGCCTCCTGAATAGTTGGGATTACAGGTGCCCACAACCATGCCTGGCTAATTTTTGTATTTTTAGTAGAGACGGGGTTTCGCCATGTTGGTCAGGCTGGTCTCCAACTCCTGAGCTCAGGTGATCCGCCCACCTGGGCCTCTCAAAGTGCTGGGATTATAGGCATGATCCACCGCGCCCAGCCTTTTTTTTTTTTTTTTTTTTCCCTAGATGGAGTCTCACTCTGTCGCCCAGGCTGGAGTGTAGTGGCATGATCTCAGCTCACTGCAGCCTCCACCTCCCGGGTTTAAGTCATTCTCCTGCCTCAGCCTCCCGAGTAGCTGGGATGACAGGTGCCTGCCACCACGCCCAGCTAATTTTTGTAGTTTTGGTACAGATGGGGTTTCACCATGTTGGCCAGGCTGGTCTTGAACTCCTGACCTCAGGTGATCCACCTGTGTCGGCCTCCCAAAGAGCTGGGATTACAGGCATGAGCCACTGCGCTTGGCCAGAATAGAGCTTTTTAAGAGGGCAATGATTTTTGGTGCCAAATGCAAAAGTGAAATTAAGACAGACAAAGACAGAAACATGTCCACAGAATTTGGCAATTCCGAGGTTGTTACTGCTGTTTGAGAGAGCAGTTTACTTGCAGTAGCGAGGGCAGAAGCCATACCAGCCAGCTCACTTCTAGATGAGATGTGAGAAAGTGTAGACCAATCTTTCAAGAAATGCAACTAAGAAGAAAATGACAAAAACAAGAGTAGCTTAAGGGGAAATACAGGATCAAGGGGATCGTTTCAAGAAGGGGCAGGGATTAAAAAAACATTTATAGGGTAAATCAGACGGAAAAGACATGACAAGAGAGAAAATACTGGAGAAAGGTAAGTAGATACAGAGCTGGCTGAATAACCACACCCAAAGAATATTGATGAGAGTTTGAAAACAAGGTCTCCAGTGACATATGACCAGATTTGTCCTTTGTCCTGTACAGCATTTTTATCAACAACTTGAAGGCATGAACAGCATGACTAACACATTTATAGTCAGATAAGTCTAGGGACAGCCAACAAGATGAAGTACAGGATCAGTATTCAAAAATCACTTCTGCAAGTAGGCATACAGGTGAGATTTAACAGACGAAAGTAACTATTCTGCATGTAGGCTAAAAATAGAATTTCTGGAAGTATAGGTTTGAGAAGCTACGCCTTGAGAAGGTTCATGGGAAGAAGATCCAGGAATTCTGGTTGAGTTTACATTTGCCAAAAGACTTCTGAAGACTCCAGCCACATTGGCAGAGGCGCAGTGCACAGAACAAAGGCGGGCTGGTCACACCACAAACACAGTGGGAACATTCTGCACTTTTCTGGGCTTCGTACCATTCAGGTGATAGGTGACTAGGGCGAGGTGGGTCAGGATGGAAAGATGTCTTGGAACCCTGACTTGTGATCATTGGTTGGGGAAGTTGGGGAAAGAATTTGAGAAATGCGACAGGAATTCTTAAGTATTTGCCAGTTTATCATATAGTAAAGAGAATAGACTCCCTCTGAAGAGATTCAAAGGACAGAACTTTACTCCTAGGGTAACGAAAGGCAAATTTTGGCTCAATATGAGGCAAGAAGTCTATGGATCCCCCTCTATGCATGGGTTTAGGGTCCCTAAAATGGAATATAAAATGTTATGTAAACGTTAATATACATTTTTTTTTGTAGAAGGTGTTCATGGCTTTCAATACATTCTGAAAGGAGTCTGTGACACACACACACACATTAAGAACCACAGAAAAAGGGAGAATTTTCTTTCAATTATGGTAATTGGAATGGAACTATGGCTTCCAGAAGGAGCAGGATTCCCATCACTGGATATGTTCAAACAGGGGCAGAAAGACCTAGTGAACTCTATCAAGTTTAGAGGTCTGATACAAGAAGGGGTTGGTTGTAGACCACGCAAAGAAAGGTGTTTGTGTGTGTGTGTGTATGCAGGGGGTAGAAGAGGGGCAGAGAGAAAGAAGAAGGCAAGACAGAGGTAGTGAGATAAACACTGTCATGGGCCGTTTCCATCATGTACTCACAAGAGCATAATAAAGCCCTTGTAATATACTAGAACTTGTGTGGTCCCGGGGCCTAATTTGCATACTAATTACTGAGTGCAAATGGGACCGAGGGGTAGGGAGGGAGGGTGGGGGAGGCATGCAGGGAGCGAGGGGCCTGGACTGTTTGCTCTGCCATTTCATATCATGCTAACAAGCTAATCCGGCGTGCAGTTAGCTCCTGATATATAACTGCTCATTAGTATTATAATAAAGTACATGAAACAACCATAAAACGTTATATACTGCACAAGTGTTGTTTTCTTGCCAATTATCTGCAGGCGGATTTATCACCACAGTTGTTTCGAATTCCCCTTGGTGAGGTTTGGGCGGAATAAAGAAAGGTGTTGGTGGCGGCAGCAGCAGAGGGGGGCCTTTTCGAGGGGCAGACCATGTGTTTTCTTAAGTAGCACTTACTGATGCGCCATTTCATGAGAGTGAAGCAAAGAGATCCGTCCTTCCCCAGCTCCGCAGCCCCAGAGGAAAGCGACAAGGGTGAGAGCTGAGAAAGGCTGCAGGCCCATGTTCCAGGGCCCTGGGGACACAGGGCCCACAGCCTGCTGGACAGCCCAGAACCTCCAAGTATAAAGGCCTGTATCAATCCCACGGACTGTTTAATGAGGTCTTGTAAATCTGCACCACTTGCTGCTCTCCAGGCTTCCAAGCTTGCTGTTCAGGTAGCCCAGTTCAAAGCAATGTTTCACCCCCACTGCCTTATTCCTAAAGCACTTACTGAATGAGCTCTAGTGAAGGCAGCCTTGTTCTGAGAAGATGTTCTGGAGATGCGTCGTTCTTGCAAAGAGTTCGTTTCTGCCTCTGGGCTCTCAAGGGACTCTCACAACACAGCCACCCACTCAGTGTTCTGGGAGGAGTATGGAGGGAAGCTCTGACTTTCCCAGACAGCCTGTAGGGCCCAAGTCACACCTCCTAAGGTCACCCTACTCCATCATCACCAGCGAATGCAGGAAGGCCCTGGAATTGGGAAGTAGAGAAGACCCCTTTCTCAGTTTTACTCTATTAGATTAGAAAAGAGCACCCTTGCTTAATAGCGAGTTGGGATGAGGTTTCAGGGCCCTGTTACACTTCATCCTTTCTCACCGCTCCCCAGGCTGAAGGAAAATTTGCAGAGTTCTCATATATTCTAGGAAGGCCTCTTGAACTGCCTGGACCCACAGCACGTAGCCAGCTCCCAGCAGCCTCACTGTTGGGAATGGGCCACAGGTTTGAAGAAGCCAATTCTTCAAAGGTCTGCTCGCTGACCAGAAGTCCCAGCCAGGCCCCATACAATCTCCCAGACCTCTACTAAGTAGACATCAGCTTCAGTAGTCACCCAGGAGCTGCGCAGAAGGATGGCGGGTCAGTCCCACTTTGCCTGTGCTGTGCTGGTGTATCGAAGGACTGATGTGGGTATTAGGAAATACACATTAACTTCAAAGACTAACATGAACAGCCACATTTCCTTTAGAGATCCATAGTGGATGTGCTAATTCACAAACTAAATTCAAATTGTGAACACATCTGGCCTGGGCTCTGGGCTCCTCTCAAAGAACCCTAATAGTAAACAAGGCAAGGAACATCAGTGGGAGTTCTCACAAATTTCTCAGAAGAAGCTGCCTCCTGGCCGGGCACGGTGGCTCATGCCTGTAATCGCAGCACTTTGGGAGGCCAAGGTGGGCGGATCACAAGGTCAGGAGTTCGAGACCAGCCTGGCCAATATGGTGAAACCCCGTTTCTACTAAAAATACAAAAATCAGCTGGGCATGGTGACATGTGCCTATAATCCCAGCCACTTGGGAGGGTGAGACAGGAGAATCGCTGAACCCAGGGAGGCAGAGGTTGCGGTGAGCTGAAATCGTGCCACTGCACTCCAGCCTGGGTGACCGAGTGAGACTCTGTCTCAAAAAAAAAAAAAAAAAAAAAAAGAAGAAGCTGCCTCCTGAAGCCCCTCCTCACACAGAAGGAAATGTAATGAAGTTGTTCCCCCAGTTCCCAGCCCCTACCCCCGATGAAGCCAGAAAGCTTTACTCCTCCTACGGAGATTAGCAGTAACTTGCTCCCTGGTCACAACGAGTCTGGACAACTCAATAGCTCCCCCTTTCCCGCTCTAAATAGCATCTCCACTTGAAGAGCTTAAAAACATTTAGTAAATTTCTGTTCCAGGTATGTTCTTTGTTGTTTTAGTTCTCTCCAATCTTTAAATGTCTGTCCGTATCAGATAACAAATGACTAGAGACGTAATGATTTGACTATTTTCTAATGGGTGTGCTTTGATGTATCACAGACTTGAGGTTAACGAACTGGAGGATCACCTTTCTCTTCCATATACAATTCTAGGTTTCATAATTCGGCTATTATGATGGCAACCATGATGATGATGATGGCAGTGATGATAAAGGAATGACCACCTCATTCTGATACTTGATAATCCCCAAATCTAAGGAAAGAACAATGGGCTGAAAGGCCATTAACATCTCCAAACCAGATTAAATGCCAATGCTTTGTCAAAGTCCAGCAGTGAAGAAGTGATATTTGGTATTTAGATGCAATCGTAATTTGAATTGACTAAAGAATCAAGTTCAGGGAGAAGGGAGGGATAGCATTAGGAGATATACCTAATGCTAAATGACGAGTTAACGGGTGCAGCACACCAACATGGCACATGTATACATATGTAACAAACCTGCACACTGTGCGCATGTACCCTAAAACTTAAAGTATAATAATAATAAAATTAAAAATAATAATAATAATAGAAATGTAAAAAAAAAATCAAGCTCAGGCCAGGTGCAATGGCTCACACCTGTAATCCCAACACTTTGGGAGGCTGAGGCGGGAGGATTGCTTGAGCGCAGGAGTTCGAGACCAGCCTGGCCAACATAGCGAAACCCAACCTCCATGCACAAAAAGTAAACAAAATTAGCCAAGCATGGTGGCACATACCTGTAATCCCAGCTACTCAGTTGGCTAAGGCACAAGAATCACTTGGACCCGGGAGGCCAAGGTATAGTAAGTTGAGATTGTGCCACTGCACTCTAGCCTGGGCAACAGAGCAAGAGTCTGTCTCAATAAAAATAATCAAGTTCAGACTCTTCAGCTGATCTTCCATGAAGTGGCACCCACCTCCTTCTTCGGGCTCATCTCCTAGGCCCTACCTCTATGTCCTTGCAATGCTGACTTGGGTCAAATTCCCCCTAAAAATGGATGCTTTCTTTTACCTCTCTGCTTTTGCTCATTCTGATCCCTCTACTTAGAATGCTTATCCACTTTTTTCCAGTGCCAACTCCTCCTAACTTGGGTCAGGTGCTATCTCCTGCAGAAGCCTTTTCTGACAGTCCATCCCTTGTCTGATCTAGGTGACCCTTCATGTGCTGGAAGCACCCTGTACTTCTATCTCATGTCAATCAATAGCTTTTGAACCTCTTCAGGGCAGGTGTCTTATTCTTTGTGGTCCCTGCAACTCAGTATGAAGTACTGGCCGAAAGCAAGTACTTAATACATGTTTCTATCTATTCCATAGTTTGGGAGAACCAACCTGGACTAAAACTTTATTTCTTTTTCTTTTATTTTTTCTGAGACGGGGTCTCACTCTGTTGCCCAGGCTGGAGTTCAGTGGTGCCATCAGGGCTCACTGCAGCCCTCCTAGGCTCAAGCAATCCTCCTGCCTCAGCCTCCCAAGTAGCTAGGACTACAGGCATGCACCACTATGCTCAGCTCATTTTTCTGATATTTTTTAGAGATGAGGTCTCACTATGTTGCCCAGGCTGATCTCAAACTCCTGGGCTCAAGTGACCCTCCCACTTTGGTCTCCCAAAGTGCTGGGATTACAGGCGTGAGCCACCATGCCCAGCCTGGACTTAAAGCTTTAAACTCACACCAGTATGCTGACCTAGAGCCTTCAGCAGACTTTCGTTTACTCTCCCCTTTAGGACTCAAAGCTGGGCAGTTCTTTCCAAGACCAAAGAGAGGGGGCAAACCCTCATGTCTGTGACATTGGAAGTCCACCATTTTATTGCCATCTATTTCCTCCTTCCTTTTAGTCTGGTCTTTAAAGGTGCAAGCAGGGACTGACCAGGTCCAGGGACTCAGTGGCTCAATCCTACAGAGCAACGCAGCTGCACCGACTTCCCCTAGGGAGCTGGAGCTCCCCTCTTCCTCCCCTGCTGTGACAAGAAGGTCTTCAGGGGCAGGACCATTCAGCAGAAAGCCTCAGTATACCCTTCTGCTTTGAGCTGTTCCCATTTGCAGGAGACACAGGTGGATAGCAAATAGATGACTGGTGTTTTTCATAAGATTGCTGTGGGGCTTAACGGAGATAATGAAGGCAATGCTCCTATCACTGCATCAGTCATACAACAAGCACTCAAGTCCTACTGTTCTGCTCCTCCTTCCCCTTTGAAAGGCACACTGTTATAATTCAAACAAAACAGAACAAAGCAAGGCTTTGAAGTCATAAAACAATTCGGCCTCTTATAAGCTATTCAACTTTGCAAAAGTTGCTTCCCTTTCTTAACTTCAGCTTTCCCACCTGCAAAATGAGCTCATAATGCTCACCCACAGTTTTAATAAGGAATAAACCACGTGATAAAAGATGCCAAAATACACATATGTCTGAAGTGTCCACCTCTGGTATATAGTGGGGACTCAATAAATAGTAGAAGTAAGGATAACAATAAATGTAAGAGTCTGAATTTCTATCTAAAAAAACAGCATAAGGACAGGATGAAAGAGACATGACTCAGCAATGAGACAAGGTAGGGGTTTTAGTTGATAAGGTCAGTATGAGTCAGCAGCTAATGTGACTTCCAGCCGCATTCATAAAGTGGTGACAGGCTCACCCTGCTGTGTCCTGGTTTGGCCACCTTGGACAGGGCAGGTCTGGGCACCATTCTTTGTGAGCTCAAAATAATAATAAATGTATGTGAAGGCCCGTTGTAAACCATAAAGAGCGTACATATGTAAAACATCATTATGAATCATCAGCAGTAGAGTATTAATTGAGAGAGAGGTCATCTGCACTGACTTTAGAGGGATAAAGCAGTACAGTAGAAGGGGGAGTGAGACTCAGCACCTTAGAAAAAAGGGGGGCAGAAAGAGGAGGCTTAGAGAGGGGTGACACAGGCAGAGGAAGCTGATTCTTGTATGTCCCCTATGAGCCAAACCAAGAACAGTTGGTGAAAGTTAAAGCTAGTTTAGGCTCATTTTAAGAAAGTATTTTCTAACAATCAGAGTACTGCTTTGAAGAATAATGAGCTCCCCCTCATAAGAGGTATTCAAGCAGTGATTGGATGATAATTGGTCCTAATGGAGGGAATTCAAACATGGAAGAAGAGACCAGATCATCTTGAAGGGCTCTTCTGACCCCAAAGTGTCATGGCTTTGGGGGCTGTCTTTCTCCTGTTCTCTCTCATCACAGGGGAAGGGAAAAGTCAGAAATCTTCAATTTAATAACTGATCTGATATTCCTCAAACACCCACTACCTGCCAGGCATTGTGCTAGCTGCTGAGAAAATAAGCAAAAATAAGGAAAAGACTTTGGCCTCTGTGCTCTTACAGTCTAATGGGGTTAACTGGCAAAGAGCTTTGGACACACATCAGAGAGAGCAACTAAATGCTTGGAACGGAGTGAGTCCACCAGGGAGATGATACTGGAGCTGAGTTTTGAATAAATAATCTTCCTAGATGGAAAAGGGAAATAACAGGACAACAGGTAGAAAGGACAAGACCTGCAAAGCCATGGAATCATGGAAAAGCAGACAAAGTTTAGGGGAAGATGAGCTGCATGAGAAATGGGACAGAAGAAATAGTTTGGGCTGGATTGTGAAGCACTTAGTGAAACTTCTGGAGGACCCCGGATTTACCTTGAGGATTACAGGAAGCAAGGGAGGAATCTACAAAGAGCAGCCCAGTCACACCTGTGTTTTAAAAGGGTTTGGATCATAATTCTGAAAGACACAATCCTGAATGCCATAATTCTAAATGTTGACATCCCAAAAGATCAAAATCCCTAAACGTAAATCTCTAATGTCCAAAATCTCCAAGATCACAATCACAGGTTAGTTTTCTTTCATTATTTTATTTTATTTTATTATTTATTTAAGACGGAGTCTCACCCTGTCACCCAGGCTGGAGTGCAATGGCGCAATCTCGGCTCACTGCAACCTCTGCCTCCTGGGTTCAAATGATTCTCCTGCCTCAGCTTCCCAAATAGCTGGGATTACAGGAGTGCACCACCATGCCTGGCTAATTTTGTATTTTTAGTAGAGACAGGGTTTTACCACGTTGGTCAGGCTGGTCTTGAACTCCTGACCTCATGATCTGCCCACCTAGACTCCCAAAGTGCTGGGATTACAGGAGTGAGCCACTGTGCGTGACCAGTTCTTTCACTATTTTAAATTGTCAGCATTATTTGCTATAATTTGCTGTGCTACGTATTTCATCTTTGCATCATTTCCAATACTGGAGGTATAAATTGTGTAGAGACTTTTAAGAGAGTTGTAATTCTTTTTATGCTTTTTTTTTTTTTTTTGCAGATTTGACTCCATGAAAGTGCATTATCACAATGTTGATTTTGTGTATCAGCATTGCGCATCTACGTAAAAATGTTGAAACTTCCTCAGTAAATGACGAGATGTCCTTTTTGTACATCTGCATTTGTGAAAGACAAAATTTCTTGAGATCTCTGCTCTTTGGGTGACTGCATATGTGGTGGTGACCCACAGTGGTAACCCATTGTAGTTTTTGCTCCATCTTGTCAAAAGACTTAGGTTGTTCATCATGGTATTTCAGATAACCACAATTATAAAGCTGATGGCACACAATTACCAACTATAGTGAAATGTGTTTATACATTTCCCTCTTTGACCTATTTCTTTATGAATATGGTTCGTCTGATCATAAATGCTATACTCATGCAACTTTTGTTAGTATACCTAAACGTTTATACTCACAAAAAAAGTATGTTGTTGCTTATTTTTTATTATTTAATTTTAATTTTTTTTTTTTTGAGATAAGAGTCTCACTCTGTCACCCAGGCTGGAGTGCAGTGGCACGATCTTGGCTTACTGCAACCTCCACCTCCCTGGTTCAAGCGATTCTCCTGCCTCAGCCTCCCAAATAGCTGGGAGTAGAGGCGCCCACCACCATGCCCTGCTAATTTTTTTTGTATTTTTAGTAGAGATGGGGTTTTGCCATATTGCCAAGGCTGATCTCGAACTCCTGAGCTCAGGCAATCCGCCCACCTTGGCCTCCCAAAATGCTGGGATTATAGCACTATTACCAGCCTATTGTTGCTTATTTTATTGTGTAAAGTGGCCTATGAAGTGTTCTGTCGTGCTTTTATGTTTTTCAAATAAATCTCCTTTTTAAAATATAAATAAATATCTGGCCAGGCATGGTGGCTCACGCCTGTAATCCCAGCACTTTGGGAGGCCCAGGCAGGTGGATTACTTGAGGCCAGGAGTTCGAGACCAGCCTGGACAACATAGTGAGACTCCATCTCTACTAGAAAATACAAAAAGTAACTGGGTGTGGTGGCACTTGCCTGTAGTTCCAGCTACTCGAGTGGCTGAGGCAGGAGAATCACTGGAACCTGGGAGGTGGAGGCTGCAGTGAGCCAGGATCGTGCCACTGCAGCACTCCATCCTGGGTGACATAGCGAGACTCTGTCTAAAAATATGTGTGTGTGTGTGTTTGTGTGTGTGTGTGTGTGTAATTCCTTTTTTTTTTCCCATGCATAGTTTTACTTAACATTATTTTAGGATCTCTGCTGAAATATTCTTCAAATATATGTTTTTAAATGGCTGAACAATATTTTATCATATGATTATACTATAACTTATTTAACCATTTTATTGTTGTGGAACATTAGGTTGTTCTCAGATTTTCTCTGCTATAAATAATACTGAAATGATGATCCTTATGCATAAATCTTTGACCACATATCTAATTATTTTCTTAGAATAAATTCCAAGAAGGGAATTACTAAAATAAAGGATATGAATATTTTAAGGATTTTGCTACACATTACAAAATTGCTTCTAGAAAGGTTATAC
This sequence comes from Homo sapiens, assembly GCF_000001405.40. Taxonomy (NCBI): domain Eukaryota; kingdom Metazoa; phylum Chordata; class Mammalia; order Primates; family Hominidae; genus Homo; species Homo sapiens. The sequence goes on along the minus strand of NC_000001.11, from coordinate 44,529,006 downwards.
AAATGTATGCTTTTACCAATAGTATATAAGAATGTCTGCCTAACTCTACCCTTATTAGCATTGAACTTTATAATTTTAAAAGTTGCCAATTCTGGCCAAACGTGGTGGCTCATGCCTGTAATCCCAGCACTTTGGGAGGCTGAGGTGGGTGGATCGCCTGAGGTCAGGAGTTAAAGACCAGCCTGACAAGCATGGTGAAACCCCATCTCTACTAAAAATACAAAATTAGCCAGGTGTGGTGGCACATGCCTGTAATCCCAGCTACTTGGGAGGCTGAGGCAGGAGAATCACTTAAACCTGGGAGGTGGAGGTTGCAGTAAGCCAAAATTGTGCCATTGCACTCCAGCTTGGGCAATAGAGTGAGATTCTGTCTCAAAAAAAAAAAAAAAAAAGTTGCCAATTTGCAGGGCCGGGCGCAGTGGCTTACGCCTGTAATCCCAGCACTTTGGGAGGCCGAGGTGTGTGGATCACAAGGTCAAGAGATTGAGACCATCCTGGCTAACACGGTGAAACCCCATCTCTACTAAAAATACAAAAAATTAGCCAGGTGTGGCAGCGTGTGCCTGTAGTCCCAGCTGCTGGGGAGGCTGAGGCAGGAGAATGGCATGAACCTGGGAGACGGAGCTTGCAGTGAGCCGAGATAGCGCCACTGGACTCCAGCCTGGGTGACAGAGTGAGACTCCGTCTCAAAAAAAAAAAAAAGTTGCCAATTTGTATCGGCAAAATATCACCTCATTTAATTTACATGAACTATATTAATATGAAGGTTCATATTTCTTTTATTAACTGGTTGTTCATTACTTAGTCCATTTTATATTGAGCTATTAGTGCTTTTTATTGATTTGTAAGCACTCTTTACATATTACGGACATCAAATGTTCTGCTATACTTACTGCAAATCTTTGTTTTTCAGGTGGCATTTGCCTTTTATTTTTGTTTATGGTGGGGCTTTTGTTGTTGTATAGTAATTTAGAATTTTTGGTGACTTCATTGCATTCACACTATGAAAGTTCTTTCCAGATACATAGCTATGATTTTTACCCTTTGCATTTAACTTTTTTTTTTTTTTTTTTTTTTTTTTGGGATGGAGTCTTGCTCTGTCACCCAGGCTGGAGTGCAGTGGTGCAATCTCGGCTCGCTGCAATCTTCATCTCCCAAGTCAAAGAGATTCTCCTGCCTCAGCCTCTCAAGTAGCTGGGACTACAGGTGCCTGCCACCATGCCTGGCTAATTTTTGTATTTTTAGTAAAGTCGGGGTTTCACCACGTTGGCCAGGCTGGTCTCGAACTCCTGCCCTCAGATGATCTGCCCATCTCAGCCTCCCAAAGTGCTGGGATTACAGGTGTGAGCCACCGCACCCAGCCCTGCATTTAAATTTTTAATTCATCTATTTAATGCATTACTTAAAAAAAAAATAAGACAGGGTCTCGTTATGTTTTCTGGGCTGGTCTTGAACTCCTGGACTTAAGCGATTCTCTCATCTCCGCATCTCGAGTGGCTGAGATTACAGGTGTACATCATAGTGCCTGGCTTAATTCATTAATTCTGATATAAGGTACAAGGCAAGGAACTCACTTCTCTCCTACTTCCCAAGTTTTACTTATTTACTCCCTCCCTCCCTTCCTTCCTTCCTTCCTTTCCTCCTTCCTTTGGTGAAAGAGGACAGATAACGGGGAAAGAAAAAGGGAAGACTCTAGGTCAAACTAGGTTTCTGCTTGTGTGGTTAGATGGTGCTGATGGATCATTTAAGTTGCAGGCTTGGAAGAATATAATGATGTCAGTATTGAATATGTTGAGTCTGGAGGTGCTCTGCAAGGATTCAAGGAGAGATAGTGAGTTGGCAGCTGGAATATGGGCATGAAGCTCAGGAGAGAGGTTGAGGCTGAAGTTGCAGCCATGGTATTCATCAGTGTTTAGGTGGCAGGTGAAACTACAGGCATGATGAGCTCACCCCGGGAAGATGCGTAAGTAAGGAGAGAAGTGAAGCAGTGTACTCTGGGAAGCAGCGATACTGAAGGGGCACATCAAGCAGAAGCTGGGGAAGGAGAATGAGCAGGAGTAGAAGTAGATAAGATCCAAAGAGATGAGTCAGAGAAGCTAAGGGAAGAGCGGCTTTGAAGAAAGAAGAGGTGATCAGAATGTCAGTGAAGAAGTGGGATAGAGCTCATTGAGTGAATGGGCTGACTGAATGGGAGGTGGGGAAGTGGAGGCAATGTGAGTGAGATGTCTTTTGAACAAGTTTATCAGTAAAGGGAAAGAGGAAGAGGGGAGAGTAATGTGCTTGGAAGTTAAGATTAAAAGAAGATTTAAAGGGGAGATTTGAGGGTGTGTGAAGGCAGAGAGAAAGGCATTGGTAGGAAGAGGGATATTTAAAATGTGAGAGAAGAGATGGTGGTGCCAGATTGAAGGAGGAGGAGTGATGGGCCCAGGTGGAAGGATGAGTACTGAGTTAGGACACAAGTACTGGATAGTACTGAGTTAGGACAAAAGTGCTGAGTAGTACTGAGTCAGGACACAAGTACTGAGTAGTACTGAGTTAGGGGACAATTCAGTGAAGATGGCCTCCAGGGTGAGGCCAAGGTTAGGGAGGGAGAAAAGTTGTGGCTGTTTGGCCTTTATTCTCTCTGAAAAGCAGGAAATGAAGTCATCTACAGAGAATGAGGTAAACAGAGGCAGTGAAGAGAAATATTTTGAGAGAGGGAAGGGTTTACAACAACTGCTGTGGGAAATGGGAAGTCATTCTGGGACAAGTACGCAGACTGTTGAGACTTAGTCAGGGTCTGCTAGTGGTGACACCAGTTGAAATGGTTATGCGCTTTTCTCCCCGGAGCATCACAGGCCGGAAATAGAGGAGAAAGTAAATGCTTTCATGGATTTGGGATTTGAGGTAGGCAAACAGGTGGGACAGAAAGGCAAAAGGGTGAGGAAATGGCACGAAGAAATTCTTTAAAGATGTTGATCAAAGGGTCAAGGTCGGGCAGGAAAGAAAGTGAAGCTAGGAGGGGAATGGTGGGCTTGTTAAATTAGGAATGGTCCAGGGACTGAAGGTCTAACGGAGGTCAAAAACAGATTCAGTGGGAGTGAGGAAGGAGAACGGACATAAGGACAGCAGACGCAGCTTACAAAATGGGATTCAGAGTTCATTATTTTTGAGACGAAGAAATTGTGGGAGATGGTCAGACTGAGGGCGGGGCTGTGTTTCCATGGAATCTGCTGTAGGAGTGCAGGATGCTGCAGCAGAGGATCCCAGGATGTGGACAGTCCATGTGGGTGCTGAAATTCACAGGAGGAACGCAGAATAGGGGTGAGCAGGGAGATACTGAGTGCCAACGTTCCTGCTGAATAGAGGGGAGATGTCATCAGCAGATGACAGTGACAAGTAAGTAGAGAGGATCGAATGGCCTCAAAAGAGCAGGGATGTTTGTATGAGGGTGAAGGAACACATGTGGACAGTGGTATCAGCAAAAGTCACTTGCTACAGTAGTAGGGGGGTAAACAGGCACCTGGCACAGTTAGGCAGACCAAAGCGGGGCAGCAGTTTCAAGGTTCTGTTATTTTTTGTGTGTGTTTGTTGGTTGGTTCATTCAACCATTCATTCAAAAAGGATTTGATGAGATGCGTCTGCTGAGCCCTGAGCGCTGTGCTAGGCGTGCAGGACGCTGCCTCTTCCACAGGAATGCACACCAGCCAGCAGCCTTTCCCCGTTTTGCCAAAGGTGGCCCCCCTCTCGCTCAGCAAGCCCCCCACACCAAAGTCCTGGCACCAAAGCCAGGCAGGCCCTGACACGGCTGGTGACCAGTAGGGGATCTTCTTGTTACAGCTTTTTCCCCAGAGATAAATAGGCCACAGTAAAAAAGATTGCTACATCCTTTCAATAAAGATTTTTTTTCTTTTCCAGACAGCTTGAGAAATGTTTTAAAAGCTTCTCACATTTCCAGTGAAACCCACAGAGAAGAATTTTGCTTGTTATCAGCCCTGGAAGCCTCTGATAGACGGGTGACATTTTTTTTCTTTTTCTTTCTCTTTTTCTCTTTTCCTTTTTTTCACCAGCTGAAGAGAGAGTCACAGTGTGTTTTATAACTGGCTCTCTGCATTTCAAAAGCTCAACGAGAGCTCTCTGCTAACCCCGATAAGCCTTGGGCTCTTAGCGTCTTAAATACCTCTGACAAGCTATACATTACAGCGCTAATAATTTGCCAAATTTGCGCCCATAATATGATATCTGTAAAACGTCAAGGGCAGTAATGCGATTAGCGGTCTCAAATGAAATATCGAACATTCAGCGTTTAGGTCCTGAATAGGGGGAGAAAGGAAAGGAAATCAATTTCAAAAGCAGGAGGGAAAAAGGCGATAAGCGTGTAATAAAAATAGAGAGAGACAGAGGAGAGATGCGGAGGAAGAGACGGGCAGAGCAAGACGCAGGGAGAGATAGACCAGCCTGCATTCGTGTTTGAGGCAGGTAAGAGATGTAAAAAACTTTTACAAAGCAGTTCCAACACGAAGCTGGGAAATAACATTTGGTCACCACAGCAACCGGGTTTGGGTGGAAGGAGGGAGGTGGGGGCTGGGAGTTGAGGAAGGGGTTGGCCAAGCCTAGGGACCGGCCTTTCACTCTCTGCCCCCAACAGCCTGCTTCCATAAAACACAGGAAGTTGAATTACAAGGAGTCTGAGGGTGGGCTCTCACCCTGCCCCCACCTACCCGAGGTGGGAGAGTCGTAATGGACTAATTATCTGGCCAGCAGAGGCGGTGGCGGCGGCAGTTCGCAGGAGAGAGGGCCCGGGCTGTCACATACCAGGCTCTAGACTAAATAACAACATCTCACACCTGCAGCTTTACGAGCCCTTGCTGAGAGGAGCCAGTGCAAGCCCTCCCCTCCCTTTGCCCCCCTCCAGCATCCCCCCATTCACATTTGGGCCCCCACTCTAGCCAGGCTGCTGCTGGGGCACCAGAGTGGCAGGGGGAGTCTCCCCCTTGCTGAAGCTAGGACCCATCGCTCAATCCTTACAACTTGCAGGTATCTCGACTCACAATGCCGCTGCTCTTGGGTCCCCCAGCTAATTCCCCAGGGACCTGAGCAAGGCAAGCGGACTATGCCATTAAAATACCCCATGCCAGAGGTCACTGGCGAGCAGGTTTGTCTGCACCTGCAGCTATGTCTCAGGCTCGGGATGGACGAGGGGATGGGGCTGCGCTGGATGCTGGATTGTGAGGGCAGAAATGACCAATGGATCCTCTTGGGCCCTGGGGGATAGCAGAGGCGGGAGCCCTCTGAGCTGCCTCAGCACATTTCTCTGCTTTCTCCTTCCATACCTCTCCCTAACACCATGCGAAGCAGGTTCTTTCAAAGCATGGTGTTCCTGCTCCTTCTGCACCACTTGGTCTTGGACCTGACCCCATAACCATTAGCCTCATTTTGTAAAGAGATGAGGTTTTGGCAGAGCTGTGTCAAGAGAAGAACGCAAACAATGACAGATGCAGGAGCCTGTGCCTTAGCAAGGGGATGGCATTCAGGAAGCGCGGGACCAAGTCCTATCCCCACTCTAAATGTCCAAGGCCTCTAGTCCCACTGTCTCCCCACAGCTGGAGGCTCCCAACTAGGGTTCAGGCCAGCTCACCTAGGCAAAGAGGAGGTGAAAGGTGCTGGCTGGCCTGGGGTGGGAGGAGAGCAAACAGGCTGCCTGGGGCCTGCCCAGACCCTTCCCCGGGGCAGCCTGGAATGGCCATTACAGGGCCACTTCTTGCGGCACCACGAGCCATTAAAGCAGGAGTGCTCGGGGAGCCATCAGCCCAGTGCAGATGACTTCCCCAGATGTGGCAGTGGGCAGGATGTGGAAGCCCCCAGCCCCAACTCTACAGACAAAACATTCCCACACTCACCATCCTCGGAAACCCCACAGCCCAGAGCCCCTCTTACAGATGCTTTCTAGACCATTTAGCAGGAGGCAGTGTTTATTTTTGAACATATGTTCTTCCCCATCTCTCGCCTTCCTTCTCCCTTACTAGTCCTTCCAGACCCAAAGCTGCTCTCTGGATGGGCTGCTGTTGGTTGTGACTGCCAAGCTCCAAGGCCAGTGTGGGTAGCACGCTTTGTTTTGGCTTTGTGAGTGCTTAAGCATATGCATGCATGCACACACAGTCCTACTTGCTCTAACTACCATTAGTGGAATGTATGTACCACACCAGCTCCAGGAGGGCAGGGCCTCAGAGGTTATCTAAGTTTGTGAGCAAATTATAAACTAAGATCGAGTTTCCCTACTTTCCAAAATGGGTATACTAGTCAAAGATGGTCCCCGGGCATTGCATTCCTTTTGGGAAGGTGACATCAAGCACAGAAGGTCCCCCCGCCCCCCCAGGAGGGATGTTTCTACCTGAAGCTCAGATTGGTCTCTACTTGGTTCTCTCTGTCCATGCATAGAGCCCAGCCCAGTGCTGTGCTCAACTATTGTCCACCCACCTCAATTAAGGTCTCTCTTTTCTTCAATAAAATAGAATCCTCCAGTCCTTAAGTGACCAGTTCGACTTTTACCCCCTTCAAGAAGTCTTCTGTAACTCAAATGCTCTGAGTTCTGCTTCTTCTAATAGGTATGGGGCCTCACATTTATTGGGTGCCTACTGTGTGCCAGGCTCCATGTTAGGCATTTTGCATGTCATTCCATTTAGCTTTCAGGACTCTGGATATTATTAGTCCTACTTTATGGATAGGAAAAGAGGCTCTTAGAAGTTCAGCGATTTGTCCAATTCAGTGAACACGCGACAGAGCTGGAATTCAAACCATGTCCATCTGATTCAAATCCCACCATCCTTCCATCATGTGATGGAGCTTCCCACATGGAAATGTTTTGCAAACATTTGTCATGGTCTTTTCTAAAGTGTGGCACCCAGGAAAGAAAACAACACTGTAGGTTTAGTCTGGCCAAGACAGAGTAGAGACAAGATTTTTCTTAATAAATCCTAAAGTTGCGGCCATCTTGCTTTGTTGTTTCATGCATAGCTGGCAGTTGACCAAACACTCAGATTTTCTGAGACACTCAGTCTCCCCTTCACTGTGTTCCCAGACACATTGGTCTTTGGTGCTTGTTCTCTCTGATTGGAATACCCACTTCATTCATTCATTCATTCATTCATTCACTCATTCATTCAGTAGACATCAATTGAGAGCCTATTACATGCTAGGTACTGTACTAGGCAGTAGAAATACACTGATGAGCACAGGGACAGGTCTCTTCACCGTGCATACAGTCTAGTGGGGGCCTTGGGCATTGATCAAGTCATGGCAGAAATAAACATGAATCTGCAGTAGAGGTAAGTTCTGTACGAGCGATCCATGTGGCCACAGAAGATGTGACCTCTTCAGAGAAGTCAAGGAAGACTTGCCTAAGGAAGTAATGATAACAATGCTGAAAACGCTATCTCACCCCTGCCCCCACCCACACCCACAGAGGCCCAACCCTTGACTCTGCCTAGAAAACTCCAGCAGTCTTTCAGGTCAGCTTATACATCACTTCCTCATAGAGTGCTCCTCTATGGTCCTGACCAGGTGAGGTCTCCATTGGACTCTATATTGTTCTCTACAGCATTTCACTTATATTTGGTTACTTGTTTAAAATTTGTCATCCCATGTGTAAACTCCATGACGGCAAAGAATGTGTCTCCCTGGTTTCCTGCTTTATGTCCCCTGTCAAGCACAGTACCTAGCATTTGCTTGATAGTCCGGAGATGTTTGCTGAATAGATATCTTGCTCTCCTATCCTGTACTGGGGCAGCTAAAGTTTTAGATCCAGGTGCAGGAATTCACATTTATTAAATTTCACCTTAGGTGGTGGCTCATGCCTGTCATCCCAGCACTTTGGGAGGCCAAGTTGGGAGGATCACTTGAGCCCAGGAGTTCCAGATCAGCCTGGGAAACATGGTGAGATCCTGACTCTACAAAAAAATAAAAAAACTAGTTGGGCATGGTGGTGCACACCTGTAGTCCTAGTTACTTGGGAGGCTGAGGTGAGAGGATCCTTTGAGCCCAGGAGTTTGAGGTTACAGCTAGCTATGATTGCGCCACTGCACTCCAGCCTGGGCAAGAGAGTGAGACCTCATCTCAAAAACAAAAACAAAAACAAATCACATTATTAGATCATCCCAGTTTATTAGCATTCCTATAAATTCCAATCCAGTACTCACTGAGTGTTTGCCATGAACAATACCTGATGTCGGGGATACAAAGAAACTTGTACAGTCTTAGCCTTCAAGGAGTATATAATCTAGTTTAGGAAACAGATGAGAAAAACAGGAATTATAATGTAGTTGTTATGTCCAGAATGATATAGCAGCCTAGAGAATGAAACTGTTCAATCTGTCTGGGGGAAGAGCAGTAGGGAAGGCTTGAACTTGAAGTTTTACTTTAAGATGGGCAAGACGCAGGGAGGACTCTTTGAGCAGAGGAGGCAAAATGTGTCAGGGAAACCCAAGGCAGGAGAGGCAGATGGCAGGGAGTTAAGTTGCCCATGAACGTCAGAACTGAGAGTCATGTAGTTTCTTTTCTTTTTTTGAGACGGAGTCTCGCTCTGTCACCCAGGCTGGAGTGCAGTGGTGCGATCTCGGCTCACTGCAAGCTCCATGTCCCCTGTTCATGCCATTCTCCTGCCTCAGCCTCCCAAGTAGCTGGGACTACAGGCGCCCGCCACCATGCCCAGCTAATTTTTTTTTGTATTTTTTAGTAGAGACGGGGTTTCACTGTGTTAGCCAGGACGGTCTCGATCTCCTGACCTCGTGATCCGCCTTTCTTGGCCTCCCCAAGTGCTGGGATTACAGGCGTGAGCCACCGCGCCCAGCCCGAGACTCATGTAGTTTCTTACAATCTCTCTCTTTCTCTCTCTCTCTCTCTCACACACACACACACACACACACACACACACACACACACACACAATGCTGGACTTCAGCATCTTCTTACCATTCTATTTTTTTCCAGTTTGAAGAATGCCTTCTTGACAGAAAATATAGTCCCTTCTTGTCATGTCTCTGCTAATCCATTTTTCACACTAGCCCTGAGTTATCTTTCTAATATATGGATCTGATCATGTCATCACCACCACCCTCCCAATTAAAAACTTTCAGTGGTTACCAACTGCCCCTAGAAGTCACCCTCCATTATGGCAGACAAGGCTCTTAACAATTTGGTCCAAGGTTATAATTTCAACCCTACTTTCTCCTCATTTCCCCTCACACATCCTACTGTGAGTCACAGGGACTGACTGACACCTGCACTTGACTTTCCGTGCAATCTATTCTTCTCTCTACATGGAGAGATGGAGGGAGGGGGGTCAAGGAGGTTCACAACTTGGGCCGCTTACTACTGTCCGTGGAGCACCTTGAGCTCGACACTGGATTCCCACATTGCTGAACCATCTGGAGTTCTCTGAGTGCTTTTCTTTCTTTTGCTGCTGGGCTTTTGCACATGCTACTTCCTCTGCTTCGAACACCCTTTCTCTGGCTTTCAGTCTGGCTAGCACCTACTTCCTCCATTCCTCAGGATGCAACTGGGGTGTTACTTTCCCCAGGAAGTCTTGCAGCCTCCGCTTCTGAGGCCCCACACACAGCACCCTATGCTTGCTTTGATAATGGCATGAGCCACTCTGCATTTTAATAGGTGTTTCTTATCCATTTCCCTTTCTTGACTTTGTCTGATTTATTATCATATGTTCAGTGCCTAGCGTAGTGCTTGACATGTATTAAGCTTTAAATAGATATTTGTTGATTAATGACTAAATAAATAAATGACTGAATGAATAAACTTCTCATTGTTCTCAAAACACAACACGCTTATTGACAACTGTGCCTTTCTCTGCATGTCATTCTAAAACTAAACTCTTTTTTCATTTCTCCCCACCCCTCCCAACCCAGCCAACAAATCTGCTCTTCCTCTCCCTCATCTACCTCAGTGAATGGTGCCTCTGCCCATCTGTTCAAATTAGAAACCTGTGAGTTTCTCATGGTTCATTTGTTCGTTCATTCATTATTTATTGAGCATCTACCCTGTGCCAGGCACTTTACTAAACAATGAAGACATGGCCTCTAGCTGCAAAGAGTTCACCTTCTAATCAGGATTAAGTTTTTTTTTTTTTGTTTTTTTTGTTTTTTAGACGGAGTCTTGCTCTGTTGCCCAGGCTAGAGGAAAGTGGCACAATCTCGGCTCACTGCAAGCTCTGCCTCCCGGGTTCACGCCATTCTCCTGCCTCAGCCTCCCGAGTAGCTGGGACTACAGGCACCCGCCACCACGCCTGGCTAATTTTTGTATTTTTAGTAGACATGGGGTTTCACTGTGTTAGCCAGGATGGTCTTGATCTTCTGACCTCGTGATCTGCCTGCCTTGGCCTCCTAAAGTGCTGGGATTACAGGTGTGAGCCACCGCGCCCGGCCCAGGATTGTTTTTAAAGGCTTTCTGTCTCTTCTCTGAAACAAACTCCAGGAATACCATGCACTGCCTGATGGCCTGTGTTGGATTTTCCCCCACTGAATGCCTGAGGAAGAGGAAAGATCATGAGCTTTGGCATCAGGAAGAGGTGGGTTTATTTGCATATTTTTAGAGACAGGATCTCACTCTGTCACCCAGAGTGAGTAGGGTGCAGTGGGGTGATCATAGCTCACTGCAGCCTCCAACTCCCGAGCTCAAGCGATCCTCCTATCTCAGATTCCTGAGTAGCTGGGCCTAAACGTGCTCACCACTGCTCTGGCTTATTTTTTTATTTTTTATAGAGATGGGGTCTTGTTATGTTGCCCAGGCTATTCTCGAACTCCTGGCCTGAAGCAATCCTCCCACCTTGGCCTCCCAAAATGCTGGGATTACAGGTGTGAGCCACCACACCCAGCCTAGAGGTGGATTTATTTATATTTTATTTTATTTTATTTTTAGACGGAGTCTTGCTCTGTCCCAGGTTGGAGTGCAGTGGCACGATCTCCACTCAATGCAACCTCCGCCTCCCGGGTTCAAGTGATTCTCCTGCCTCAGCCTCCCAAGTAGCTGGAATTACAGGTGCGCACCACTATACCCAGCTAATTTTTGTAATTTCAGTAGAGAAAGGGTTTTGCCATGTTGGCCAGGCTGGTCTCGAACTCCTGACCTCAGGTGATCCACCTGCCTTGGCCTCCCAAAGTGCTGGGATTACAGGTGTGGACCACCGTACCTGGCCCTAGAGGCGGATTTAAATCCAAGCTCTTCTTTATCCTGAACACATTTAATTTAATATTCCTTTTTAACAAAAATATGTAATGTATTAAAATATAACATTTAAGTGCTTACTCTCTACTCAGTGCTGTGCACAGTGTTGATGACTCTGGATGACAGAGCAAGACCCTGGTCTCTAAAAATATAAAGAAACACAGTGCTGCCCTCACAGAGCTTACACTTAGTGAACAAGACAGACATGAAACAACTAAACAGGCAAATAAATGTCTAACTACATTTGTCAAACACACTTGAAGACAATAGATAAGAAATAGAAAAGTCGGTGATGACAACAGTCAAAGGCCAGGTTAAAAGAAAAAAGAAAGAAAGAAAAAAACAGGTGAAATCTTTTATAGACTGGGACGAGTTCTCTGAGGAAATGGCATTGAAGCTAAGATCTGAAGGATGAGGGGAAGCAGTCATGTAAGGAGGCTGGAGAGAGGGAACTGGGCAGGATGAAAGACCCCGAGGAGAGATGGGGGTCCGGGAAGACAGGGGGCAGGTCTTGCCGCGTTAAGGATTATGGGCTTGACTCTAGGGGTCATATCTCTTAAAAAGATTCCTTAGCTGCCAGGTGGAGAGGCTAGAATGGGAAGTGGCAAGGATGGAAGGGAGAAATCAAATAGAAGACAGTTCCAGCAGTGACAGAGGACAGATGCTGATGCCTGGATTTTGGGCGGTGCCAGGCAAGCTGGGGAGAAGGGAATGCATTTGAGATAGGATTTAGAGGTAGACTGAGGGGCTGAGGAACAGGGAAAGGCTGAAGAGTGATTCCCAGGTTTCTGGCTTGGACAAGTGGATGGGGAGGTGCCATGGGAAAAGGGGAGAGGGAACAGTTTTGGTGGGAAAAATGATGAGCAGCATTCTGGACTGGTGAGGGCAGAGTGTCTGTTAGAGATCCATGTGGTGGTGGTAAATAGGCAGTGTGGAGCTTCAAAGAGAGGTCTGAGGTAGGGTTAGCATGAGAATGGGGACAGGAGAGGACAAAAAGGTGAAGTTAGGTGAAGAAATCATTCATCTCTCTGAAACACATTGACTTAATGTATGGAATGGAAATAATATGAAATGAGATCATGTAAAACCACATGGCATATAATAGACACTCCATAAATATTGGTTTCCTTTCCCTTCTCTTCCTCTTTCCCTTCACTTTCCTCCCATCTTCCTTTCTCTTGGTGGTTCTTCGATCCCTTTCTTTTTCTCACTATCCTTATACACTGCACACAGCTATCACAAAAATGAGGACAGCAAATTTCTTAGAAGCTGCTAAACATATTAAGGAACAAGGGGTCAGGAATAGTTGACTTAAAATTCATGCATCCAACTATCATGCCATGTCCTTTGCTGGGAACACCTTTCCTTTGCTCTTTGGCTGCGTAGCAAACTTCTTAAAGATTCATTTTAAGCTTTGCTAATTCTGTGAAGTCTTCCTTAAGGTCTCTAGTTGATTTAGGTGTTTGCTTCTTCTAGGAGGTGCTGCATCTTACATCTATCTTAGCACTTACCATAGTGTTTTGACATTACCTCTTTGGCTGGCCTGTCTCCTTGGTAGACTATGAATTCCTTTAAAGGAGAACTGTTTTTAAACCTTTGTATTTCCAGCACTTAACTTAGACGAGGCAGTTTATTTAAAAATATGTTGCATCATCTCCAAGGCTCTGAGATTCCATAATTTTAAGCAAAAAGTTTAGATGAGTGAAAAAGCAAACAACACCCATATCTCCTTTGCTATCCTTTTAGAAGGAGATGGTGTAGCAGCTAAGATCACATTCAAGGGAGGCAGATCTGAAGGTTTTAGCGTCTCATCTTCAGATCCGCACTGACGGGCAAGCCAAGTGATACCCAGAGGCACCTGAAGCCAAGTCATTTATTTCAGGTCCGGGTGAAAGGACTGTATTTTAGGAAAGTGTATGTAATTTACAATTTTAATATTCCTACACAGAGGTAGCAGATAAGGACAAGGTTGCCATCTCTGTGCTAAATGTCAAAGGAGGAAACTTCTGTAAGCTGCTGCTGTTTCCTAGACTCTTGGAGCATCTACAGAGCTCGGAGAACTCTGAGATTGCCAAGAGAGCCTTCTCATACTGTGTGATTTTCATGGATGGAATGTTAGCCATTTTCCCCTATACTGGCACCCTCAGTTCATCACACAAAGGGAAAATAAAAGGGAAGTGACTCAAATTAAATAGTAGGTCTGAAGAGCTTTGACTCAGCATGATACCTGGAATAGAGCAGGCATCCTATAAATGTTGGGACAAATAAATGGTTCTGAAACCCCAAATGCCTCAGTTTTTCTTTAAGAACCTGTATTCTCACCACAAGCAATGACTTCTTCATTCCTAGAGCATGCCAATCCTGTGGATCATTTACAACTTTATCTGCTATTACTGTACCTAACACAATAATCACCACACAAACTACACCTACATTATTCAAGAACCATCTACTCAATTGTGTTGACCTCAGTTAATCTCAGCAACTGCCACAGCTCTAAGAGCCCCATTTCCATTTGATTCTATACCCTGCTACCCTTCTCCCGTCCCCAGTGACATCCACCCCGTGTTCTGGATTCCCCTAGTGGTCTTGAAACCTCCTGGTTTGTCTGGGCTGAGATTTTCTTCAAACATTGAGGCAAAATGGGAAGGGAATAGACTGTTGGCTTGGTCCCTGCTGCTGATAGCTATACATTTCCATTCAACACCAGCCTCCTGGACTTGCCTTTCAGAACTTATTTCCAGCCTTCATAGCCACTCCCTGGAACAGTCTTGCTAGGTCTTCCCTTTCTGTGTTTGTTCCCCCATGACTGACCCATTTTCAAGGACTGGTCCTTGTTCAGCCCAGCTCCTACCCCTTTGCTTCTTGACTTTAAACTCTACCTGCCCTGCTGGACGTGCCAATCTTTGCATCTGGAGCATGAGAGGTTACTGTAGAGGTTATGCACACAACTAGTAAAGCATGAACTTCAGAACCTCTAAAGCCACTCCCCAATCTGTGGTTCTGTGACTCGGGTACTTCCCTTGAGCTCATGTGAATAAAACATTCAATTTTGTTTCATTTATGGGTCTTGTTATCATGTTAGCCAAAAGATATATCTTTTTTAAAAAAATCTAAAAAGTAGCCCAATAGCTGGCTAGTTCTTAGCTTAGTCCATAGAGAACACCTAAATCCCAAGTAAAACAGGGAGCAGCAGGACATTCTGCAGGCCGGAAGAGGAGATCGTTTCAACACTAGCATGGTCATCAGCATTAAAGAGTCAGTTGGGGTTTGACTGTAGAGCTTCTAGTGAAGCTCACAATGGAGGAAGCCTAAACCATTCTGAACCAGGGACGAATGCCTAATATTCTAGCTTCACTGCAACCCCTGAAGTCTTCCTCTCAGGCTACATTTCCAACAGGCAATGAAGAATCAATTATCTGAATATTCTAGTATTGTCTAGTTAGACGAAAGTCTGATTGATCAGCATTTTCTACTCAGGAAGGCACGGGCTTCCAACATCGCAGCTGTCCCTCCATAATTCCATTATTTTAGGCCGCTCATTTAACAAATCCTGCAAGCCTGCTACGTGGGAGGCACTGTGCTAGGTGCTGAGATTATGGCACTTAACAAGAGAAACAGGGTCCTGCACTCAAAGAGCTCACAGTTTGGAGTGGGAGTTAGACACTAAACAAATATAGCTACTTGATCTATTACTTGGTTATATTTAGGACTAAGCGATACAAGGATAAATACAAGATGCTACACGACTATATATTGAATCCAAACAAGGTCTGCTGTGGTGATACTATGAAGGGTGGCCTGATCTATTACTCGAATGGTTCTTTTCTCCCTTCTTCTCTTAGGCTCTTTCTGCTTCCTGAAGGGAAACTTCCAAAGCTAACAAACGCCTCTATTCCAGGAAGAGCGGAAGTAGAAGACATTGGCGATGTGGCATAAGATGCCCATATACCTGGGGAGACAGCTGCACGGGCATGTGTGCACACACGCACACAGACACACGCGCACACATGCAGAGGATGACCCATGAAACATGCCCTGGGGGGAAGAAGAGGAAGAAAAAAAATGAAATCCAAACAGTCTTTTTCACCCCGAAAACATATAATTTTGTGTAAATTTTTACTTTAAACATCTCTCTTTTCCTGAGCTGTGATATGGGCCCTGTCAAAGCCAGGGCCAATTACTGCCATTAGGTTCCCATCATGTCACCGCTTCTCCCCCCGTCTGGAAGGCCCTCGCCTCACAGGCCTATAATCTGCACTCACTTTCGCTCCATCACTTTCAGAAGGAACAAAATTGTTTTGTGTGTTTTTTTTTAAAAGGGCCTTTATTTGGCCCCTGTCAACTCTGAAAAGAAGAGAGTGAAAGAGAGAGAGGAGGAGAGAGAAAAGAGGAGAAAGAAAGATTGTTTAAGTGTTTAACCATGAGATTGCCAACAGCAAGCATGCGGGAGGCAGCCTGGCTGGCCCCCATGGGCCAGGCTCGGGACCCCAGGGACGCCACACCCTGGGCCTTGCCACTTGCTTCCCCTTTTGGGTAAGTTATTTCCATTCCCAGAAGAGCTCCTCGCACAGGTTCTGATCTCATAGCCTTGGAATAATCTATCTGAAGATATCATCAAAGAACAGGCAGGTTCTGAATTGCCAAACCAGCTACTGCGAATGTCTATCACAGGCCAGAAAGTGGGGGAACCTTTCTGGACTCCAAATCCCTTAAGGGATTGGCTGCAGTGGGGGCAGAGAGTCAGAGAAGACCCTTGGGAATGCTGAGGATGCTGCTAGCAAAAGGCAAAATGAAAGCTGGTCTGTTGGGACAGTGCCTGGACCATTGGGTGGGTTGGCTTGGTCCCTCCCTTGGCTCAGCCGGGATGTTCCTAATCCTTGCTCTCTCTTCCTCAGGTCAACTGGCTGCTCCAGGAGCCACCGAGCTCACTGTTGGGAAACTCGCTGCCGAAGGGTGAGGCCCCTGTGCCACCTGAGACAGCCGCTCTTCTTCCACCGTAGTTACACCTTCCTGAAATCTGCAGACGGTTATCACACCCCTCCGCTTGGCCAGGCTGCCCAGCATGCCTCTCCACTCCTGCCGCCTCCGTCGTCACTTAGCCAAGCTAAACAGATTTAGCTCCTTTAATCTTTCCTCATTAGCTGGCAATCTGGAAAGGAAACAAATGCTCACCCCATACAGGTTCAAGCTGTTGCTTTAACCTTGTAAAAGTGTGTAGGGCGCTGGGGCTGTGGAGTCAGTTAGGATCATTACCATGAGGAGCCACTCCCTCTCAGCTAACCCCCTTAGGGGCCGTCCCCATTCTTTTTGAAACCACCCCAGTGTGTCACCTCCCTTCTAGGTCCCAGAGCTCCACATCCAAATTGTGTGCATGCAACCCCCAAAGCAAGGCAGCTTCCAGGGCCTTCCTATGGCTTTTTTGGATGAGCAGAGATTTCCTCCCAAATATGTTCATTTGTTTCAACCCACCGCCTCCCCCCATAATTAGGTGTTCATGTGGTTGTTGACTTCTTCAGGTTCCTGAATTGTTCCTCAGCCACACCTACCTATCAGCTTTTTCAGTTACATGCAGCTTTCTCCCCATCCAAAATGAGACCTTATGTTAAATTGGTTCAGAATACTCTGTTCATCCAGAGAGTGTCCCTCTCTCTGAATGATTCCCTGCCATCGATTTTTCTTTTCTGTGCAGTTTTCATTTACATACCTACAACCACAGCGAAAACCTGAACCTGTTTTAACAACAGCCACTTGTGGCACACCCATTACAACACATCTGTTTTTCTGTTTTCAATTTGATCACTTAGCGCTATTCTGTTTGGTGTGGTTTGGCCCTTAGGCATACTTACACACACACACACACACACACACACACACACGCACACACACGCTTCTCAATTTTACTTTCCTCCCGGAGATGACAGATTTTTTCCCCCTTTCATTGTATCTAGTTCCAAACTGACTGGATGAACATTTTTAGGCTTGTTTACCATTTTTTAGAAGACAGGAGTCACATCCGTTTCACTTCTCCAGCCTCCTGATGGCCCCTTTTACTTTCTATGATTTTCCAGACATAATTATAAGTGGTTCAATCAGCGCCCCGCTTAGTATGTTCCCAGAACACTAGCCTTAATATCTCATGATGGATGTCATCCTGGCTTGCTGATTTGTGAAACCTTTACATTTTCTGAGTATTCTCCTACCTGCTTTCTATCAGGAACGATTTTTGCACAGTCTGCATTTACTTCCTAATTATCCAAATTCCTTTTTGTCATTTTTCTTCTTAAAGACTGATCTAAAAAATGAGCTGAGCATCTCTGCCCTGTAGGAGGTAAGATGAATCTCCCACTTCTCTTCATTTATTAGCAGTCTACATGCTCACTGGTCTGTCCCCCACCTTTCCTTTCCCCTCACCCTCAATATATTGCTAAACATATTTATTCCCTTTAACCCTTCGCTAGTGAAAGTTTCTCTCTAGGGTTCAACTTCTTGCCCGCAGGCCCGGGGATCTCTCTTCTGGTGGCTCCTGTAGCCAATCCCTTTATCTTGTAGAAAACTATGGTGACCTCACCCAAAGCTATTCCAGCAGGCAAAGCCTTTTCTTTTCCCTTATTCTTTATCAGAATTGGCTGTAGTCTTTAGTGTTCTCCCTCTAGCCTTCTCTTCCTCAGGGCTCCAAAAATGGACTGGCACCTTTGAAAAATAAGGAGAAAGCTGAAGTGGGCTGCATGCTTCCTTGCCTCACCAAAAGGTCCTCAAACATCACTCCCCGTCATCCCCCCACTGCGAGAGTGTTCTCTGCACCATTCAGGCCAACTGGCCTCCATTTTGGGGGCCTAAAGAAATTTCCTAGACCTCGGAGCAACAACCCTTTCTCACCTTTACCTCTGGGAAATCTTGGTTTTCATTTTGCTCATTTTCTCTGTGAGTTACTACCTTTCCCTTTTCTCCTTTCATTCATTCATTGACCGTATTAAGCCCCTTAGTGCCTCCCAGAAGCACTGGGAATAGAGTAGTGAACAAAATAGCAGGACACCTGTGCTCACAGTGCGTAACGACTGGTAGGGGAGACATGGTAACTACTGCCCCACCTCATCGTGCCACTAGAAACCATGATACGTTACATCCCGGAAGGACAGAATGCTATGAGAAAGTGTAACCGGAAGACAAAATGTACATTGGGACAGAAAGGCTTCTTTGAGCAGTAAAATTCACTGAGACAGGAAGGAGGGGTAAGAGTCAGGGAGGGTGATGTTAATGTCCTGAAAAGCAAAGCCTGCGTATTAGACAAACTGAAGGAAAAGCAGTTTGGCTGAACTTAGCCCAGGAAGAGGAGAGTGCCCCAAGCTGAGGCTAGAGAGCAGTGTCCTTAACTGAGCATGAAATACAAGACAAGGAACAGGTTTGGGGAGGAAGGTGCTGCTCCACTGTGCCCTGGGGTAGCTGAGGGAGCAGCTCATGTCATATCCTTCCTTCCTTCCCCTCCCTCTCTCCCTCCCTTCCTTCCTTCTTTTCTCCCTCCCTCCCTCCTCTCTCTCTCTCTCTTTCCTTTTTTTTTTTTCAGGGTCTCACTCTGTCACCCAGGCTGGAGTGCAGTGGCGTGATCTCTATTCACTGCTGCCTTGACCTCCTGGGCTCAAGCAATCCTCTCACCTCAGCCTCCTGAGTAGCTGGGACTACAGGTGCACACCACTATGCCTGGCTAATTGTTTTATTTTTTAATAGAGACAGAGTCTCGCCATGTACCTCAGGCTGGTCTCAAACTCCTGGGCTCAAGCGATCCTCCCGCCTTGGCCTCCCAAAGTGTTGGGGTAACAGGCATTGAACCTGTAATCATTCTATGCTGATTTTCTTTTCTTTCTTTTCCTTTTCTTTCTTTCCTTCCTTCCTTTTTTTTTTTTTTTTTTTTTGGACAGGGTCTCGCTCTGTCACCCAGGCTGGAGTACAGTGGCACAATCTTGGCTCACTGCAGCCTCTGCCTCCTGGGTTCAAGCAATTCTCGTGCCTTAGCCTCCAAAGTAGCTGGGATGACAGGTGTGTGCCACCACACCCGGCTAATTTTGTATTTTCAGTAGAGATGGCGTTTTGCCATGTTGGCCAGGCTGGTCTTGAACTCCTGGCCTCAAGTGATCCGCCTGCTTTGGGCTCCCAAAGTGCTTGGATTACAGGTGTGAGCCACTGCACCCAGCCTATGCGTATTTTCTTTTTCTTTTCTTTTATTTATTTATTTCTTTTTTTTTTTTTTTGAGACAGAGTCTCACACTGTTGCCCAGGCTGGAGGGCAGTGGCATGATCTCAGCTCACTGCAAGCTCCGCCTCCTGGGTTCACGCCATTCTCCTGCCTCAGCCTTCCAAGTAGCTGGGACTACAGGCGCCCACCACCACGCCTGGCTAATTTTTTGTATTTTTAGTAGAGGTGGGGTTTCACTGTGTTAGCCAGGATGGTTTTGATCTCCTGACCTCGTGATCTGCCCTCCTGGGCCTCCCAAAGTGCTGGGATTACAGGCGTGAGCCACCACACCCGGCTGCCTATGCCTATTTTCTAATACCATCCTCCTTGTTGCTCGGATAAACACCAGGACTGGTGAAAACCCAAATGAAACCATTGGCTTTATTACCTCTTTTGCCTCAGCTCACTTGAGTAGACTTCCTGATTTTTCACACCCGTAAATGGGACTGTCTGTATTTAGCTAAAGGAAAACGCAAAAGATATAATTTCATTAAGAAACCCTACTCTGGGGTGAAGGTAGGGGCAGGAGGAGTGAGGACCGTGGAATCTCTGGGTGGGATGGACAACTGAAAAAGACCCCTAAGTGATGCTGCTGTGCCCTCCAGGGGATGCCCCATTTTTCAAAATTAATCTCTCTTGAGTCCCAGTTTCTTCATCATAAAAAAGGGCTTACTCCTTTCCATCTGTCCCCACAGATTAAAAGAAGACTCTCATGAGTTCTTTGCAAACTACAGAGTGTTCTTCAGGTACAAACAGTCATTATGGTGACAGAAGTTTTCCACCACGAGGGTCTAAAGAAGAGGTGAAAGCCCTCTTCTGGTCACTATGTGGAGTGAGAAAGAGATCAGAGAGGGGTGAGGAAGACCTGCTCCCAGTTCTCAGGGAAAATGGAGAAGGTCAGGGCATGCAGCAACAAGATGTGAGAAGGATACACACTGGACTCTGACTCTGACTTCTGGTTGTGTTACGTTCTGTGGTGCCAATGAGACAGGAACAGAAAGGCCTTTAGAGCAAACGCCACCTACAGCAGAGTCCCTTCTACGGATGTTCTTCCATCTTTTGGGGCACCCAGCCCAAGAGCGGAAACTAAGATGCAGGCGTTCCTGAGCAGCAGAAGGGAAGATGGGTAGAGAAAAGGGGCAGCCTTTGAGGGAGAGGTGAAAAAGATTTCCATTGCTCGGCAGTAAGCCTTCATCCACCTGCTGACCCCACACGACTCGCCCATCTCTCCTTACAACGAACACCCTGGAGATGCACTAGCAAACCCTCTCTCTACACAGATGGGACCTCAGGGGCCAAGGACACCAAGAGCTTCTGGAATATTCACCAGGAGGGGGTCCCCCGCCTGGCCCGAGGAAACAGTTCCACTGCTCCCCACCCCCGCCCAACCCTGCCTCGGGAAAGAAAGGTCATTCCCTCCTCCTCTGCTCCACACAGCTTTTCAAAGGTTAAATTCAACCAGCCTGCTCCACCACCCCCACACGCCCACCCCCAAACAAGAGAGGAAAAGTTAATTGAAAATGCTGTTTAATTTTTCAGCTCCAGTGGATCCTACCCCAGCACAGATGGCTCCCCCAGGACTGTCTGTCCCGAGCCCATCTCCACCACTCCATCGCCTCCCGCCCCAAGCATGGGGGCAGAGGCACAGCCAGCAGTGGCTCAAAGGGAGAAAAAGAAGGGGGAGTGTGGTGAGGGGGGGGCACCTCCACACAAAAGAGCATTCTGAGCCCTTGGTTCCCTGGCCAGAGAACAATGCTACCGACTTGATCCTTTCATAAAGAGAGTTTCTGGTGTCAGGAGACAGCCGCCCAGCGCCCAAGCCGCCCACACCGGCCACTTCACTGCTCACCACCAACTGCTGTGCTGGCGGGGCTTCATTCCGTACCCCCCTCTGCGTCCAGCTGGAAGTAAGTGTGGTATCAACCCCCACGCCACTCCAAGCCTGCCCGCTACTTGTTGCCCCCTAAAGGCTCTGACAGGGCCCCCGAGAGGCCGGCCAGCTGAGATGAAAGGCTGGGACTCTAACTGGATTACCCCGACCAACCCCAGGACTGACGAGGCCAAGAAGCCCTAATTAAAGCCATCCCCTCTTCCCCCTTCACCCCACCCCCAATCACCGCAGCATTTCTCCTTTCATCCCAGGTTCTCCACTTTGTTCAAATTTCCGCTATTGATGAGTTACTAGGCTCTGGAGAGGTGGAGTAAGTGGAGAGACACACAAATCCTCTCAGCCTCCTGTAGCTTAAAGCCACTGGATATCAACTTGCTTGGACTTTGTTGTCCCCTCCATTGTAGCCAAGGAGAAGCCCTAGAGGAAGAGGAGGAATGGCAAGAGAAAGGGCCAAAGCAGAAGAAGGGGTTTTGGCTGGAGGGAGGGAAGAGATCCGGCCGCTAGAAGAAGGCATTCCTCTAAGGTGGGTTACAGCCTGTGGTCTGCCCTGATGCCTGCCCCATGGAGGACAGCAACACTGGTTTTCTGCTCCAAGATAGCTATGGGGCTGGAGGATCTCTGCCTCCTTCTTCTCCTTGTCATTGTACCACCCCAGCTGCCCCTCCAGTCCCACCTGCTTCTCATACTTACCCAGAAATAGTCATTGGCCTTTGGCCTGAGGGCATGATGGGTTATTTGAGACTCCGTGATCAACAATCTATGATTGGTTCTGGAGTCTGTAGTCACTCATTAGCTACTTTTGATCTCCCCAATAATCCCATAAGGCAGGGATTTTTGCCCTCATTTTACAGATGAAACCGAGGCAGAACGTTTCCAAGGAACTTCTGTGTCTATGAATTTACCACACCGGGCAAGTCAGTGGGGAAGCTCAGACAAGACCACAGGACTTCTGGCTCCTACTCCAGTGTTCGTGCTTTGGCCAAGCTCTCTGAACATCGAAGAAGCCCAGCCAGTCAGAGCGCCCGTTTTGGGAGATGCTGGACCTGCTTTCTGCTACAGGGAAGAGGTTTCACTTGGCTTGGGCCATCCGGCCTGCAGGGTATTGCTGGAGGCTGATAGATGACCCCCAGGGGCAAACAGATGAAGGCCAGGAGGATCCACTTCTGGCAAACCAAAAGGCTGCCCCGAGTGGAGAGGCCCTCACCCCACCCCTGCCCTCACTCCACTCCTGTGCAGACAAGGGAAATATGTGTATGGCACATGGCGGCCAGTGCCAGTGGCCTTCCTGCCTTGGTGTGATGGACCGAAGAGAAGAGGAAGAGTCCCACTGGCCACTGAAGACCATCGCTCTCTCCCACTATCAGGAAGGAGCTGGCAGACTCTGCCCCCTTCACCCCTCCACACCCGCCACCAGCAACCCTGCCACCCTCCCAAGTCCTTCTGCATACCCAGCCCTCTCTGACCACTGTGATGCTGGGCACTGGCCAGGATTCCACATCCTTTTAAGAAATGTAAGGGACAATAACTTCTGGGCTAGAGTGCCTGGGCATTGCTTGGGCACCGGGTCCATGAAAAGAAGGCATCTTTTATGTGTTTATCTTTTTGTTTTGTCTTGTTTGCTGCCCAGAGAAGAGGTAAGGAATAGGAGTGCTCTATTAACCTTATTTTCAACAAAAGGAAATAAGGGGGTATGATGGGCTACCTTCTAGAGGTGTCAAGGATGGGGGAGAATGATTCTCCCAACCAGAGTAGGGCGGAGACTGGGGCAGGGCATGGGGGGAGGGGAGCGGAGAGGATTGGAGGGAGGTCAAGGGAGAAACGAAGAAAGAGGAAAAAAGAAAAACCCAGCAGTGCGCCATGTCGCATTGTTCATGCTCAGCCCTTCAATTTGCTCTCTGCATTCTCCTGCCGTGGGGAGAATGTTACGCTGGCTTAAGGGACAAATCAGACACAAAATAAAGACCAACACTCAGCAGTGAAGCAATTATCGCAACATTTTATGCCAGGACTGTTCCTTTTGAAGGCAGCCTGGTGCTACCCGCATGTACCTTAACCCGTTCCTAATAACCATAAAGTTACCATTATTTACGGTACAAGACATTAAATAAATAATGCAAACTCAGGCAAGCGAGCAGTCCATGCAGAGCTAGGCAAGAGGGCTTCCCTGCTGCGGGCCAGCCGCAGGGGTTAACGCGTGATGGAACGGATGCTGACTGCAACCTGTCCAGAGGCCTGGTGGCTTCACTCTGCCTTCTCCCTCAGGAGCCCACGTAGAGCCAAGGAGGCGGAGAGGCCAGCTGGCCAGGAGAAATCAGGGAAGGCCTGACCAGAGTCTAACCAAGAGGGAATCCAGCCAGGACCTACAAAGCTCGTGGACTTGGCCAGAGTCCTGTTTCCTTGGGGTTGCCTGGGAGGGAGCCAGGACCTAGAGGATCTCTCCTGATACAGTGTGGTAAAGAGCAGCAAACACGTGCTCTGAAGTCAGGCAGATCTGGGTTCAAATCCTGACTGCCACTTAGAAGCTGTGTGATGCTGCACGAGGGACAAACTCTCCCAACTCCAGCTTCCTTACTTATAAAATGGGGGAAGTAACATATAGTGTATGGGGTTGCTGTAACGATAAATGAGGAGCATCATGGAAAGCGAGGGGCACAGTGCTTGGCTATTTCATGTCTAGTTCATGATAGTTTTTCTTCCCCTCTGAAAGGAATTCTTAGCCTTTACTTTTACAGGTCAGAACCAGTGATGTGGTTGCATCAATCTGAAATGGCCCTGAGGATACCACATGTTTCTAGCTCAAGGTGAAAGGGAACATTGGGAGAGGGAAGAGAGGCCAGAGACAAATTTGAAAAAAAGGATAGGTGCCAGCTTCTTAAGACAGATATGGTCACGTGCTTTTGGCAAGGGAATTTTCCAAAAAGAGATTCTCGGTCTGTGCCAAAAAAGATACTGATGCCAATGAGACACAGGTGCTGGGATCTTGTCACTGAGGTATCAGAAGCTGCTTACAAAATCAGATATGGAAGAGGGGACTTTGCTCTCTCCCTCACTGCTCTTTCCAATTCTAACCATCCTTTCATTATACCCGCCCACCCAGAAGCTCCAGAGAGCCAAATCGTGTCATGTGCTGTCACAAACCCGGATCCCTAAGAGGACTCTCAAAGGGACCTGCCATACTGGATCAGCCCCTCGAACTTCTGCCAGGTCCCATGCTCTGAATATGAGCACAGGGGGCCAGTCAAGGCTCAGAAGGGTCAGGGCCCAGACATCCCAGATAACGGGGTCCTTAAAAGTGTCCGTGTCCCAGCCATTCATATCCACATCCTTGGGCAGATTAGCCCAAGAACTAACCAAAAGACTTAGGTGCTGGGCTGGATTGGCCCCCATTAGCCCCCTGGCTTCTACCAGAGCAAGTTATTTTTGAAGTGCATCAGGAAGATCTAACCAAGGGTGGCAACATTGATCAGCATACCTAGAACTTTACGGAGCATCAGAATGATCTGAGAGCCTGTTAAAACACGGATGGCGGCCGGGCACGGTGGCTCATGCCTGTAATCCCAGTACTTTGGGAGGCTGAGGCAGGTGGATCACAAGGTCAGGAGATCGAGACCATCCTGGCTAACACAGTGAAACCCATCTCTACTAAAAATAAAAACAATTAGCTGGGCATGGTGGCACGCACCTGTAGTCCCAGCTACTCAGGAGGCTGAATCAGGAGAATCGCTTGAACCCAAGACGTGGAGGTTGTAGTGAGCCGAGACTGTGCCACTGCACCCCAGCCTGGCCAACAGCAGACTCTGTCTAAAAAAAAAACAAAAAACAACCCACGGATGGCTGGGCCCCACACCCAGAGCTTTCAGTTCAGTAGGCCTAGGGTGGCGCCTGAGGATTTGCATTTCTAAATTCCCAGGTGATGCTGATGCTGTTGGTCCAAGCTTTGAAAACACTAGCCTAAAATTCTTCCTTGGGTTAACTTTCTCAATGCCTTCTCTTCACCTCAGATCTGGCCTTGAAAGGGGAACAGAATGGCCTGGGATAGCTGTTTCTCTCCTGTGGGAGGTGATGTGGCAGAGGGCGGAACAGGGGGTGTCTGAGATTATATGTGGCTGCAAATCAGATGGACAAGTAAACCAGCAAAATACTTTTAATGTGGTATTGGATGAGGGCAGTGTGGGCATGGAGGTCTTCCCAGCACACTAATGTATGCACACATGGACATTCTCCTCTTTCTTCCCTTGGCCTGCATTTGGAGTCCAATCCTCTTTTTGCTTGGTGGGACACGTTTTCACCTCCAAAATGCTTTCCTTGGTAAACGCTTCTTTTTTTTTTTTTTTTTTTTTTGAGACAGCATCTGGCTCTGTCACCCAGGCTGGAGTGCAGTAGCGCAATCTCGGTTCACTGCAACCTCTGCCTTCCAGGTTCAAGTGATTCTCCTGCCTCAGCCTCCCAAATAGCTGGGATTACAGGCATGTGCCACCATACCCAGCTAATTTTTGTATTTTCAGCAGAGACGGGGTTTCACCATGTTGGCCAGACTGGTCTCGAACTTCTGACCTCAAATGATCTGCCCATCTAGGCCTCCAAAAGTGCTGGGATTATAGGTGTGAGCCACTGCGCCTGGCCCTTGGTAAACACTTCAAATGCACCCAACATTAAAGTAAAAAATATCAATGAAATCTTAAAAAATGCAGCCTGGGCAACACAGCAAGACCCCATCTCTCCAAAAATAAAAATAGAAAAAATTAGTCAGGCATGACAACGTGCTTCTATAGTCCCAGCTACTGGAGAGGCTGAAGCAGGAGGATCGCTTGAGCACAGGAAGTCAAGGCTGCAGTGAGTTACGATCTCATCACTGCACACCAGCCTGGGCGACTGAGTTAGCACTCTGTCTCTAAAATAATAATTTAATAATAATAATAATAATAATTCACACGTTTTTCTGTAGTATTCGCTTGTCAAATGAAGTTAAATGTGATGTATGTTACAATGTATTGTGTGGCATGTGTGATATTATCTCATTGGATTAGAATTATTTATTCTCCATTTGCTTTTCTGTTTAAGAATAAGCTCCTTCAGGGCAGGGACAGCTCTTATTTCCTCTGTGTCTCCTAGGGCCTGGCACAATGTCTAACACAAGGAATGCTGAGCAAATTATTTAGTGCATGAATATTTGCTCCAGGAAGATGAGGCCTAATACCATGCAGATGGTTATTACATGTCAAAATAAGAATAATCCCATTTTTATATTCTCTTTCCCTCTTCCTCTGATCTTTCTCCTCTCAAATATTTTCAGGCTGGAATTCAGGGATTGGTTCTGGAGTTATCTTTATGGTTGTAGAACCCCTAGAGCTGAGAACACACAGTGGTGCCATTTAGAGAACTGACTGCCCCAGTAGACTCCCAGAATACACTGGGACTCCCAGAACACTGGATCATGCGGCAGCCTTAGCCAGGAGCCTCATAAAGTGTATGTGTGTGTGTGAGCGTGTATGGTGTGTGTGTGTGTGTGTGTGTGTGAGAGAGAGAGAGAGAGAGAGAGACAAAGGATCATACTGCAGCCAGGAGCCTTACAAAGTGTGTGTGTGTGTGTGTGTGTGTGTGTGTGTGTGTGTGTGTGTGTGTTTCAGTGGTGTGAAGTCAGCTGGGGAATGCCAGGTGCCCACTCCCCAACTTGGAATTGCAGATCTCTAGCCTGCTGCGTGGCTGTAGCTCCCTTCCTCCTCCTTCTTTTTCTCCCAACATTGAGAAAGCAGTATGCTGCCTATTTCAAAGAGTATAATAGCTCCACATTTTTATGCTTCTTTTTGGAGCAATTAGAGTGCAGAGGAGGGTCAGCAGAGGGTAAGAGCGGAGAAAACAGCTGATTCCTGAGCACTAAGAGGTCCCAAGCCACCCAGCCCCCCTCTCCTGCACCAACCAAGCCTGCACTTGTCACAAAGTCAGCCCTGACAAGTGCTCTGCCGCCGCCGCTGTGCTTGGGTGGAGTAGAAACGGAGGGGAGAGAGGGAGGGAACTTCATTCTTTCCTGGCTTAAAAAGTCAAAGGCTCTGTAAGGCATGCAAAAGGAAGAAAGAAATTGTCCTGCTTGGCCGCATTGCTTTCCTTTCTTGACCAGTTCTGCCCACACCCAATAACCCCATGCTTCTCTGCCCAGCCTTCCTCCACCTGGGCCCGGGAAGGGAAATGGGACGCCTGCTCCTCCTCTGCTCACCCATCCCCAGCCTTTCTGCCAGCCTGGGTGTCCCACAGCTGACCGGCCTGCAAACAGGACTCTATCTGCAGAATCCACCCCCTCCCCCTCAACTCTAGCATTAACCTTTCTCTTTCTTTCAACAAAAGCCAAACTCTTTCAAAGCCAACCTGATTGAAATTCAAAAACTTTCCAGGGCCTCTGCACCACTCTCTACTCCTCCCCATACTGACAGCCGCTGGTCACCCCCCCACACCCTTCCCACTCCCCACCCCCAGCAATGTAGAAAATAGCGGGACAAAGGGCTCTCCCCACCCCCTCCCCCAAGCACAAGACTCTCCCTTTGTGTCACTGTGTCACTCGGGCTGGTGGAAAGGGAGAGCTGGCTCTGGGCTCTCCTATTGTCTCCCGATACCCCCACCCCCACCCCCACCCCCACAGCCTTCTGCAGCCTGGAGGCCTTGTGCTGGGTCCCGCTCAGTTGGCCAAATCGAGGGGCCTCTATGGGGCCCCCAGGCCCACTCTCTGACAGGACAGAAGAGCCAAGGGCCCGTCTATGCCCGAAGGGTGCTTCGCCCCTGGCTCCCGAGCCCCACGTTGTGGACTCCAGGGTGGACCTGGAGCCGCAGACCAAAGCTGGCTCCCTTATTTTCCTGGACACCAGATGGAGCTCCTCCCTCCCTCCTCTCTCTTTAGAGACTCCCTCCCTCAGCAGCAGCGGCAATTAGAATGGTCTGGCAGGCTCTGGGGAGGGGGATGCCCAGGTGGTGGCCAGGAGGCTATTAGAGAATGGAGACAGGCAGCCTGGGACACCTCCTTGTACAGAGCTGCAGCCGCTGGGGAGGAAAGGTCTAAACACGCTTCCATTAATTAATTAATTCAACAAGTACTCATTGAGCACCTATCATACACGCTCATTGGGGAAACAGCAGTGAACAGAACAAAGTTCTCCTTGCAGCGCTTACATTCCAGTGGGTGAGACAGACAATCAGCAAATCAATACATATTTCAGACACAAGTCCACCCAGAAAAAGAGAGCAAGACAAGGAGCCAGAGAGTGCCAGGTGGGGAGTATGTGAGATGCGGGTGGCAGCGGGGGTGTGTTAGGGAAGTCTCCAGATACAGGCAGAATTTAGACATAGGAAGGAGCGTCTGAGAAAAGAGACTTCCAGCCCAAGGGAACTGCAAGAGCAAAGGCTCTAAGCTGTTAATTAAGGAACTAAAAGGCTAAGGTGGAGACCCAAGGGCAGCGTGTGTAGCCTGTGAGCCCAGAGGGCAGGGAGGCCAGAGAGGGTAGGTCTCTCATGCCTGTAGAGAGGTTTGGATCTTACTTTGAACGAATGGCAAGCCAGAGGAGTCACAGAATTTGATTTATGTATTAAAAGGGCCGGAACAAGGGTAGAAGCAGGAAAACCTAAGGACTCTGTTGAAATTGTCTAGGTGAGAGATAGTAGTAGTGGCTTGGTCCAGGGTCATGTGGTAGAGATGGAGAGAAGCTGTCAGATTTGGGAACCAACAGGATTTGCTGATAGGCAGTATGAATGGTGTGGGAGACCAGAGTCCAGGATAACTTCAATGTTTTGGCCTGATCCAACTGGAAGACTGGAGTGGCTATTGACGGGCAGGGTAGAGATAAAGGACATAATCATTTGATCCTGTGCAGTTAGAATAAGGAGTTCAGTTTTGGACTTAACATTTGAGCTGCCTGTTAGACATCCAATTGGAGATGTCCAGTAAGCAGTGGAGTTGGTGAATTTGTAGTTCAGGGGAGAGGTCTAGGCTAGAGATATAAATTTGGGAGTCACCATGGAGCTGGTATGAAGCCCTGGAGGGATCACCTGGGAAGGTAGTGCGGATAAAGGAGAAGGGAAATCTGAGGACTAAGTCAAGGGTACTCCAAAGTTTAGCATCACTGAAAGGAGGAGGAACCAGCAAGAGGAACAAGCAGTGAGGAAGAAGGAGAACCAACAGAGGGTGTGTCCTAGAAGCGGAGTGAGGAAAGTGTTTCTAGAAGACGGGAGTGACAGATTGAGTATGATATGCACTGAGGACTGGCTGTTGGATTTGGCAATAGGGAGGTCACTAGTGACCTGGACAAAAGCCATTTCACAGGAAGGATAGGGAAAAATCTGACTAGTGAGGGTTCACCTGAGAATGAAAGGAGAGGGGGTGACCTAAAGGGGAACAGAGAAATGGAGAGGTAGCTACAGGGGGAAATGGAAGGCTTTTAAAATAGATGGTAAATATTTTTGCACGTTTGTGTGCATCAGAGCTTCCAGCAGAAAGGGAAGCTCTGATGGTGAGATTCAGGGAGACAATTACTAGAAGATAATCTAAGCTACATTAGGAAAGAAGTTAGGTGAGATGGGGTGGGGGACATGAAAGGCAGGCAGGGTCAATAGGGTGCAGTCCTTCCCATTGGAGTTGGAATTGGGTCACTACCAGGAGTAAATTGGCAGTTGGAGAGCAGGATGTTTAAGTTGGTTATTAGGAAGGGGTATAATTACTGGTAATGACAAGATTTCGGGATGAATATCAGAGTCTGTGACTGAGGTGGGATAGAGGACAAGTTTATTGGGGGAGAGAAGGTCAAGGAACCAAATGAGCAGGATATTGAAAACGATTATCTGAGTGTGGCCCTTGGAACAGCAGCACCATCAGCACCACTTGGGAACTTCTCAGAAATGCGCATCCTTGGGGGTCTCTAGACCTACCGAATCAGAAACTCTGGGCGTGGGGCCCAGCGATCCATGTTTTAACAAGTCCTGTTGAAAGACTTGATGATAGTAAGTTTGAGAATCCCTGGTATAGAGGGTTTTGATGGGTTGTGGCAGTTGAGGGGTCAGACATGGGGTCAGATGAGGGCAGCAGGTCTCAACCACGGCTGCACAACATTAGGATCACCAGGAAAATGAAAACTCCCAGTTGTGAGCCTGCGCTCCAGAATCAATTTCCTTATGATCTGGCAGGGAGGGGGACTTCAAGGATATCAGTATTTTTGAAAGTTTACTTAGTGGTTCCAATATGCAAGCAAGGTTGAGCACCACTAGATAATGGGGTATACAGAGCCCTACAGGAACGAAGGCTTCCTGGGAGTCAGGGAGCTTGTGTAGTGACTGAAGCAAATGGAGAGCTTGGTGACATCGGTCCTGGTACACTCTTGGGCAGAATTGGGTGGTGAGGCTGTGTGTGCTGGAGCTTGGGGTAGGACGGTATTATCAAGAGCATGTGGACCTCTGGAGTTACACCACACATCTGCCAATGGTTCTTTCTTTTCTAGGAACCCAGAAAAAAGTGTAGATTGGAAGGATGAATCTATAAATGAAAGAAATAGGGACCTTCGCCACTCACCAAATATATCCCATAGTAAATGTTGCTTTCCTTCTGGCACGCCTGGGTCTCCGGAAGCAACCACTGTCAGAGCTCGGTCGGGGCCAGGCCATGGCTGATCCATGGCTCCAGCCAGCAGCCTACTTGGCCAGGCCAGGCTTTTCCCCACTGGTTTTTGCTTAACGTGGAAGCACAAGCAGCTTTCCAAGTATCAAGCACCTTTGCCTTTGGCGCCAGTCCAGATCCCTCGGGAGTTCAGATGAGAAGAATTATAATTACCTTTGCAGAAAGATTTATCCTAACAATTAGGAAGCAACTTCCAGCAGAAAGAGGGGAGACACGAGAAAAGGGGTGCTTGCAGCAGTATAGTAGGTGCTCAATAAGGTGGCTAGTAAATGAACCAGGGATGAGGGGAATTGTTGAACTTGGGGGAATGGAGAGATTTGCATGTACCAAGGAAAGGGATGGGGATGATCACATACTCACGAGGTCTGACCTTAACACAGGAAGACCTGTTTGGACAGATTGTCTCATACAATTAGACAATATTAAGGCTGGAGGCGAGGATTATCACATGGTGGTGATGGGACAAGAAGGGATTGTCACCCACAGGCGGATGAAAGGAACTGGCACAAACTGTGGGCTGATCACACCCTGATGAGACCTGATGTTCCCTCAAGACTTGAGGATATTATCCCACACTGGTGGTTGAGACTCCTAGGGTTGTTTTATACAGGAAAACCTTGGTCTCTAAGCACAGAATGACCAGGTATTAACAATGCAATACTCTGTGTGTGTGTGTGTGTGTGTGTGTGTCAGGGAAGGGGAGATTATCATATAGATACGTGCCAAGAACCATGAAGACCCTTATGAAAGTATCTGGACTGTGGGTAGGGTAGGCACAACTGGAAAGGATGAGACAAACATATCAAATATGTCTGTCATGATGGCATTGTTTTAACGGGACCTCTAGAGATGCCTTGGGAATTCTAGGCTTGAAGGCCCAGAATTTATTGGAAAGGGGACACTAGTGTAACCGTTGCTTAGCATCTAGGGAAAATGGCAGAACTGGCCAGAGAAGAAACTGTCCCAGGGGTCCTATCCCCATCCCTAGGCCAGTGTCACAGAGGAGACATTACAGGCCAGGACTCTTCACCTTTGAGGCAATCACCAAGCCAGCAGGAGGCAGGCAGCACAGTTTTTCCATCCAACAGGAGTTTGGAGGAGGACCACAAGAAGGTGGAGGTGCCGCCCGCAGCTCTCACACTGTCTGCCCCAGCAGTTCCCTGCTCTCTGGGGTGAGCTGCAAAATTATTCCACATCCCCAAGTGAGCTGGCTTGATTAAGTTTTAATTTTAGCAACTTGCTAGGAGGACGGGGAGGCTGTTTCAGTGCTGGGGGGAGGGGAAGAGCTAGAGAAGAGCTGTGCTCTGGGCCATCAGCCCACACCACATGCATCTGCTACACAGCAGCACCACCCTGGACTAGAAAACCATGCCACTGTGGAGGTGGCCAAGGGCAGGGGTGAAAAGTGGGACCTGCTGAAGTGACAAGTCACCCTTTCCTACGCCGGGGCATGTGGCTTTTTCCCCTTGGACTCAGCTCTGCAGCATGGGATTGAGAGGGAGCAGTGGTTCATTAATTTAAGTCTTCCCCTTTTTTCCTTAGCATTAATCATTCCTCAGGTCTTTAGCCAAAGCTGTTCAGAGCAGGGCTTTGCATTTCATTCATTCATGAATTCATTCATTCTCATGCCTGTCTATCCCTCTTCCAGAGATATCTCATTCACTCCCACAGCTTCAGTTATAAATATTAGTGACTCTGACTCTCTATCATCAGCCCAGATCCCTCTGATTTCCATCCTCACAAAACTCTCTGTATCCCCAGCTTCACTGGGATTTCCCATAGGCACCTGAAATTCAGTTTGTCAAAAGCTGAGCTCATTCTCCCCTTCAAATTGATTTGTCCTTCCACCTTGGAGGATGGTCCCCCTGTCCACCCCATCACCTGGGCTATCCCTCAGCTACTCTTTATTCTCCACTTTGCAGCTACACGGCTCCTTCTAAAACCCAGATCTGAGCATGTTCTGCCCCTCTTCAGTAGCTTCCCGTAGTCTTTAGGATTCAGTGTAAGCTTCTTAGCAAGGCATATATATAAAAGCCCTGCACGAACTGACCCTTGTCTACCTCTCCAGCATCATCTCTTGCCACTGGTTCATTCACTCATTCATTCATCCATCCAGTAAGCATATGCTGAGTGGTTACTAAGGTGCTAGACACTACTCTAAATGCTGGGATACAGCAGGGAGCAAAACAGATGTCTGTCTTCCCAGAGCTGTAGCTCTCCCGATCTATTTTCTGTTACCCTCTTACCTCTGGGCCAATATATACAAAGTTTATTCTGCTAGAAAGCTCTTTGTCAGGCCAGGCGCTGTGGCTAATGTCTGTAATCCCAGCACTTTGGGAGGCCAAGGTGGGCAGATCACAAGGTCAGGAGTTTGAGACCAGCCTGGTCAACATGGTGAAACCCCGTCTCTATTAAAAATACAAAAATTAGCTGGACATGGTGGCGCACACCTGTAATCCCTGGCTAACTTTTATTCATTTTTTAGGTCTCCTGCATTCTCCTAACTAAATTAGGTTACGTTCCCTTACTAACTACATGCTTCCAAAGCAATCTGTACCAGCCCCATTTCATTGTAACTACTTTTTAAGTTGTCTGTATTCCCATTACACTATCTATTCTTTGAAAGCAGTCTTAGAGATCATCTTGCTGTAACCTTCGTGCCTAGCACTACTGAATTAATTAAGTAGATATTTAATTATCAACTGCTCTGTGCCAAGCACTGTGGTAGTCTAAAAATATTTATCTTGCCAGCCAAATCTATTCTTTTTTTTTTTTTGTATCTTTTGTTTCTGGTTTTATTTGTTTATTTGTTTTTTGAGACAGGGTCTCACTCTGTTGTCCAGGTTGGAGTGCAGTGGCATGATCATGGCTCATTGCAGCCTCAACCTCCCAGCCTCAAGTGATCCTCCCACCTCAGCCTCCGGAGTAGCTGGGACTACAGGTGTGTGCCACCACACCCAGCTAATTTTTAAATTTTTGGTAGAGATGAGGTCTTGCGATGTTGCCCAGGGTGGTCTTGAACTCCTGGGCTCAAGCAATCCTCCTGCCTCAGCCTCCCAAAGTGCTGGGATTACAGGCGTGAGCCACTGTGCTTGGCCTGTTTCTGTTAATGGTGCTATTCATTACTCCCAGGCACGCATCTTAGAAATTTCATTGTGAAGTGATTCTTCTTTTTAAAAGACAAGTTAGAGATTTGTTTTTATTAAATTCTATCTACTTTTTTTGATAGGTAATAATACATTGACAGGATTCAAAATTCTAAAGGTACCAAAAGAAAGAGCAAAAGTCTTCTTTTTACCCAGATCCTGGAGTCTGCTTCCCAAGAAACAATTTTATCTGTTTCTTTTGCAGATATTTTTTTCATATGCAAACAAATACATTTCCACAAATGGAGGCATATTAAATCTAGTGTTCTGTATCTTTTTTTTTTCTTTTTAACAATATGTCTTGGAGGTCACTGCATATTAGTAATCTAAACAGCTGTCTCATTCATTTTGGTGGCTGCCTGGTGCTCCATGTTATGCCTGTACCATGCAAAAAAATTATGATTTTTTTAACCTGCTCCCTAGAGAGGAACATTTAGGTTGTCTCAAACTTTTGCTGTTTCAAACAATGCTGCAAATGCTATTTCATGCATGTCTGAGAATATCTCTAGTTGAATTAATTTCTTTTTCTCGCTTGTACATCAATCATATTTTTAGCAAGTCTAATAGATTGTCTAGCCCCGTAATGTCTCTTAAGTTTATCCCTTCATCCCTTCTCCACCATCCCCACCATTACTGCTCCAGTTCAAGTCCTCATGATTCTTTTTTTTTTTTTTTTTGACAGAGTTTCTGCTCTTGTTGCCCAGGCTGGAGTGCAATGGTGTGATTTTGGCTCACTGCAACCTCCGCCTCCTGAGTTCAAGCGATTCTCCTGCCTCAGCCTCCCAAGTAGCTGGGATTGCAGGCACCTGCCACCATGCCCGGCTAATTTTGTATTTTTAGTAGAGATGGGGTTTCACGATATTGGTCAGGCTGGTCTCGAACTCCTGACCTGAAGTCATCCACCAGCCTTGGCCTCCTAAAATGCTGGGATTACAGGCATGAACTACCGTGCCTGGGCCATTTTTTTCCTTTTTTAATAGATACCTTTATTGACATATAATTCATATGCCATACAGAGACCCATATGAAGCATAAAATTCAATAATTTTATTTGAGTTTTTACTTTTTTTTGAGGTGGGGGAATCTCCCTATGTTGCCCAGGCTGGTCTCAAACTCCTGGGCTCAAATGATCCTCCAACCTTAGCTTCCCGAGTAGCTGGAACTACAGGTGCATGCCACTGTGCCCAGCTAAAATTCAGTAGTTTTAGTACAGGTTGCATATCCCTTATCCGAAATGCTTAGGATCACAAGTGTTTTTGGATCTGGGATTTTAGAATATTTATATATACATAATGAGATATCTTGGGGATAGGATCCAAGTCTAAACACAAAATTTATTTATTTATTTATTTTATTTATTTATTTTTTGAGACGGAGTCTTGCTCTTGTCACCCAGGCTAGAGTGCAATGGCACGATCTTGGCTCACCGCAACCTCCACCTCCCAGGTTCAAGCGATTCTCCTGCCTCAACCTCCCGAGTAGCTGGGATTACAGGCACCCGCCACCATGCCTGGCTAATTTTCGTATTTTTAGTAGAGACGGAGTTTTACCATGTTGGCCAGGCTGGCCTCGAACTCCTGACCTCGTGATCCACCCGCCTCGGCCTCCCAAAGTGCTGGGATTACAGGCGTAAGCCACTGCTCCAGGCCCATTTATGTTTTACATATACCTTACACACATAGCCTGAAGGTAATTTTACACAACAATTTAAATAATTTTGTGCATGAAAGTAAGTTTTCACTGTGTTTTGATTATGAACCATCACATGAGGTCAATATGGAGTTTTCCACTTGTGGCATCGTGTTGGTGCTCAAAAATTTTGGATAGCCAGGCAAGGTAGCATGCATTTGTAGTCCCAGCTACTCAGGAAGCTGAGGCAAGAAGAATGCTTGAGCCCAGGAGTGTGAATCCAGCCTGAGCAACATAATGAGACCTCATCCATATATAAAAAAAAAAAAAAATTCAGATTTTGGAGCATTTCAGATTTTGGATTTTCACAGTAGGTATGCTCAACCTGTACATTAAAACAGTTGGCTTGCCGTCACTACAAATGGCTTTTAGAGCATTTTCATCACCCCTGAAATCCATACCTTTAAACAGTCACCCCCAATCCTCCCCTCACCCCAGCCCTAGGCAACTACTAATCTACTTTCTGTCTCTATAAATTTGCCTGTTCTGAATATTTCATATAAACGGAATCATATAATACATGGCCTTTTGTATCTGATGTCTTATAATTAGCATGATGTATTCAACGTTCTTCCATGTTATAGCATGTAACAGTATTTTATTCCTTTTATGGCTAAAAATATTCCATTGTATGAACAAATCACATTTGTGTTTATCCATTCATCAGCTGATGGCTATTTGGGTTGCTTCCACCTTTTGGCTATCATGAATAATACTTCTATGCATATTAGTGTACAAATTTTTGTGTGGACCTAATTTCAGTTCTTTTGGGTATATACCTAGGAGTGGAATTGCTGGGACAAATGGCAACTCTATCTTCAGCTTTTTGAGGAACTGCCAGACTGTTTTCCAAAGTGGTTACACTATTTTACACCCCCCCGGGAGCATATGGTTCTTCCAATTTCTATACATTTTTTACCAGCACTTGCTATTATCTGACTTTTTGATTATATACATCCTAATGGGTGCAAAGCAGACTCTCATTGTGGATTTGATTTGCATTTCCCTGATGACTAAAGATATTGAATATTTTTCGTGGGTTTGCCAAGTATTCATACATCTTCTTTAGATAAATATTCAGATTCTTTGCCCATTTTAAAATTGAGTCATTCTGTTTATTATTGACTTTACTTCTTTCTTTCCAATCTGATGACTGTTATTTTCTTGCCTAATTGCCCTAGCTAAAACCTCCAGTACTATATTGAATACAAATGGTAAGAGTGGATATCCAGCCAGGCACAGTGGCTCACACCTGTAATTCCAGCACTTTGGGAGGCCGAAGCGGGTGGATCACTTGAGACCAGGAGTTCAAGCCCAGCCTGGCCAACATGGCAAGACCTCATCTCCACTAAAAATACAAAAATTAGCCGGGCGTGGTGGTGTGCACCTGTGGTCCCAGCTACTCGGGAGGCTGAGGCATGAGAATTGCTTGAACCAAAGAGACAGAGTTTGCAGTGAGCTGAGATCATGCCACTGCACTCCAGCCTGGACGACAGAGTGAGACCTTGTCTCAAAAGTAAAAAAAAAAAAAGAGTGGACATCCTTGTCTTGTTCCTGATCTTAGGGAGGAAGCATCCAGTCTTTCACCATTAAGCATGGAGGAAGGCCCCTTCTATTCCTAGTTTGTTGAATGTTTTTATCATGAAGTGGTGCTGAATTTTGTGAAATGGTTTTTTTGCATCTATTGAGATGATCATATAGCTTTTGTTCTCTCTTGTATTAATATGGTATATTACATTGATTTATTTTGTATCTTACACCAACTTTGCACTCCTGGAGTTAATCCCACGTGGTCACAGTATATAATTTTTTTTATACGTCACTGGCTTTGGTTCACTAGAATTTTGTTGCAGATTTATATATACATATATATATATGTTCATAAGAGTTATTTGTCTAAAGTTTTATTTTTTTGTGATATGTTTGCCTGGTTTTGGTATCAGAGTAATAGTGGCTTCATGAAATAATTTGGGAAAGGTTCCCTCTTTCTTGTATTCTTTGGAAGACTTGGTGAAGAACTGGTATTAATTGTTCTCTAAAATGTTTGGTAGAATTTACCAGTGAAGTAATCTGGACTTGGACTTTTCTTTGTGGGAAATATTAAAATTAGCAATTCAATTTCCTTAATTGTTATAGGTCTATGCAGATTTTTCTTCTTCTTGAGTCAGTTTCAGCAGTTTGTGCTTTCTAGAAATTTGTTCATTTTATCTGATTTATCTAACTTTTTGGCATATATTTGTACATAATATTCTCTTATAATGCTTTTTTTATTTCTGTAAGTCTGGTAGTGATGTCTCCTCTTCCATTCCTGATTTAGTAATTTGAGTCCTCTCTCTTGTTCTTATTCATTCTAGCTAATGGTTTTTCAATTTATTGATCTTTCCAAAGAACCAATTTTTGGGTGTGTTGATGTTCTTCTTTGTCTTTCAATTCTATATTTCATTTATTTATGATCTCATCTTTATTTCCTTTTTTCTGCTTGCTTTGGGTTTAGTTTGCTCTTTTTTTCAGTTTTTAAATTGGAAGGTTAAGTTATTAATATAACATCTTTCTTCTTTTTAAAGTATAGGCATTTACAGCTATAAATTTCCCTCTGAGTGCTGTTTTAGCTGTATGTCATAAGTTTTGGTGTTGTGTTTTCATTTTTATCTATTTAAAGGTACCAATTTCTATTGTGATTCCTCCTTTGATACCTTATTATTTCTTTTTTTTTTTTTGGAATGAAGTTTCGCTCTTGCTGCCCAGGCTGGAGCACAATGGCCCAATCTCAGCTCACTGCAACCTCTGCAGTGAACCTCTGGGTTCAAGTGATTCTTCTGCCTCAGCCTCCTGAGTAGCTGGGATTACAGGCGCTCGCCACCACGCCTGGCTAATTTTTTTTATCTTTACTAGAGACGGGGTTTCATCATGTTGACCAGGCTGGTCTTGAACTTCTGACCTCAGGTGATCCACCTGCCTCGGCCTCCCAAAGTGCTGGGATTACCAGGCATGAGCCACCACGCCCGGCTGATACCTTATTTATTATCTTTAACTATCCTTAAGAAACATATCCAGTATTTCCCTTTCTAGTTGATTTCATATTTTGCTACTCAACTGGTCTTACGAAGAACGGTTTAGTTTAATAATATAGAAATTCAAAGATAGAATTATGTGTAAAACAAAAAAGAACATAGAAAAAAAAGTAATTAGTTCTAACAAAGTACATTTTACAATAGGGATAACGACTGAGCAGGGTTTGTAAGGACAAATAGTAACACACCAGCTAGGCAAAGAGATGATAGACCATTTCCCAGGTGGTAGAAACAGCTTGAGTAAAGACTTAGAGCTGCGAGACAAAAGGGGATATTCAAGACTACCCTTTCCCCTATTTCAGCCAATGGGATTCTGGTGAAGCAGATTCTGCCCTTGCATTCAACTGCGGGGTCATGAATGTGACCCAGGCATTACACAGTTGAAGGATGACTTCTCCCTGGCCTCAATGATTGGTTCAGGAATGGGCGTGAATCAAAGCCAAAGGAATGCACCAGGACTTTCCCTGAGATTTCGAGAAAAAGACTTTTGCTTTTTCGTGCTGAAAAATGTGCAACAGGCAGCTGAAAATCTAAGTCATCCTCATGTGGTTTTAACCAGGTAGATGGATGACAGCCAAGGGCAAGTGCCTGGCACATAGTGGGAACTCAATGTGTATTCACTAAATACATGAATGCATGAACAATTGTATAACAGAATCTCAAAGAATACGAGGAGCTCCCAGCTGAAAGCCATCTCCCTTTCCTCTGAACTCCCAAGACAGCTTATCGAATTGTTCTTACAGTGTTTACCATCTTCTGCTTCATAGTATGTATAGTTATACGGAAATGTGTATTATCTCTTAGTATCAAATGCTTGTCTGATGCTACTTATTTGTAGTCTATATAAGATTTTATATCACGTGGCCCCTTACCTACCTCTTCGGTACAACTTTTTTTGCTCCAGCAGTGTTTTAGAACTTGCTGTACCCTGAACATGCCATGTTCATGTGTTCCTTTTCCTCCAGAATACAAGAACGCTTCAACTCAATTACTAACCAAGTGCCTTTTGCTTGCAAAGTGAGATCCATTATTGAAGGATGATATCAACCTAGAGTGGTAATGAGCACTTTTTAATTAAATACAATAGAATAGAGCCAGGAGTGGTGGCTCACACTTGCAATCCCAGCAATCTGGGAGGCCAAGGCTGGCAGATCACTTGAGGCCAGGAGTTAGAGACTGGCCTGGCCAACATAGCGAAACCCCATCTCTACTAAAAATAGGAAAACTTAGCTGGGTGTGGTGGCGTGCGCCTGTGGTCCCAGCTACTTGGGAGGCTGAGGCAGAAGAATCACTTGAACCTGGGAGGCAGAGGTTAGAGTGAGCCCGATAGCACCACTGCACTCCAGCCTGGGTGACAGAGTGAGACTCCGTCTCAAAAAAAAAAAAAAAAAAAAAGAAAAAAGAAAAAGAAAAAGGCTAAGTACTATTTTTGTGAAACTTTTGTTTCAGTTGTTCATGTGTACTGAGTCATGATGTAAAACATATTTCTTACTATAGAGCACAGTGCAGGCTGGGTATGGTGGCCCACGCCTGCAATCTCAGCACTTCGGGAAGCTGAGGCAGGAGGATCATTTGAGCTCAGGAGCTCAAGACCAGCCTGGGAAACACAGCAATACCCCATCTCTAGTAAAAATAAAAAATTATGACATGGCGAAACCCTGTCTCTACTGAGAATATAAAAATTAGCAGGGCATGGCCGGGTGTGGTGGCTCACGCCTGTAATCCCAGCACTTTGGGGGGCTGAGGCGGGTGGATCACCTGAGGTAAGGAGTTCGAGACCAGCCTGGCCAACATGGTGAAACCCTGTCCTCTACTAAAAATTAGTCGGGTGTGGTGGCGCACGCCTATAATCCCAGCTACTCGGGAGGCTGAGGCAGGTGAATCACTTGAACCCAGGAGGCGAAGGTTGCAGTGAGCCGAGATCGTGCCACTGAACTCCAACTTGGGCAACAGAGTGAGACTCTGTCTCAAAAAAAAAAAAAAAATCAGCAAGGCATAGTGGTGCTTGCCTGTAATCCCAGCTACTCAGGAGACTGAGGCAGAAGGATCACCTGAGCCTTGGGAGGTCGAGGCTGCAGTGGGCTGTGATCATGCCACTGCACTCCAGCCTGGGTGAAAGGGCAAGACTCTGTCTCAAAAAAAAAAAAATCGCAGTGCCAAAAGGCTACCACTCTAAGATACTCCTATTACTAAAGTGAGCAGGTCCCTAGTTTATTTATTTTTATATTTATTTATTTATTTTTGATACAGAGTCTCACTCTGTCACCCAGGCTGGAGTGCAGTGGTGCAATCTCGGCTCACTGCAACCTCCACCTCCCAGGTTCAAGCAATTCTCCTGCCTCAGTCTCCTGAGTAGCTGGGATTACAGGTGTGTGCCACCATGCTCAGCTAATTTTTGTATTATTATTATTGTTATTATTATTATTATTATTATTATTATTATTATTATTTTAGTAGAGATGGGGTTTCACCATGTTGGCCAGGCTGGTCTCAAACTCCTCACCTCAAGTGATCCATCCTCCTCAGCCTCCCAAAGTGCTGGGATTACAGGTGGGAGCCACCATGCTCGGCCCACGTCCCTACTTTATAACTCAAACAAACAAGGATGCCCAGGGGCTTCTCTCCCTTTATCTCCATCCTAAATTTTGAGACTTTACTCTCAAAACCCAAATTCTGCAAAAGGGTCACAAATCAGGGTATAGTCCTTACTTCTGTTGCAGCAACCACCATTTTATTTTATTTTTTATTTTTTAAAATTATTTATTTATTTATTTATTTATTTATTTTTGAGACAGAGTCTCGATCTGTCACCCAGGCTGGAGTGCAATGGCGCAATCTCAGCTCACTGCAACCTCTGCCTCCCAGGTTCAAGTGATTCTCCTGCTTCAGCCCCTCAAGTAGCTGAGACTACAGGCATGCACCACCATGCCTGGCTAATTTTTCTATTTTTGGTAGAGGCAGGGTTTCACCATGTTGGCCAGGCTGGTCTCGAGCTCCTGATCTCAGATGATCTGCCCGCCTCAGCCTCCCAAAGTGCTGGGATTACAGGTGTGAGCCACCGCACCTGGATGACAATTTTTAAACCGTCCTTCTAATTCTAACACACAACCTGGGCTAAAGCAGTTTGCTGCTGTTAATTGTGTTACTTATAATAATAGTTAACATTTATTGAGCACTTGCTGTTTGCCAGGCATTGTTCTAGGCTTTTTGCATGGATTATCTTATTTATTCCTTAGAACAACCCTAGAGGTGGATAATATTATTGCCAATTTCATTTGGTAGATTGTGAAGATTGACTCCTGGAGACATTGGCTCAACTTCCCAAGTCCACACAGCTAGGAGGTGGTGGTGGAGCTAAGATTTGAACCCAGGCAGTCAAGCTTCCCAGCCCACTCTTAGCCATGAAGCTCCATGGCTTCCCAAGTGGGCTTTACCGTTCAACAGACACATGGACGTGTCATGGAACAGCTCTTCTGGAATGGCCCTAGGTAGGTATTGCTGAAGACTATTCTATACTGTGATGCTTATTTTTCCTAACCAACCATTTTGATAAAAAACCAGCCTGATTTATTTGGCCCTGGGTCCATAGATCAATGTTAATCTGCATGTTGGTTTAAGCTCTCACTAGTAACCTTGGAGAGAGAGAAAAGAAGAAGAAAAATGAGGCCAAAATTCATTTTAAATTTTAAAGTTATTTTTAAAAAGAAAGATGACGGGGGAAGAGAACATATGTCTGTCTCTTGAAAGGAATGAGCCTCTGTCTATTGCCCGTGATTTTCTCTGACTTTGAAGCTCTGGCCCCTGCTGGAGCCTCTGAGCTCTCTCAGCCTATGTGCTCCTGTTAAAGGTGATGAGGACAAAATTGGGACAGGTCGCCCAAAGGCCCCCCCCTTTCACTTTGTTCTGGGCGAATGCTCTTTCTGAACATTCTCAGCTTTAGCTAAGCAAGGAAAGGGCAGCCCCTATTTCATAAGAAGAAAGGAAGACGGTCTGGGAGACTGTTCCTTCCCCAAGTATTCAGAGAGTTGCTGAATAATAGGGAGAAAAGAGTCAGAGAAAGGACAAAAAAATAAAAAAGTAAAAATAAATAAAAAATAAAATGACACAGCATAGCTCTAAGCCCTCTCCTATCAGGTTTTACAGAGGGGCAATAGATTTTCTTCATTGCCAGTCCTGACTTATCACAGCCTTGTTTTTAATGAGGTATAATAAGGGGAACATTTTGTAACAACACGGTTCCCCTATTTTATCCCGCAAACAGCTGTGTCATGCTTGTGGCTGGAAGAATGAATCATATCTCTGCCTGCATATGCTAACTCCCATGTAATTACCCCAGCATCTTAAATAAAGCAGGCCCTAAACCTGTCGCTCACATTACAAGCAAACGGTGCAGACCTCGTAACTGGGGCCTCTATTATTACAATTAATTTATCACAGAAGCGACTGAGATTAGAGGCTAGAATTAAAACCCAGAGCATGGAGAGTCACCGCAGTGACACTGAAAAACAGGCTCTTGAGAGGTGGCTGGCTCCAGCGGCTGCCTGACTAATGCCTTTCCTGGGGAAAAACGGCCTTAGTTGGATTTTGTTTTCTTTATATTTTTCCCACTCGAAGATTTTACTACAGTGATTTCGGTGCCTCTCTTGATTCAAAATGATGTTGGAAAAATTCTACCTGCTACTTAACCAGAACCCTGAGCAGGAGTCACTGTTTTCTCATTCTTACACAACCACTGTCTCTCCATAGGAACAATCCCGGGAGACCTCCCATTTGTTTTTGTTATTAGAAAGGAATTTCTC
This sequence comes from Homo sapiens, assembly GCF_000001405.40. Classification (NCBI taxonomy): domain Eukaryota; kingdom Metazoa; phylum Chordata; class Mammalia; order Primates; family Hominidae; genus Homo; species Homo sapiens. The sequence continues at coordinate 44,485,323 of NC_000001.11, read as the reverse complement.
ATGACATCAGTTTGTTTCCTTTCAGGGCGCAGGAGATTGGGGGGAGGGAGAGAATAGTCTAGAGCATTTGCCTCAAATATAAAATGCTGTTTGCATCTCTTCAGGCAGGGGTTTCTCAGCCAGGGTTCCTCAACTGAGCCACAAAGACAGAACAATTACCTAAGCAACTCTTTTCTTTTCTTTGTTTTTTGATGGAGTCTCGATCTGTTGCCCAGGCTAGAGTGCAGTGGCACGATCTCAGCTCACTGTAACCTCCGCCTCCCGGGTTCAAGTGATTCTCAGCCTCCCAAGTAGCTGGGACTACAGGCACGTGCCACCATGCCCAGCTAATTTTTTGTATTTTTACTAGAAATGGGGTTTCATCGTGTTAGCCAGGATGGCCTCGATCTCCTGACCTTGTGATCCACCTGCCTTGGCCTCCCGAAGTGCTGGGATTACAGGCGTGAGCCACCGTGCCCGGCTGTCAGAGCAACTATTTTCTTAGTTCTCCCAAGGATAGTACAACTTGTACATCTAGACTGTACAATCCAGATGCATAGGAGAGAAATTCATTAATTACAGTCAATGGCTTAGGGCATTCGTGCTTACCATGGTTGAAAAAGGTTGAAGAGAGACAATCAGATTGACCCAGTTACAGCAATACCGAGGGACCCCACCTGAGAACCCTCCTCCAGATGTGAGTCAGCTCCCATTCTGTTCAAAACAGTTCTTACTCAGCCCCTGGTGCCCAGCCTCCTTTCGTTCATGGAGTGGCCTCTGCCAGTCCTCCCACCTAAAGCCCCAAGTACGTGCTATGTCTCCAGACACGGCCACAGGGGGATCCTGTGGCTGTTGCCTTCGTACTCACTGGTGCTCAGCAGTCTACTGTCTTTGTCAGTTCTACCCACTGTGCGGCAGTTTGCTATGTGCTCACTTCTTCCTCTTCTTCCTGGGCACACAGCTCGACTGCATTCCCAGCCTCCCTCGCAGTTAGATAGGAATTCCACTCACTGGATCGTAGGTGGAGGTGATGTAAGCCATTTCCCCTGGGCCAATAAAAGTCTCCTACTTGACCCTTCATGCTCTTTTTTTTCTTCTATGCCAGTTACAGCATCCAGCAGGGGGATCCTGAACCCTAGGGGACGGCTCAACCTGAATTCCAAAGGCACCGCTATGTGACTGCCTTCTAAAAAGGATTTGTTGGATGTAGTCATTAGCCTACCCTAATAAACCCTGAAAATGAGATGCCTCGACCCCACCTCAGGAGGCTCTACAGCTTGTGAAGAACAAGGAAGGAAGGAGAACCAGCCCAAGGCTGGGAAACAGTTATTCCCAGATTTTGGAGACATTTCACTGCTTGCCTAGGAAAAGCAAGGGTAAGGGGCTTAGGAGGGCCAAGGCTAGCAGTGAGCCCAGACTCCTGGAAAGGGGGCTCACAGCTTCAGGGGTTTCTCACACACCAGACAAGCTGCATTCTGATACGTTTTGGAAGGCTCAAGGCAGAAAAAATCCTAAGAGGGAAGGCTATGAACATCTGATTTAAACAAAATAATGAAATATGCAAAAGCAAACTATAAATCATAATCTCAAATCAGATCAAGTTGCACCACTGCTTATACTCTTTGGCCCTCTCTGATCTGACCCCTTATCTAGCCTGCCACCGCTATGTTCTCATAGCTCCTCAGACATATCTTCATTGAACACCTCTTCAGAGTAACCTGCTAGCCCACTAGCTCAGGAGTTCTTCAAGGTCTGGAGAAGAGCCTCATTTACCTCCATACCCCTTTAGCTAGCTCTGGGCCTGGAACCTGGTACTAGCTCAGTATCTGCTAAATGAATGAGCACAAAGCACTGTACATGTTAGTATGATGAGTATATTTTCTGATATGGGCATGGCACTTCTCCCTTTCCTGACTCCATTGTTGAGATGCTTTCTAAAATAGTGCTGTGAGCCTGGACATAGTTCTTCCACACATTTTCATTTGGTTTCCCTTCTGATCTAGAACAGTATTTAAAAGCTGGGCTTCTGACATTGAGCAAGGTAGAACAGGTCTAACCGGCTGCAAAGGGATGGAACTCATCCTTTTAAAAGGTGTGTATTAATACTATGCTTGGGCTGGGCATGGTAGTTCATGCCTGCAATCCTGGCGCTTTGGGAGGCTAAGTCGGGAGGATGGCTTGAACCCAGGAGTTTGAGACCAGCCTGGGCAACAAAGCAAGACCCTGTCTCTACAAAACATAGAAAAAGTAGCCAGGCGCGATGGTGTGCACCTGTAATTCTAGCTATTCCAGAGGCTAAGGCAGGAGGACTGCCTGAATCCCGGAGTTTGAGGCTGCAGTAAGCCACGATCGTTCCACTGCGCTCCAGCCTGGGCTACAGAGCAATATCCCATCTGGACAAAAAAAAAAAAAAAAAAAAAAAAAGGCTGGGTGTGGTGGCTCACTCTTACAATCCCAGCACTTTGGAAGGCCGAGGCAGGTAGATCACTTGAGGTCAGGAGTTTGAGACCATCCTGGCCAACATAGTGAAACCCTGTCTCTATTAAAATACAAAAATTAGCCAGGCATTGTGGCACATGCCTGTAATCCCAGCTACACAGGAGGCTGAGGCACGAGAATCACTGGAATCTGAGAGGCAGAGGTTGCAGTGAGCTGAGATTGTGCCACGGCACTCCAGACTGGGTGACAGAGCAAGACTCTGTCTAAAAAAAAAAAAATTTACTGAATTACCCTAGACTATGCCAAGGATAAATGTGAAGAATCCTATTTCAGATCCCCTAGAACTCAAATGCCTCATGACAACCAGAGCATAGCTCCTTTCTTCCTACAGAAAGATTTCTAGCTCCACTGAAGCTATTCATTGCTCACTGAGAGAAGGAACACAAAAATTCTTTGAAAAATATGCAGTATCTAAAAGGTGAACGGACTGGAGTTAGTATCAGTCTTCTCTCCCCACTTCCTTCAAATGTCTTCACCACAGCAACTGCCCTCCACCCCTCCTGCTCCCCTGAGAAGGGAGCCCCAGGGATCCAGACTAGACCAGGTCTGGTCTGCAGGCCGTGTATTCTTAGTTTTGTCTCATTTTTTGAACATTATTTCTCTATGGAAAAATGAATCTGTTTGGAATAGAAATCAAATATGGGTTCATGGTCAGATGGATGGGGTTTGAATCCCAGTTCTGCTACTTGTAAGTTGAGAAACTTTAGGAAAATTAACCTTTTAAGCTTCTGTTTTCTTGTCTGTAAAATGGGAATGAAATAAAACCAAAATCAAGGGGCCCAAGTACTGCATGCAGAACTTCTGGTGCAATGCCTGACACAGAGCAGGCACCCAGGAAAAGCGGGTGCTCATTGTTTTGGCTTCTTATCTCTGAATTAACTTCATCTGCTCCTTGTTCTCTCCTGTTACAACTGAGAGAATGACCCTCTTACGACTGAAGTCTAATCCCTCACAAGTGGTCTGGATTCCATCCCTTCTTGTCTTTTAAACTGCTTCATCATCTCTGTTTCTTGACTGTCAGTCTTTTTCTTTGCCTGGATCACTTCCACCAGCACACACACACATGCACTGCTATCTTCTCTCAAGAACAAAAAAGTTCTCTCTCTTGATTCCACATCCTCTCCACTTGCCATCATATTTTTCTGCTCTTCTTTTTTTCCCCCTTTATTTCTTCTAAAGAAAAACAAACCAAAGAAAAGGGATACATGTACAGAACGTGCAGGTTTGTTCCATAGGTGTATGTGTGCCATGGTGGTTTCTGCTCCTATTGACCCATCCTCTAAGTACCCCCCGCTCAACCTCCAGCTCCCAACAGGCCCTGTGTGCGTGTTGTTCCCTTCTCTGGGTCTATGTGTTCTCATTGTTCAACTCTCAGTTATGAGTAAGAACATGCGGTGTTTGGTTTTCTGTTCTTGTGTTAGTTTGCTGAGGATGATGGCCAACCCAGGATGGAGTGCAGCAGGGCGATCACAGCTCACTGCAGCCTCGAATTCCTGAGCTCAAGTGATTCCCCCTGCCTCAGCCTCCCAAGTAGCTGGGACTACAGGTGCACGTCATCAAACCCAGCTAATTTTTAAAATTCTTTTGCAGAGATGGAGTCTCACTATGTTTCCCAACCTGGTCTTGAACTCCCGGGCTCATGCAATCCTCCCACCTCAGCCTCTCAACGTGCTGGGATTACAGGCGTATGCCACCACGCTCAGTCTTCTGCTCTTCTTTATCCCCAGACACCTCCAAGGTGTTGTCTACATCTGCTGCATACATTTTCTCACCCCCTATTAGCTCTTCAATTCATGTCAACTTGAATTTGCCCTGTCATTCCACTAAACTGTTCTCAAAGTGACCTATTGCCCTCCATATTGCCAAATCCTGAAGACATGTACATCTCTGTCCTTGATCTCCCAGGAGCATTTGACGTAACTCATCATTTTCTATTTTATTTTATTTTACTTTATTTTTTGAGACGGAGTCTCACTCTGTTGCCCAGGCTGGAGTGCAGTGTTACAATCTCAGCTCACTGCAACCTCTGCCTCCCACGTTCCAGCAATTTTTCTGCTTTAGCCTCCCAAGTAGCTGGGACTGCAGGCGTGCCCCACCATGCCCAGCTAATTTTTGTATTTTTAATAGAGACAGGGTTTCACCATGTTGGCCAGGCTGGTCTTGAACTCCTGACCTCAAGTGATCCCAAAGTGTTGGGATTACAGGCGTGAGCCACTGCCCCCGGCCCATTTTCTCTTTTAAAACACTCCTTTTTCCTCCTTGGTTTTATGATCTCTATTGTCCATTCCTTCTCAGACTCCTTTCTTCTTTTCCTCTACCACATCTTTAAATGTTAGAGTTATCCAGGGCTTGGGTCTGTGCCCTTTTATTTTCTCTCTTTTACACCATTCATTTTCATTTCATCTTTTGCAATCACTTAATTAATTAATTAATTAATTTTTGAGACAGAGTCACTTTGTTGCCCAGGCTGGAGTGTAGTGGCACGATCAGGGCTCACCACAGCCTTTACGTCCCAGGCTCAAGCGTTCCTTCCACCTCAGCCCCCTGAGTAGCTGGGACTACAGGCATGCACCATCACACCTGGCTGATTTTTTTTGTATTATTAGTAGAAATGGCATATCACCATGTTGGCCAGGCTGGTCTCAAACTCCTGGACTCAAGTGATCCACTTGCCTTGGCCTCCCAAAGTGCTGGGAGTAGATGTGAGCCACTGTGCCCTGCCTTTGCAGTCATTTTAAATAGCAAGGTGCTGTTATAACTAGAACAACAAAACACAAAGATATGTGACATTGGCTTTGGGACTAGGCAAGTGGGCAGCAAGGAAGCTGGTATAAAAGCCGGGAATAATAGCAACTTGTATTATTTAGTGGTAAACTTGTGACTAAACTACAATAATTTGGAAGGCAGGAAACGTATCTTATAAACTAGCAAAGGTGAAGGAGGGGATCTTAAGGCAAAACATTGCAAGCATGAGCTGGCTGCTTTTAGCTGTATTTGATGAAGCACTAACAAGAAAGTGATAAACTCAGAAAACTGGCTAGTTTGCAAGCAGGATTCAGTGGGAATATAGAGAACCCAGAATTTGTGGGGTTGAAAAATAAAACTTTCTCATCTCCAATCTCTCTAGTAAGAGATTTTCAAATTAAGATCCATCCTGGGGCTAAAGACCTAATCCAGAGTGCGGCAAGAACGATACTGTTTCCAGGTGAAGTCAAAATCAAGAGTATTAAGCTCTGAAGGAAATCAGATGGCATCTAATAGGCTCTTGCAGCTGAAAATGAAGCTTGTAGAAAACTTAAGAGCAAGGTTCTACAGCAGCCTGACATTCCCAGTACTTAAGTCTCGGTAGATTCTGTCTTGTAAAAATTGTGGGTGTGGCTTGTGGTACATAGAGTTGATGAGTATAAAACACATAAAAATCCACAAAGTTGGCCGAGCGCGGTGGCTCACACCTGTAATCCCAGCACTTTGGGAGGCTGAGGTGGGCGGATCACGAGGTCAGGAGATCGAGACCATCCTGGCTAGCACGGTGAAACCCTGTCTCTACTAAAAATATAAAAAATTAGTTGGGCACTGGTGGCAGGCGCCTGTAGTCCCAGCTACTCGGGAGGCTGAGGCAGGAGAATGGCGTGAACCCGGGAGGCGGAGGTTGCAGTGAGCCGAGAATGCGCCACTGCACCCCAGCCTGGGCGACTGAGTGAGACTCTGTCTAAAAAAAAAAAAAAAAATCCACAAAGTTTGTGAGAGAGCTGTATTGGTGAAAGACTGCCTGCTCCAACGGAAAGAAACAGAGACTATTGAAGATGTAAAAAGATTTCTGGGGCCCCAAATTTCTACAAGTAGGCAGTAGGCTGAAAAAAGCTGCTCACCCACAAAAATTATTTAATATCTTTTTCAGAAGTGTCCATGGGTGATGTCCAAGGATGATAGAAAAGGAAGGTCTTCCAGAGGAGTGCACCAACAGCCACGGGGAACAATGGATGGGAGATCCAGAATCAGAGCCTAATCAGAGAGCATTCTCAACCCCTAGGACCGTGGGACCTGTCAACATTTGCCCAGTAGAATTTCAGAACTGCTATGGACTGGCGATTTCTGATTTCATTTCTCTCTCTCTCTTTTTTTTAGAGACAGAGTCTCGCTCTGTTGCCCAGGCTGGAGTCCAGTGGCATGATCTCACCTTGCTGCAACCTCTGCCTCCCAGGTTCAAGTGATTCTCTTGCCTCAGCCTCCCGAGTAGCTGGGACTACAGGCATGTGCCACCACGCCCAGCTAATTTTTGTATTTTTAGTAGAGACGGGCTTTCACCATGTTGGCCAGGCTGGTCTCGAGCTCCTAGCTTCAGGTGATCCACCCACCTTGGCCTCCCAAAGTGCTAGGATTACAAGCAGAAGCCACCACGCCTGGCAGTTCTTCCCTTTTTTTTTTGAATGGAATAATTTATTGCTGCTATCCTGTATTCTACCACTGTATGTTGAATGGGATTTTTTTAAGTTCTTAGGTCTTCAGATCAAGAGAAACCATATTTAGGCCTGATATACAGATGATAAGATCCTGGATCTTAAGCCAAGTACCATGATTTGAGTAAAAATTGGGGGAGGCTGCATTTGGGAGGCGGAGGCAGGGAGATCACTTGAGGTCAGGAGTTTGAGACCAGACTGGCTAACATGGTGAAACCCCGTCTCTACTAAAAATATAAAAATTAGCCGGGTGTGGTGGTGCATACCTTGTAATCCCAGCTACTTGGGAGGCTGAGACAGGAGAATCGCTTGAACCCAGGAGGCAGAGGCTGCAGTGAGCCGAGATTGTGCCATTGCACTCCAGCCTGGGTGACAGAGCGAGACCCTGTCTCAATAAATAAATGAAATAAAAACTGGGGGAGTCTTGGGATTGTGGGTGAATGTATTTTGCAGGTGGGAGGGATGTGAATATTCACAAAGAAATGTACTGTTGTAGATTAGATTATTGTTCAAAAACATTTACTCCCCAACTACCTCCATGGAGAAGTTTACCTGCTTCTTGACTTTTGACTCAGTTTTGTGATTGTTTTGGCTAATGGCACATTAGCAGATGTGACCCAAGCATGTACTTGTGTGCTTGGTCCTCCTGGAGAGAAGAGCTCTCCCCAGGTAGCTACTGTCTATTCAGCCTAAGCTGCAGAATGAACATCTTTGGATTAGACCTACTACAAGGAGCAGAGGTTCCTGGCCAAGCTGAGCTTAGATCAGATCACCTACAGATGCATGAGAAGTAAGTGCTGTTGTATGCAAAGGAGATTTTTGTGGATGCTTTTTATGTAGCAATAGCTGATTGGTTCTCATTCTTCAAATGCAAACAAGCATTTTTCTGCCTCAGGACCATTAAAATACCTGTTCCTTCTTTTTGAAATGTCCTTGCTCATTGCAGGCCTTAACTTCAGTTCTTAATTTAAATGCATTTCATCAGAGACCACTCTTGATAGATCACCCTATTATTCTAGATAGTTGTGCGATTTATTTCACAGCATTCATCCGCATTTGTAACAATAAATAATTCTATGTTTACTTCTTTTCCCCACTGGACTATAAGCCTTACAAGGGAAGGGACCATGTTCATTTATTCACCAATGCATTCCCAAAGTGTAGGATTAAGACTGGTGGATACTGGACTGCTAGTAAATATTTACTGAATGAAAGAATTTTTTAAGTGAGTGAATGAACTTCATATGCATATGTTAGGAAACACTTTGCATACTCTTTGAGCAGCTTTAGAAAATGTAATTCAATTTCTTTCCATTCCTCTTATTTTTAATAAGAATGATTTTGTTCCCTTCCTAATGAGCTGTGCTTCCCAAGGAATTAGGTTGCTTGCTTGGTAGCTTAACCAACCAATTTGGCCAAAACACATAACTGATGGGCTCTTTGCTTACACTTTCCCTGCTTGCTTCTGGACCAGCATTAGGACTCTGGGTCAAAGATGCAGCTCAGGCCATCTGCTGTTTCTGCTAAGGCCAGAGCAAACTTTTTCATAAAGTTTGATTAGTCTATCCACCCTGAAAACACAAGCACGCTCACAAAAATCCCATACAGACACACAGAGCTTGCCTCAAGGCTGTGACAGAAACCTGAAGCCCAAGGCTATCTCTAGCCTGATGGTTGCAAGCCCACAACCCAGTGACTCTAACATCTGCCTTCCCTAGGCTCTCTCAAGCTTCCTCCCTGTAGTATTTGCTGCCCCAACTACAAGGTCTCAATAACAGTCTTTGCAATATTTCTAGGGCCACAGACCACACACTGTGAGAGAAAGAGGGCCTGGGAAGCCTGGAGATCTTCTCCTAAGGACAGGGTAGAAACAGCAGTCAGGGCATGGATCCCGGTACAACTACCCAGCTAAGCTCATTGTTTCTGGAGGTTTGGCTTTCTGGCTTTTCTAACTCTAAATTTCTTCAAGTCAAGATCTTTGACTTTAATCTCCGTACTTTTCTATTTTCTTTTCCTTCTTCAAGGCATTAAACTTTTATTAAACATTATATATGAGTTACGTGAAAGTTATGAAGCCCAATAAAATGAACATTTGTGAACCACCATCCCACTTAAGAAATAGACCATGACTACTCACAGTTGGCATCTCTTATGTGCTCCTTCTGGACCCCAAGTCCCTACTTCCCCATCCCACCCACAGAACTAGCATCTCAGATTTTTCTCCCCCTCAGGTCCCTATTTTCTTTATAGCTTACCAAATATATATATATGTTCTTAAGCAATATATTGCTTAGTTTTGCTTGTTTTGGAACTTTATAAGCATGTATATCATACTGTATATATTCTTCTGCAACTGATTTTCTTTTTTCTTTTTCTTTCTTTTTTTTTTTGAGATGGAGTCTTGCTCTATTACTAGGCTGGCGATCTTAGCTCACTGCAACCTCTGCCTCCCAGGTTCAACTGATTCTCCTACCTCAGCCTCCTGAGTAGCTGGGACTACAGGTGTGCGCCAACACACCCAGCCAATTTTTGTATTTTTAATAGAGACAGGGTTTCACCATGTTGGCGAGGATGGTCTTGATCTCTTGACCTCATGATCCACCTACCTCGGCCTCCCAAAGTGCTGGGATTACAGGTGTGAGCCACTGCGCCCAGCCTCTGTAGAGATTAATACACTCAATAATGGCACCCAATAGATGATAAATCCTATTACAGAGAAACTCTCTTATTCAATGCATTGGATGATTAATCTGAAAAGTCCTGTATATCATTAAACAGAGATATATACTTACCTTGAACTTTTTTTTTTTTTTTTTTTTTGAGACCGAGTCTCACACTGTTGCCAGGCTGGAGTGCAGTGGCTCGATCTCGGCTCACTGCAACCTCTGCCTCCCAGGTTCAAGTGATTCTCCTGCCTCAGCCTCCTGAGTAGCTGGGATTACAGGCATGCGCCACCATGCCGGCTAATTTTTGTATTTTTAGTAGAGACGGAGTTTCACCATGTTGGCCAGGCTGGTCTTGAACTCCTGACTTTAAGTGATCCGCCCGCCTCGGCCTCCCAAAGTGCTGGGATTACAGGCATGAGCCACCGCGCCCAGCCTGAACATTTTATTTTAACTTAAAAAATATAAATATAGATTCATTCTCCAAGTTTTTGATGTAGGGCCAAAGGTATGTGTCTGCTGACTGGCTTTTCAGATCTTTCCTGCATAAATCACACCCAAAACACATTGTCTACAATTTTAGTTTTTAGTGGAACAAGAACTTAAAGCAATTAGAGTGCAAATTCCTAGACTGTTGTGATTTTTTTTTCCTCAGTCTTACCCACATATCTTTCAACAGCAATTATTTTAGGGATTCGCCATAATTTTCAACTTGGCTTTCATAGAAAAAAAAAATTCTCCAATTGTATATCACTGCGTTTACAAAATACAGTTGTCCCTTCGTATCCATGGCGGATTAGTTCCAGGAGACCCTCCAGACACCAAAACACTTGGATGCTCAATTCCCTTATATAAGGTGGCATAGTATTTTCATATGACCTTCACATATCCTTTTGTATATTTTAAATAATCTCTAGATACTTACAACACCTAACATAATGCAAATGCTATGTAAATAGTTCTTATATTTATATTTATATTTATTTTTGTATTGTTGTTTTTGTTTTTATTTTTTCGGAGACAGGGTCTCGCCTTGTCACCCAGGCTGGAGTGCGATGGTGTGATCATAGCTCACTGCAGCCTGGAACTCCTGGGCTTAAGTGACATTCCTGCCTCAGCTTCCCAAGTAGCTGGGACTACAGGTGCATGCCACCACACACAGCTAATTTTTAAATTTTCTGAAGAGACAGGGTCTTGCTGTGCAGCCCATGCTGGTCTTGAATTCCTGGTCTTAAGCGATTCTCCCTCCTTGGCCTCCCAAAGTGTTGGGATTACAGGTGTGAGCCATACCACTCCCAGCCTATTATTATTATTATTATTATTATTATTATTATTATTATTATTATTTTTGGAGACAGAGTCTCGCTCTGTCACCCAGGCTGGAATGCAATGGCGTGATCTCGGCTTACTGCAACCTCCGCCTGCCGGGTTCAAGCGATTCTCCTGCCTCAGCCTCCCAAGTAGCTGGGATTACAGGCACACACCACTAGGCCCAGCTAATTTTTGTATTTTTAGTAGAGACGGGGTTTCACCATGTTGGCCAGGCTGGTCTTGAACTCCTGACCTCAGGTAATCCACCTGCCTCAGCTTCCCAAAGTGCTGGGATTATAGGCGTGAGCTACCACACCCGGTCTATTATTATTATTTTTTTATTTTTTTTCTTGAATATTTTTGATCCGTGGTTGGTAGAATCTGTGGATGCGGAATCTGTGAATACAGAAGGCCGACTGTACTTAATGAAATTAGGTAATTGCAATAATAACTAGCACTGGTATAAAGAGGCTTAGAAACAAGTACAGCTGAGTTATGGTAAGCACACAAGATAACGCATGGGAATGGCAGTAAGTGGCCATACTGTATACTAGCAAAACCATCAGCCAATAGTATGTCGTGGGCATCAGTTAGAATGTTTTATACAGGATATACAGAGTGTCGGTTAACCAGGCATGTAAGTTAGGTGGAAGTTGGATGAGATAGCTACGATATTATTATTCTCTTTGTTTCTACCATTGACCTAGTTACAGAGCCCAATTATCTTCTCAGCTGACCCCTCTGAAGGAAATTATCTTCAATCAGGCTTGGTTCACTGTTGAGGTTTGCCCCTGGCCAGAAAGGAACAGAGGAACACATAGACTCCCCAAGAAATGAAGCCTAGTAAGTTGGAAGAGATTTTAAACTATTTAGTTTTCAAAGAGTTACTCCTGATTTCTGAGACCCGCCCCGCCCCCCGCCCCCGCCATCCCTGATGAGCTGAGATGGGGAGAAAAGTTCCACCTTTCTACACTGTCCTGTGATGGGGCACCGCATTGTGGAGAGGAAGAAGGTCTGACTTTAATTAGTCAGACCATCACCCTACTAAACTCCACTGAAACCAAAACAAACCAGGCAGTCCCATATGTCATAAGAATTAAAGGCATGGTTCCCACTTCCTAACGATGCTTTTACAGAAACCGTTCCACTGTAAAACTTTATGATTTGAATCTTTATAGCCGCCAGCAGAGCACATGTTCACTGCCTTAAATTATAACTTAATCACAATAGAAGCTGACTTTCCAGCCCTTTGCAGTCAAGACGGGAGAAGGAAGGGGCCTCCAGAACAAACGGCTGCTATTCCTCTGCCCACCTGCCTCCTCCTGCCCTGCCTAGTGTAGTCCCAGGAAAGCAGAGGACGTGGGGAAACACACACCTCACAGCCCAGGAAAACCTCAAAGCCAGAACCTTCCAGTATGGTCTAGAGACATGAATATCATCCTGTCCGGAACGTATGTGACCTAGTTAGGGCAAAGTGAGTGCTGCCGAGAAGCAAAAGGCAAGAAGGATCAGAGGGAGAAAGGCAAGGTGGCAGGGAGCCACAGGCACGCGCACCCATCCCGTCACCCTGCTGGCCCAGCTCACTGCATTCCTTAACTTTGGTTGACATCCTCTATTGTTGCAGACTAGTTTGACAAAAAAAGGAAACAAAAGCAAAATATCCCCACCTCTCCTCAGTTCAACACAGCTAAAACAGAAAGTGTGAGAAGGAGAGTGACAGAAGCTGTTGGACCGGAAGGCTGAGGCCAGATCCTGAAGGGCCTTGTGTGGCACACTCAGAAATGTTTATTTTATCCTGTAGGCAATTGGGAACCATTCAAAATGTTCAGTACTGAAGCAACCTGATGAGATTGCCTTTCAAAAAGACTCTACATTCAAAGAAGATACACAAACGGCCCCAAAATGAAAAGATGCTCAGTATCATTAGTCACTAGGGAAATGCAAATCAAAACCACAATGAGATATTGCTTTACACCCACTAGGATGGCTATTTTTTAAAATCCCAAACAAAACATAACAAAAAAACAAACCAGAAAATAAGTGGCACCCAGGAAAACTGGAACCCTCATGCAAGGCTGATGCAGGAATGGTGTAAATGGTGCAGTGGCTATCGAAAAGAGTTTGGCAGTTCCTCAAAATGTTAAACATACAGTTATCACGTGACCCAGCAATTCCACTCCTAGATATATACCCAAGAGAACTGAAAACATATGTCCACACAAAAACTTGTACAGCAATGTGCACAGCAACATTATTATAATAGCCAAAAGGTGGAAACAAGATCCATTCCATCAACTGATGAATGGCTAAACCAAATATGGTACATCCATACAATGGAATACTATTAAACCATAAAAAGGAATGAAGTATTGAAACATGCTACAATAGTAGTAAAACTTGACAACATTATATTAAGAGAAACAAGCTAGACACAAAAGGCCACAGGTTTTATGATTTTATTTATGTGCAATGTCTAGAATAGGTAAATCCACAGAGATGGTAAGCAGATTAGTGGTTGCCAGGAGATGGAGAAGAGGGGGAATTGAGAAGTACAGGGCTTCTTGTTTTTGTTTTTTGTTCTTTTTTTTTTGAGATGGAGTTTCGTTCTTGTTGCCCAAGCTGGAGTGCAATGGTGCGATCTCGGCTCACCGCAGCCTCTGCCTCCCGGGCTCAAGTGATCCTCCTGCCTCAGGCTCCAAGAAGCTGGGATTACAGGCATGTGCCACCACGCCCAGCCAATTTTTTGTATTTTTAGTAGAAACAGGGTTTCATCATGTTAGCCAGGCTGGTCTCGAATTCCTGACCTCAGGTGATCCGCCCACCTCAGCCTCCCAAAGTGCTAGGATTACAGGCATGAGCCACTGTGCCTGGCCAGTATGAGTCTTCTTTATAGCGTGATGAAAATGTTCCAGAGTTAGAGGGTGGTGATAGTTGAATGACATTGTGATTATACTAAAAACCACTGACTTGTACACTTTATTTTATTTTGAGATGGAGTCTCGCTCTGTCACCCAGGCTGGGAGTGCAGTGGCACGATCTTGGCTCACTACAACCTCTGCCTCCCAGGTTCAAGCGATTCTCCCGCCTCAGCCTCCTGAGTAGCTGGGATTATAGGCACCCAACACCTCGCCCAGCTAATTTTTGTATTTTTAGTAGAGACGGGGTTTCGCCATGTTGGCCAGGCTGGTCTCGAACTCCTGACCTCAGGTGATCCACCAGCCTCGGACTCCCAAAGTGCTAGGATTACAGGCATGAACCACTGCACTCAGCCAATGACTTGTACACTTCAAAATGATTAAAATGGTGAATTTTATCTTTTTTTTTGAGATAGGGTCTCACTCTGTCACACAGGATGGAGTGCAGCAGCGGGTCACTGCTCACTGCAGCCTCGAATGCCTGAGCTCAAGTGATCCCCCTGCCTCAGCCTTAGTGGAGGTGGAGGTCAATGCTGAAGTCCAGTGGGTTGGGAATGAATGGGAGATAAAGAAGCGGAGAAGGTCACCTTCTCAAGTATTCATTGAATGTCTCCTATTTGTCAGGCCACGATAGAGAGGAAATCCTTCCAGCAAGCTTTTGAAATAATAGGAAGGGAAGAAATAGGAAAGTAAATGAGGAGGATGCAGGAAGAGGACGGGAGGGAAATGAGAGAGCCAAAAGGACAGAAGGGTCCAGCTAGAGAGCAAGAAGTTTAAGGTTGATGAGTTCTTAGTGATGAGGTTCACAGTGTGGACATGGGACTGGACAGTGAAGTGGAGTGGTGGTAAAGGTCTATAGAAATTAACAGGCCAAGAAACTACAAATGTGAGGGATCAGATCATTCCATCCAACAAATGAGGAGGAGTGGAGACTGTCAGAGAACAGACAATGACAGAAGCGAGAAGACAGTAGAATAGTGGAACAGCAAGGGTCTCGAAGAAGGGGGAATTGTGTGTATCCATTTTATTTTTCTTTTTTACACATAAATAAACCTGTATATTCCACTACTAGCTACTTAGTAGACACTCCATAAATAAATGTTGCCAACTGACTGATGTGTACTCTCAAAAGCATCTCAAAGCTGGCATGTTCTAAACTGAACTGTGATTCCCTTCCAAACTTAGTTCTCTTCCATTGTTATCTGTCTCATCTATTCCACTGCACATGCCAAAATCTTAGGAAGCATTATTGACATATTTCCTTCCTCTTTGTCACTCTTGAGATGGAATCCATCATCAAGTCTTAACAATTTTACTTCCTAACATCTCTCACTTATGTCCACATTGCTCTACTTCTACCATGGTGGTCTAAGCACCCATCATCTCCTGTCTACTTTATCTGCCTCCTTACTCACCTCTGCACATCTGCTCTTGTTTCCCTGCAATGCATTCTCTACTCTGCAGCCAGAGACATAGTTTCAAATGTGACTCTGATCAGGATGTGTGTCCTTTACGCCTTCATCCCATTCAAACCCTTTAAGGGATTCCCATTGTTCTTAAGAGTAAGAACTCCTTAATGTCAGACTCCTCTGCAGCCTCACCTCGTACTATACTTTCATACTATTTTCAGTCTTTTTCAACCTAGTGCTTGTCACTATCCCTCCTGGTAGGGCCTTTGCACCTGCGATTGCCTCTGCCTACTGTTTTTCCTCTCTGTTGCCTAAACGCCTATTCATCCTAATCAGTTCAACTTTGCAAAAATTTTTGTCTGGGTAATATCATACTCAGGCTCTCATAGCACTGCATAATTCTTCTTCACAGTGCCTGCTACAGTTGCAATGTTACATTTGACTAATGCCTGTTTCCATGAGGACAGGGACTGTGCCTCACACATAGAAGGAACTCAGTAAATATTTAGTGAATGAATGAATGAATGAATAATATACCAATAAACTTGCTCAGTGGTGTTAAGTGGCAGATCTGGGACTGTGTCCCAAGAGGAAATGTATTAGGGGGGAGGTTTGAAAAATGAACTCCAAGATCCCTTCCATTTCTGAGATTTGTGCTTTCTAGGTGAACTTCTATTATTTTCCTTCCCTTCCTTTTCTTAGGCTGGTTTGCCTGGCCTTATCTATACACCTCCACTGGGTACCATAAAGAATTAAAGACCCTACGGATTGGAAGGAATTAGTTCCTTCAGATGTTGGAAACCTTTCCTTTATCAGATGATTCAAAGAGACTCCTTAACAACAACCTTAATAATTGGTTATTTATTCTCTACTTAAACACATCTAATAATAGAGTTCAATTCTTCTCCAAAGGATTCCCTGTGGGTTTTCTTTCCTTTAATAATATATAAATTAGGCATCTTTTTCATATGATTATTGGCCATTTATATTTCTTTCTAAAATGAGTTCTCATATCCTTTACCCTCTTCTGTTAATTTTTTAGACTGATTTATAAACTCTCTGTAGATTAAAGAAATTAGCCCTTTGTCATATTATGTTGTAATATGTTTTCCAGTTTGTTGTTGATCTTCTGATATTGTTTTTGGCATCTAAACAATTCTATTCTTTTTTTTTTGAGACAGAGTCTCGCTCTGTTGCCCAGGCTGGAGTGCAGTGGTGTGATCTTGGCTCACTGCAACCTCCGCCTCCCAGGCTCAAGCAATTCTCGTGCCTCAGCCTCTCAAGTAGCTGGGATCACAGGTGTGCATCACCATGCCCGGCTAATTTTTTTGTATTTTTTTGTAGAGACCGAGTTTCACCATGATGGCCAGGCTGGTCTCAAACTCCTGACTTCAAGCAATCCACCTGCCTCAGCCTCCCACAGTGCTGAAATTATAGGCATGAGCCACTGCGCCTGGCCTAAAGAATTCTATTCTACATGGAACAAAATTTAAAAGATACAAAAGATTATATAATGAAAAATAAATCTTCCTTCACTCTTGTTTTCCAGCTCAATTCCCCTCCCCAAACGCAAGTACTATTAAAGTTTCTTGTATATCTTCCCAGGGCTTGCCTAAGCAATAACTTATATATATAGCTGTTTATCTTCCTACAACACACACAAAAGGCAATAATGCACTCCGCTTCCACGTCTTGCATTTTCACTTACGACACAAGATATATCAGAGACCTTTCCATATCAGTACAGGAAGAGCTGATAGATATTGCCAAATTGCCCTCCATAGAGGTTGAACCAATTTACACTCTCATTAGCAATATATGCGAATGTCTCTTTCCACACCTTTCACCGGTACAGGCATACCTTGTTTTATTGCACTTTGTAGACATTACATTTTTTACAAATTGAAGGTTTGTGGCAACCCTGTGTTGAGCAAATCTATCAGTGCCATTTTTTTAACAGCACGTGCTCACTTTGTGTCTGCGTCACATTTTGGTAATTCTTGATCTTTGATGTTACCATTGTAATTGATCTGGCGTGCCATGAACCACACTCATATAAGATGGCACACTTAATAAACGTTGTGTGTGTTCTGACTGCTCCACCGACCAGCTATTTCCCCATCTCTTTCCTTGGGCCTCCGTATTCTCTGAGACACAACGATATTGAAATTAGGCCAATTAATAACCCTACAAGGACCTCTCAATGTTCAAGTGAAAGAAAGAGCCACACATCTCTCACTTTAAATCAAAAGCTGGAAATGACTACGCTCAGTAAAGACGGCATGTCAAAAGCCAAGACAGGCTGAGAGCCAGGCCTCTAGTGCTGAACAGTTAGCCAAGCTGTGAATGCAAAGGAAAAGTTCTTAAAAGAAATAAAAAAATGCTATGCTAGTGAACACATGAATGATAAGAAATGAAACAGTCTTATTGCTGACAGAAAGTTTTAGTGGTCTGGATAGAAGATCAAACCAGCCACAACATTCCCTGAAGCCAAAGCCTAATCCAGACCAAGGCCTTAACTCTCTTCAGTTCTATGAAGGCCGAGAGATGTGAGGAAGCTGCAGAAGAAAAGTCTGAAGCAGCCAGGTGCGGTGGCTCACGCCTGTAATCCCAGCACTTTGGGAGGCCAAGGTGGGCGGATCACCTGAGGCTGGGAGTTCGAGACCAGCCTGACCAACATGGAGAAACCCTGCCTCTACTAAAAATACAAAATTAGCTGGGCGTGGTGGCGCATGCCTGTAATCCCAGCTACTCGGGAGGCTGAGGCAGGAGAATCGCTTGAACCTGGGAGGTGGAGGTTGCAGTGAGCTGAGATTGTGCCATTGCACTCCAGCTTGGGCAACAAGAGCGAAATTCCATCTCAAAAGAAAAGAGGAAAAAAAAAAGTTTGAAGCTAGCAGAAGTTGCCTCATGACGTTTAAGGAAAGAAGACATCTCTGTAACAGAAAATTACAAGGTGGAGTAGCAAGTGCTGATGGAGAAGCTGCAAGTTAACCAGAAGATCTAGCTAAGATAATTGAAGAAGGTGGCTGCACTAAACAATGTGTTTTCAATGTAGATGAAACTGCCTTATATTGGAAGATGCCATTCAGAGCTTTCAAAGCTAGAGAGGAGAAGCCAATGCCTCAAAGCTTTAAAGGACAGATTGACCATGTTAGGTGCATAATGCACTTGGTGACTTAAAGTTTAAGCCAGTGCTCATTTGCCATTCCAAATATCCTAGGGCCCTTAAAAATTATGCTAAATCTATTCTGCCTATGCTCTATAAATGGAACAACAAAGCCATGATGACAGCACATCTGTTTATAGCATGGTTTACGTAATATTTTAAGCCCACTGTTGAGATCTACTGCTAAGAGAAAAAGATTCCTATCAAAATATTTCTCTTATTGACAATGCACCTGGTCACCCATGTGCTCTGATGGAGATGTACAAGAATATGAATGTTGTTTTCATGCCCGCTAACACAACATCCATTCTACAGCCCATGGATCAGGGAGTAATTTCAACTTTCAAGTCTTATTACTTAACAAATACATTTTGTAAGGCTATATCTGCTATAAATAGTGATTCCTCCGATGGATCTGGGCAAAGTAAATTGAAAATCTTCTGGAAAGGATTCATCATTTTAGATTCCATTAAGAACAGTCATGATTCATGGGAGGGGGCCAAAGTATCAATATTAACAAGAATTTGGAAGAAGTTAATTCCAACCCTCATGGATGACTTTGAGGGTTTCAAGACCTTAGTGGAGAAAGTAACTGCGAATGTGGTCAAAATAGCGAGAATTACAATAAGTGGAGCCTGAAGACGTAGTTGAATTGCTGCAATCTCATAAGAAAACCTGAATGGATGAGGAGTTGCTTCTTATGGATGAGCAAACAAAGTGGTTTCTTAAAATGGAATCCACTTCCTGGTGAAGATGTTGTGAACATTGCTGAAATGACAACAAAGAATTTAGAATCTTACATAAACTTAGTTGATAAAGTAGTGGCAGAGATTGAGAGGACTGACTACAATTTTGAAAGAAGTTCTACTGTGAGTAAAATGCTATCAAATAGCATCACATGCTACAGGGAAATCTTTCATAAAAAGTCAATGTGGCAAACTTCATTGTTGTCTCATTTTAAGAAATTGCCACAGCTACGCCAACCTTAAGCAACCACCGTGATCAGTCAGCAGCCATCAACATTAAGGCAAAACTCTCCACTAGCAAAAATATGATTTGCTGAAGGCTCAGATGATCATTAGCATTTTTAAGCAATGAAATATTTTTAAGTTAAGGTGTGTACATTGTTTTTTAGACATAATGCTATTGCACATTTAATAGACTACAATATAGCATAAATGTAACTTTTATATGCACCAGAAAACCAAAAGTTCATGTGACTCGCTTTGATGTGATATTTGCCTTACTGTGGTGGCCTGGAACTGAATCTTCAACATCTCTAAGGTATACTTGTGCACTATTAAAACCTTTTTGATCTCTGCCAATCTGATAGGTAAAAAATGGCATATTGCAGCCAGGTGTGGTGGTGCATGCCTGTAATCTCAGCTACTCAGGAAGCTGAGGCAGGAGGATCACCTGAACCCGGGAGTTTGAGGCCAGCCTCTGAAACATAGCGAGGGTCCACCTAAAAAAAAAAAAAAATGGCACATGGATTTATCTAAGAGTAAAGTTGATCATTTTTTTATATATTTAATATAATATATTTAATATATTTATGGCCATTAAAATTTTTTTATGGCTTCTAGACCTTTCCATTTGAGAGGAATTAGGATTGGGAAGGATTATTGTGACTATGGGAGGAAGAATCTTTAGTTAATCTAGATTCAGTAACCTGCTTTTCCACTGGTGTCGCAGTGGGAGGGTTTGAGCTGTGTCCTTATTTTTATCAGCAACACAGCTGTGACTAAAGATATATTATGATAGTGTAGAAACAGTATGGGTTTTCAGGTCACGCAGACTTGAACTGAAACCCCATCTCCTTTCTTTGATTCTTTCTTTTCACATTAATTTATTGAAGTTTTACTATGTGTCAGACCCTGTGTAAGGTGCTGGAGATTCAAAGGTAAATAAAACACATTTCTTGCCATCCAGACACTCTCAGTATAATGAAGGAGCCAGGCACATAAACCAGTAAGTATAATGCAAAATAGGTAACAATAATGATGATGTGGATGCTGATGAGATACGGATAATAGCTGGCAGCTCTATGAATGATGAATCAGGAAAGGATGAGACCAGAGACAAGGAGAGCAGTTAGTAGGCTATAGCGGCAATCTAGGCAAGCAATGTAGTGAGAATGAAGAAGAGAAATCAGATTCTAGATGGAATGAGGCAGTCAGTAAGAGAATGATTTTGGTAAGAGTGGGGAGTGAGGATAGGCTTTCGTGGGTTGAGGACTGAATGAGAGATGAGGAAAGTTGCTGTTTCTTTGATATAATAGCTATTGTGGCATATTAGCTCATCAAATATCCATTCCCTTCATTCCTCTGCCTCCCATCTTCTCTGCCACACAGATGTGCTTTACTCATATGACTTGCTTAGTCTTCAAAGCAGGATGAAGTGACATTCCTACCCTCTGACTTTGGGCTTGGCCATCGACTTCCTTTAACCAGTGGAATGTTAGCGGATATAATGCAAGTAGAGATTTTAGATATGCACAAAAAAAGAAAAAGAAAAAGATGCACATGCAAAGTTTGCCTTGGTCTCTTGGGCTTCTGCCTCTCACCATGAGAAGAACATGCCTCTGGCAGCTGCTGGTTCAAGGACAATAAAGGACACATGGAACAGACCTGGACCTAATCCACAGCTTAGAGTCAGGCCCATCTGACCTCAGCCTAGACTCGCTGAATCTCAGGTGATCTATACAACTGTACACTCAAGAAATATACATCCATCATCTATGACACTGAATTCTGAGTAAGTTTGTTATACAATGTTGTTGTGGCAAGAGCTGCTGACATAGGACTCTAAAAGTGGTATCTTTTCTCTAGGCTAAATATCCCTATTTTCTGCAACTGTTCATAGTATGCCCCCTCCTTTCTTATTTCTGTCAGATTTCTCTGCAAGATATGCCAACTGAACCAATTAGGAGGCACCCCTCCAAAGAATCACCAGATTAGAATTCTGCACACATGTGACCTTCTTCCTCTCCTCTTCAACTGTCTCCATTCTAGAGGTTACCCTGTGGAAAAGGAAAGACTCTGTCCCTGGAGCCTGGGCTCAGGGTGAGTCTAGAATGAGGAGGCTCAGGAAGATTAAAGCTCAAACTCCATGAGTGAATTAGAAGGGAGTGGCTCTCAGCTCCTGGTTAATTCTGGAAACTCAAGTTAGTCTAAAAACAAAGAAAGAGGTCAGGAGACATCTAAAATGTCTACATGGAAGCCAATTATACACCAATTGTCTATAGTTTGGACTCGAGATGATATTGCTTTACAGCCCAAACCACCTAAAGCCAGGCAGATAAGGAGGATATGGGGCAGATTCACATTCTGTGGCATCCGAAGCTTAGCATATGACTTTGAGGACTCTCTTAAAAAAAAAAAGAAACAAAATTACAAATATAAAATTAGGTTCAAAAGTGAGTATTTATTAGAACGACAAATCATTTCACAACAATTACAAAATTTTAAAGGTTGAGGAAAATGAGAAACATCATAAAAATATTCCAATGACATAATTTTAAATTAATTGATACACTTCTAAGTGCTTATTTCCTGTATTTTCTTTCTTTCTTTTTTTTTTTTTTGAGACAGAGTTTTGCTCTTGTTGCCCAGGCTGGAGAGCAATGGTGCGATCTCAGCTAACTGCAGCTTCTGCCTCCCGGGTTGAAACGATTCTTCTGCCTCAGCCTCCCAAGAGCTGGGATTACAGGCATGTGCCACCACACCTGGCTAATTTTGTATTTTTAGTAGAGACGGGGTTTCTCCATGTTGGTCAGGCTGGTCTCAAACTCCCGACCTCAGGTGATCTGCCCGCCTCAGTCTCCCAAAGTGCTGGGATTACAGGCGTGAGCCACTGCGCCCGGCCTTTCTTGTATTTTCTTTTTTTGTTTTTTGAGATGGAGTCTTGCTCTGTGGCCCAGGGTGGAGTGTAGTGGCACAATCTCAGCTCATTGCAAGCTCCGCCTCCTGGGTTCATGCCATTCTCCTGCCTCAGCCTCCTGAGTAGCTGGGACTACAGGCGCCTGCCACCTCACCTGGCTAATTTTTGTATTTTTAGTAGAGACAGGGTCTCACCATGTTAGCCAGGATGGTCTCGATCTCCTGACCTTGTGATCTGCCCACCTCGGCCTCTCAAAGTGCTGGGATTACAGGCGTGAGCCACCGTGCCCGGCCTTTCTTGTATTTTCTAAGCTGTGGACTCTGACTCTTCATGTGAACAATTTTGAAGCATCTATACTTCATTTTTCTATAAAGAAAATAGAAAATCCTGTCTTTTTTCTACCATTGTTGACCAAAATTTGTTTATAACTGATAGCTTAGAGAATTTCTTTCCACTTCAAAACCCCTTACTAGTACTGTTATATAAATGTCAAGGATTAATGTGAAATTTGGGGAAACCTCTATCAAGTTTCTTTCATATAGGAGTTGTAAGATTTCATGGCCTTTCAAATTTTCCTTAATATTCTCAGACTTTATTGATACTCTTTTACAGCTTATTATTGGTGTCCTGGTTATAGCGACATATTATGAGTTTTATGTTACCTTTGGTCAATATTTTGGAGATGTGTATATACTTCACATAAGAATGCACTCATTGTTAGTAGTATTGCTACAGACTTATACACTATAAACACAGGAATTTTAATAAATTCCATTTCATGTGATTCCCATTAAAAAATATATATATGTCCAGGCGTGGTGGCTCACACCTGTAATCCCAGCACTTTGGGAGGCCGAGGCGGGCGGATCACTTGAGCAGGAGTTTGAGATGAGCCTGGCCAACATGGTGATACCACATCTCTACTAAAAATACAAGAAAAAAAAATTAGCCGGGCATAGTGGTGTGCCCCTGTAATCCCAGCTACTTGGGAGGCTGAAGCAGGAGAATCGCTTGAATCTGGGAGATGGAGGTCACAGTGAGCCAAGATGGCACCACTGCACTCCAGCCTGGGCAACAGAGCAAGACTCTGGCTCAAAAAAAAAAAAAAAAAAAAACAAAGAAAAAAGAAAAGAAAAAAATATGATACATTTACAATTGTATACACTGCATTAAGATGTATTCCTGACAGATGCGAGGTTTCATTTTGACCAGCCATTAACAAGAACTAAAATTTTCACTTACAATTTTACATATGTGAGGACTAGTTTCTGGATCCATACATTTTAAGCTTTGTTTCTCTTCCATTGCAGAGCATCATAGGACACATTCATGTCCCCTGACAAGCTCTCATCATGCACCTTCATGGCCTGACCCAGTTAATTAGCATAGTAGGCAGTAGCAGTACTCCTGAGAGCCATTTATATACCAGGACAGGCAGGAGTAAGTTAACTCTACACAGAAGAGACCGCAAACCACATAAACAGATGCATCAACTAAATACAAAATATACTCAAATAAACTAAATATAAAATATACTCCCAACTCTGCTTTTCCTGAAACAGATCACCAAAACATCCACAGCCACTCCAACGCCGCTCCAGGAGGGGAAATATGAACTCAGACGGAAAACAAGAGTCTTAATTTTGATTAAAGTATTTTATTTTTGCAACATGAAAAAATGTAACCATGTAAAAATATCACTAAGGCCTCTTCCAGGGTCTTTAAAGGAGTTCATGCAAGTAAGGGACCTGTAAGTTTAAATTCATTAACTGCATAGAAAATCCACTTCTAGAAGGATAAAAATCCTGGTTTTACCTTTTTCTTGGTGTAGGCACCATCAATAGACAGCATTACCTGTTGCTGGGTATTTTTGCATTAAATATGCAATATTTATTGAGTACTGACTAGGCACCAGACTCTAGGGATACAATAGTGCTGAAATGAATACCGTCCCTGCCCCCGGGAGCTTAAGCTTTAGCTAAGAGAGAGACATCAATCAAAGAGTTATTTAGATGAATGTCCCAGGAAGGTTCCTTCTATGGGGCAGGTCTGTTACACCCAAACCAAACTAATTATTGAGATGTGCTGACAGGGAAGGGGGAAGGCCAGGAATGCAAGGAGTCCCTCAGCAGCGGCAGACCCCTCAGAAGGTCTCCTCTGACCTTGTGGTTCTCCTAGGGTTCAGAATCTGGCCACCGTGTTCCACACGTGTCCCAGTCTGCTCTGCAGCTATATTCAATCTATTCCTCTGGCACTTCAGGCTTAGAATTGCTAGCATGTGAGGCTGTACCAGCACGGCCTCTTTAGCTGGGGAACCCAGGACCCAAAGTCTAGCAGAGGAAACACTGGGCGCTTGTCTGGGGAAGCTAAAAGAGGATCCTGAAGTAAGAAGTGGTTAGTGCAGCTGACCTCCTCTCCCCTAACTAAAAACAGGGAAGTTTTGTGAGAACCCTCAATGAACCCTCAATGATCGAAGAACTCTCCGATCTCCCATTTTACCCTGTTTTTTCCTACCCTTCGCAGAATCAGCCTACTGACATATTTTTTATCTTATTTTTTCAGCCAAACATCTTGAAATAGTTACCTACACCCATTTCCTCCACTTCTCACTTCCAATTTCCTACTGCTCCACAGCAGTCTAGCTTCTGCCAGTGAAACTGCAGGTACCAGGTGTTAGAGGATGTCACTGCCCTACCAGTATCCCCTGCCCTTACTACTTCAGTGAACCCCAGGCTTCCAGGCGCTGGTACCTGCATTCATTCACCTGAGGGATTTCTCTCACAGCCGGGGTCTGTTCTGCTGCCCAAGCAGCAGGCTGGAAATGTCAGTGAATTAATGCCCTCTAAGAACAGCCCTCAACCAATGACCTGAAAGAGCTCCCTCACCCCGTGAGACGAGGAACGATGAGGTGGGTGTTCTGCACTGACTCCCTGAACTTTCCCGTTGGGATTAAGCTATAATTGCCCAGGGTGGCTGCTGGCTTAATTCACCCTTTACTGGCCGTCCCCTCCCTGTTCATCCCCCTCTCCCACACACACCAGTGTTCTTCATCTTTCAAATAGACTAATCCTCGTCTCAGGGTCCACTTTTAGGAAAACTCAAACTAAGCACCAAGATCATCAGTGACTTCCTGACTGTTTCGGTCTTGGTGAATCCATCAGTTAGCAAGTATGCATTGAGAACCTACTAGGTTCTAGGTATTGTCTAATCTGACCTCACCTCTTTAATACACTTGACATCCATAATCACTCCTTCCTGAAGCTCTCCTTCCTTGGATTCAGGCTTCCTTGCATGTGGATATTCCCTCTTTCATCGGCAGTTCCGCTCCACCTACCCCTTACACAGTGGTGTTCCCAGAGTTCTCAGTCCAGCTCTTGCTCTTCCCACTCTACATGCCTTTCTTTGGCCATGTGGTCCACCTGCACAGGATCAAATCTCACTTTTTTGTTCGAAGATCCCCAAATTCCTTTATCTACCCTTACTTCGTCTCCTGGGTTTCAGATTTTGTGTCTGACTACTTTTTGGACATTTTTACCTGGAAGCTACAAAGTTATCTCAAATGCAGTATACCAGTTTTGGGGGGTTTATTAGGGGGGGTTCTGTGTGAGGACAAGTGTGTAAGGAAATTGGGTAGAAGACATTGGCAAGACAGCATTTAAAAGTGGTGGATCATGAGATGTAGGCTCAGTAGGAAAGGAAGTAATTCTGGGAGAAGGCTGAGAGGTTGGGAAGAAATGGAAGCGTCAAAGGCAGTGCTGGATTACTCAATAGATAAACACATTCTTAGGGCATCCAAAAAGCAAAGTGAACCCCCACAACATATTTTTAGAAAAACCTTGAAATTAAAAAAAAACCCACCAAAAGAATCACCATGGTAAAAGTCAGAAATTTATTGAACTTCCTTACACTTATTTTACAAGTTAGAATTGTTTTCATTTTAAATTACATAAGGGAACATTCTCTTTTTTGGTGCTTTGGGACATTAAAGGTCTGGCTTGGATCTAGGCAGTCAATGAGATGAAAGCACAGTTATAACAGGAGCAAGGGAGAGAGGAAGCTGCAAGGTAGAGGCTGTCGTCCAAGAGTGGATGCTCTCTTAACCAGCCTCTTCCCTACTGACTTACTGGGTTAACTAAAACTTTCCATTCCAGCTGTAATATGTTCCAGTTAATGGACACAGTGCTCTGAATGCTCACGGCTGGCAGGCCACTCTTCCACACACATATACTACTTCCACTTTTACCAGCTGAGTGTAAGTCACTGTGATTGTTCCAAAATTTCTTTATTCCTGTGGTAGTAGTTATTACATTTACATAATTTAATTAAACATTATGTAAACCAATCGTGCGAAAAGAAAGAGAACTGTTGTTTCTAAGAACACTAAATCAGATACTTTGGGAAGTTTCATAAAGGTAAATCTCTTTTTTAAATGCTATTGAATTGGGTGTGGGTAAGACAACTAGAAAACAGTTAACATTTATTGAATGTTTACTATGTATCAGGCAGTATATTAAGGCTTTATATAAAATAGCCATTTCATCCTCACAATAACTCTCTGAAGTGGTTACTGAGGAAACTGAGGCACAAAAAGGCTAAGCAACTTACCCAAGTTAGGAAATGGTACATCCAGGATTTGAACCCAGGTGGTCTGGCTTGAGAGACTGTCCTAACCATTATGATATTAGTAAAAAAAAAAAAAAAAACTGGAAAAATCCTAACAATGGAGTCTGTGCAGAGGCTATTTCATAAGAATATTTAAGTTTCTTGTTATTTTTTTTTTTAAGAGACAGTGTCTCACTCTGCTGCTCAGGCTGGGAGTACGGTGGCATGATCATAGCTCACTGTAACGCCTGGGTTCAAGTGATCCTACCACCTCAGCCTCCTAAGTAGCTGCAACTACAGGTGCCTACACCATGCCCTGCTAATTTTTTTATTTTTTATTTTGTGTAGAGGGAGGGTCTTGCTATGTTGCCCAAGCTGGTCTCAAACTCCTAGGCTCAAGCAATCCTCCCACCTCAGCCTCCCAAAGCACTGGGATTACAGGCGTGAGCCATCACACCTGGCTTTCTTGTTCTATTGTAAAGAAGCCGAAGCCAAAATCCGTAGACAAGTCAATATGGATATGGTTGTTCAGGAATCAAGGACTCCACACTTGATAAAAGGCCCTGACACTCTACCCAAAGACTAGCAAGTGGTTGTGCATTTCTAAGTTAGAATGCAATGTTGAAAGTATATATGTAGTATATGTGGTACTTTTTATGATGTACCACTTTAACTGACTTTGATTAAGCAACCTAGTAGCAATGCTGAATGAGAAGGACTTCTCTGTTTCAGAACTTAAAATTTCAGACATGGAACAGCCCTAGATGAAGAATCAGCTATCTTCCTAAAACGCAGATCTAAATATAACGCTTCCTTGCTTAAATACTTTTAATTTCCACCATCTACCCCTACTCTCAACCAGAAAAAAAAAAAATCCAAGGTTATAAGTAGTATCCCGCCTACCTTTACCATCTTATTGTAAAGGAGCCAGTCCCTCTTGCCCGTCTTTCTAGTCATCTGCCAGTTACTTCATTCATGCTTCAGTATCTCTGTGTCATTTTCTTTGCCTGGAATTATCTTCACTCCCTCTCTAATTGGAGAAATCTTACTCATAATTTTTTTCATTCATTTTTTCATTCATTCAACAAATAGTTCTGGGCACCTATTGAGTGAAGAATGAACTAATATATTTCTATAATATATATAAAATGATGTTTCCCTATTGAAATGTTATGATAAGCTATTCTTTTCCTTTGAAGCATTTATCTCAATTTACTATTTTATATTTATTTGTGTGTTCATTTGTTTAGTGTTCAAGGGAAGGGGCAGAGAAGAGGAGGAAGAGGAGAGAGGAAGGTAGAGTGTTGGGAGGGTGTTGGGAGAGTATATATAGCTTGCAGGGAAGGGGAAACGGTTGGGAAAACTCTAAGGAATTAACATTGGAGCTACAGCTGAAGGATACGTGGGTGTAACTGGGCAAGACTGGCGGCAGTTGGGGATAGGTAGGAGCAGGAGGGGTTGGGGGGACGTGTGTTCCAGATCCAGGGAACAGCGGGTGCTAAGACACTGAGGCAGAAGGAAGGGTGACATGATGGAGAAACTGAAAGAAGTCCAGTGTGATGGGATTGCAGGATGTCCTACCCCAGATGGAAGAGACAGAGGGGTATGAGGCCAGAGAGGGAGAGGGCTAGACCCTGCAGGACTGTGCAGGCCATGGCAATATAAGTTCGATCTTCATCAGAAAAGCAAAAGGGAGCCATTGGTGAGACCTAAGCAAGGGAATAACGTTTTCAGGTTTGTGATTTTAGAAATCTTCTGGCTGCCACGTAGACAACAGATAGGAAGTGCAGCAAATGTCACTCCTTTCTTAAGACTTCCTTGACCCCATGTGCTCCTACCAAAACTTACGAAGCTCCTTGAGGACAGGGACTTGGTCTGTTTTGTTCACTGCTGTATTCCCAGTGCCTAAAACAGTTCCCAGTGCTTAGTAGGTCCTTAATAAATGTTTCTTAAATAGTGCAACTTTTTAATGTCATTTCTCACATGACATTTATATAGTATCTCAACTCCATGGGCTTTCCGGCACTCTGAAAAGTGAATGATCTTTCTTGTGAGGGAAGGACTAAACTCATAGTTAATGTAATGTGAAAGCCATGCACAAAATTCATATAATCTGAAGGGAAAAGACATCTGTCCTGCTACCATTTTTTCCTTCTTCTACAACATGCAGTTACCTTACTTCATAATAGGAACATTGGACCCTTGGTAACCAAATAATTCCATTAATTCTTCAGTGGAAAGGAACTTCTTTCTCTCTTAAATTAAACACCTCCAGAGACTAATGGTAATTGTCTTGGCTTGGATTACCCAATGGCTTTTGTGTATTCTTTCCCCTTGAAGGTCTTAGGGCCTTTCTCCAAATTAAGAGAATCCTTATTCTAAGAATATGACACTCTAGCAATATTTTCACAAGCATCACAAGATCTGAAAGCTAGAGGGATCTTTGGAGGCATTTAATTTACCCCTTACTCCCACCCCAAAGCTTACACTCCCTCAGTACCACTCCTTCCTCATCACTTAGCTGTCTGGCCCCAGGGTGTTCTGAGATCGGTTCAGGTGTCAGTCAGGGACAGATGGCACGTGCTAGAGCTAGAGAACTCAGAAGGTCACCCTTGATCTTCACTAAGTTCCCGTGTTTATTCCAAAACAATCTGTGTTGTATTTATGTAGTTTTATGACTAGTTGATTATCTCCAGTGCCGACCCCTCTTCTTATTCCAGACCATTAGATCAGTTTTCAGGGTTCTTCTTCTCTCTCAACTTATTCATCTTTCCATGTGGTTTTCAATGTTTTTACTGTCTCCAGTTCATGCCTTTGCAGTTCTAACAAACTTGTTTCTTATAACCTACTTAAAATACCAAGCTCCTTAATGAATTAATCAATCAGTTAATCAAATATTTATTAAATCCCTACCACATTTTTTCCATCCCATAAATTTTTCTTTGAGAGCCCCATGAGCCCCCAGGAGACTGGCAACAAGACTATTAGAAAGTCTCACTGCTAGCTCCATGCACTCACCGCTGCCTTCCTATGCATCATTTTATTTTCATTTCTTTTCTTCCCCTTCTTTTGCTCTCCGTTTTCCTCTTTCTTATTTTTCTCCTCTCCCTCCTATGATTCCATTTTCCCATCCTGTCACTGAGGTGTCCTCCTTGGCATTTTGTGCTTGAGGCATTTTGGTGTGTCCTATGCCCTCGCTAAAGGGAATCATAGTAAGGAGTCTAAACTCACATCCCAAAAACAGAGATTTGACAGAAGCAAAGGAAAGAGCAAAACAAATAGTAAGCAAATCTAGTGAACAGAGAATGACAGGAAAATGGCTTGGCAATTTCTTATAAAGTCAAACTTAAACTTACCATTTAACCCAGCAATTCTGCTCATTGTTCTTTACTCAAGAATAAAGAAAACTTACGTTTGCACAAAAACTTGTTCATAGATGTTTATAGTAGCTTTATTCATAACTGCCCCAAACTGGAAACAATCTAAATGTCCTTTGACTGGTGAACGCATAAACAAATGGCGGTATATCCACATAATGGAATACTACTCAGTAACAAAAAGGAAGAAACTACCAAAACAGGAAACAAGATGCCAGGAGAGAAGAGGCTGACTACAAAGGGGAATGAAGGGATTTTTGAGGGTGGTAGGACTCTTCTATGCCCTGATTGTGGTGGTGGTTAAATGATTATATGTATTTGTCAAAACTCACAGAACTGTACACTGTAAAGGGTTTTTACTATATATGAATTATACCTCAATAAATCTGACTTAAAAAAAAAAACCCACCAAAATAAATGAATTAGTAAAGATAGACTGAAAAACAAACAAAAAAACAATAAACTTGAGTAATCATACCAAAAAATGTTCTTTAAAACACACTAACACACAGCAATAAAATAGTTAAACCCAAGGCAAATCCAAATGAGAATAAAAGAGAAAATACACAGGTAAATAGTATTAGAAGGAAAAAAAGGGGGATTTAATTTTCAATAGAAAATCTAAAAATTGTAATGTAAGCATGACTTTACTCTTAAAGAAATGAAAATCTACATGAAATTCCATGATTTTCCAGTATACATAAATTTACAAATTGACCCAAGAAGAGATATAAAACCTGAGTAGAACATTAACTGTAGGGGAAATGGAAATGATAAGCAAAGATATACCATTCCAAAAACCATCAGTTTCAAATAATTTACAGATGAGTTCTACCTTCAACACATAAATAATTTCTAAGTTACTTATTTTAGTACATAGGAAGAATGGTAAACTCATTCTGCCATATCAGCAGATCTCAAAGTGTAGGTTAGGGATATGTGAAGATCCCTGAGACTTATCTGGGAGTCCACACACCCAAAACTATTTTGATAATGATACTAAGATGTTTTGACTCTTTCCCTCTCATTCTCTCATACAAGTGTAAAGTGGAGTTTTCCAGAGGCTAATGGAATGCCATGTGATGATGTCATTGCTCTGGCAACTATTAATAACAAAATGCATGCTTGTATATTCTTGTGTTTTAAAATTTTCTCCATTTTAATTTCTAACATTGATAGGTAACTTACATAAACAAAGTTCTCTGTGGATCCTCAATAATTTTTAAGAGGACAAATGGGTCCTAAGACCAAACATTTGAGAACCATTGCACTAAACTAATATTGCTCCAATATAAAAAATAGACAAAGATAGCATAAATAAAGAAGACTACTAGCTTACTTAAGAACATAAATGCAAATATCTTAGACTTAACTGTTCTTAAAAAAACAATTTTCATGACTAGATAAAATTTATCTAGTAATGCAGGGGATGGTTCTGTATTTAGAAATCTATTAATATAATCCATTACCTTAATAGTTTACAGGAGGTAAAACCTCATGATCACCATGAAAAGATCCTTCAAAAAGTTATATATATTTTAATATCCATTCCTGATTTTAAGAGGCAAGCAGGAAAACAAATAAAAAACAAAATAAAAAATGTAAAACTCTCGCAAAACCAGTAATAGAAGAAAATTTATTTAATTTGTTAAGAATATTCACCATACCTATTGAAGTCAGGAACAAGATAAATATGGCAGCTTTCATTGCTATAGTTGCAACTACTAAATATGGCACTGGAAGTCCTAACTAGTGCAATAAGACAAGAAAAAGAAAGACCATCACAAAGAAATACATAAAACCATCACTATTTACAAGTGATTTAATTTTCAACTTAGAAAATCTAAGAACTGTAAAATTTAAAACTAATACTATATTTTAGTAAAGCCTTAATAAAAGATCAGCCACAAAAATTAATCCTTTTCCTATACACCAACTATAACCAAATAGAAAGACATGGTGGAAGATGTACAATAGCAAGCAAACTGTAAAATACATGCAACTAAACTCACCAATATGTCCAAGATTTATATGAAGAAATTGTAAATTTTATTGAAAGACATTAAAAGAAGACAAAAATAAATAAGGAACACATCATATTCCTGGATGAAACTCAAATTAAACTATAAATTTAATGAGTTTCTGATCAAAATACTTATAAGATATTTTATGGAACTGACAGATTTATTCTAAAGTTCACCTGGGAGAAGATGTATAAAAGCAGTCAAGAAAAGTATGAGAACAAAAACTACTGAGGCAAAGAAAAAGGAAAGATAATAAGAAGGTAGAGGCTGGGCACAGTGGCTCACGCCTGTAATCCCAGCACTTCAAGAAGGCCAAGGCAGGTGGATCACTTGAGGTCAGGAGTTCGAGACCAGCCTGGTCAACATGGTGAAACTCCGTCTCTACTAAAAATCCACAAAGTAAAATAAAATAAAAAAGAAGGTAGAATACACAGTTTTTGGCCCCATACGGTTTATTATTTATTTATTTTTATTATTATTTTTGAGATGGAGTTTCGCTCTGTTGCCCAGGCTGGAGTGCAGTGGCGCGATCTCGGCTGACTGCAACCTCTGCCTACCGGGTTCAAGCAATTCTCCTGCCTCAGCCTCCTGAGTAGCTGAGATTACAGGCGCCCGCCACCAAGCCCGGCTAATTTTTGTATTTTTAGTAGAGACGGGGTTTCACCACGTTGGTCTGGCTGGTCTCGAACTCCTGACCTCAAGCGATCAGCCCACCTCAGCCACCCAAAGTGCTGAGATTACAGGCGTGAGCCACCGCACCCAGCTGGCCTCATAAGGTTTTTTAAAAATTCTATAATGCTACAATAATCACAACAGTGTGGTGTTTGCACACAAATGGACCAAAAATAAAAAAATCCAAGGAGTAGAACAGAATTCAGAAGCAAACCCATGTACAGCCTGGCATTTTAAATCAGTAGGAAAAGGATGATGGACTATTTAATTGTGTTGGGACTACTGGAAATTCTCTTAAAGTTATAAACCTAATTCACACTACATACTATCAAATTATTGAAAGGAAAATTTAAAACATATAACGTCTTCTAAGGGGTAGGAATACCCTTCCTAAGCAAAACACAAACTTCAGAAGCCATAACAGAAAAGACTGACAGAAGAGTTAAGGCTGGGCGCGGTGGCTCACGCCTGTAATCCCAGCACTTTGGGAGGCCCAGGTGGGCGGATAACGAGGTCAGGAGTTTGAGACCAGCCTGGCCAACATGGTGAAACCCCATCTGTACCAAAAATACAAAAATTCGCTGAGCGTGGTGGCCCATGCCTGTAATCCCAGCTACTCGGAAGGCTGAGACAGGAGAATCACTTAAGCCAAGGAGGCTGAGGTTGCAGTGAGCCGATCATGCCATTGCACTCTAGCCTGGGCGACAAGAGCCAGACTCCGTCTCAAAAAAAAATAAAATAAAATCAAAAATAAAAAAGAATTAAAACCTTATGTATGATTTAAGACAATGTAAATAAAGACCAGCAATAGACCAGGAAAAAATATTTGCAACACATATCACAGAGAAAGAATTAATATCATAATGTAATGGAGAGAACCTTCAAACTAAAAAGAATAAGACAATCTAATAGAGAAAAAGACAATATAAACAGGCAATTCACAGAACAAATAGAAATAATCAATAAATATATGAAAGCATGCTCAATTTCATTAGTAGCCACAGAAAATCTATAAAAGAACAATATACTTTTATTCATTAGATTTGCAAAAATTAAAGGACTGATAATATCCAGTGTTGGTGAGATGTGTAATGATTATTCTCATTATGTAAATGAATATTCTCTCTTTTGGATGGGAATGTAAACAAGTACAGTCTTTTTTTTTTTTTTCTTTTTCTTTTTGAGACGGAGTCTCACTCTGTCGCCCAGGCAGGAATGCAGTGGCCCGATCTTGGCTCACTGCAACCTCCACCTCCCAGGTTCACGCCATTCTCCTGCCTCAGCCTCCTGAGTAGCTGGGACTACAGGTGCCCGCCACCACGCCCCGCTAATTTTTTGTATTTTTAGTAGAGACGGGGTTTCACTGTGTTAGCCAGGATGGTCTGGATCTCCTGACCTCGTGATCCGCCCACCTCGGCCTACCAAAGTGCTGGGATTACAGGCGTGAGCCACCACGTGGGGCCAAGTACAGTCTTTTTTAAGGGTAAGTTAGCACAGCCTCACAAAAACACCTCTTAACTCAGTACTTCCACTTCTAGAAACTTGCAGAAATAACTAGATGTGTCTATAAAAACCTATGTGCCAAAAGTTCGCTGCAGCGTTGATTGCAATTATGAAAAACTGGAAGTAAATTACAAGGCTTCCAACAGGAAAATAACCAAATAAATTGTGGTAGTTCCAAAATATGGAATACCATTTAGGAGTTAAAAAGAATAAGGTAATTCTATTATGTACTGACATGGAAAAATTGAAAACACACATAGTTAAGTGAAAAAAGGAAGAAGCACGTTTATGGTTATCATCCCATTTGTATAAAAACTATATTTCTATCTACATAAATATACATAAATGTATACATGTATAAATAGAAAAGGTCTTCAAGGGTACCTATTAAACAGTAAACAGCGCAGTTATTTACGTTTGTGGAAGGGAGTAAGATTAAAGAGGTGGAGTAAGAAGCTTTTACTTTTTAGTTATTTCTGTAATTTATTTTTTTTTTGCAATGGGCATGAATTTATGTTTTACCTATACATTTCAAAACCAATTAAAAAAACCCAACCTCCTGCTATATCTACAGTAAGAGGCAATGCAGGCTTCGCAAGGGCACTGGTTTTGAAAAGAGGACGGGAAATCACTTTCAGACTTTTTTTTTTTGACACGGAGTTTCGCTCTTGTTGCCCAGGCTGGAAGTGCAATGGCGCAATCTCGGCTCACTGCAACCTCTACCTCCCAGGTTCAAACGATTCTCCTGCCTCAGCCTCCGGGGTAGCTGGGATTACAGGCATGCGCCACCAGGCCTGGCTAATTTTGTATTTTTAGTAGAGACAGGGTCTCTCTGTTGGTCAGGCTGGTCTCGAACTCCCAACCTCAGATGATCTGCCTGCCTCGGCCTCCCAAAGTGCTGGGATTACAGGCGTGAGCCACTGCGCCCAGCTCAGAAATTTTTCTTTTTTAAACATACTTTCTGTATCTCCGTTACGTGGATCATCTGAAGTCTGCAGGTACAGATGTATTTGCTTCTACAGATACAGAAACTGATAAGTATTCATCTCTGTGACTTCAGTACCTAGCAATGTGTTAGGTATTCGGTAGATGTCACATAAGTGTATGTTGAATGAATCATAATCTGAGAGAAAATAAAAAGGTAGAATAGGAGGGGCACCATGGCCCATACCCCAATCCCAGCCCTTTGGGAGGCCTAGGGGAGCGGATCACATGAGTCTAGGAGTTAGAGACCAGCCTGGACAACATGACAAAACCGTGTCTCTACAAAAAATAAAACAATTAGCTGGGCATGGTGGCACATGCCTGTAATCCCAGCTACTTGGGAGGCTGAGGTAGGTGGATCACCAGAGCCCAGGAGTTTGAGGCTGCGGTAAGCAGTGATAGCACCACCACACTCCAGCCTGGGTGACAGGGTGAGGAAAAAAAAAAAGGTAGAATATACAGTTTTTGCTAACTCTTTAGCTGAGATGGCGTGAAGAAGAGGGTTCAAGTGGATAATGGTATCATTACCAGACAGGAAAAATTGGAAGTTTTGGGGGCAATTATGGATGATAATAGCTAACATTTAATGATTACTGACTGTGTGCAGGTATCGTGTTGAATGTGCTGTATCCACTATCTCATCGAATCCCAAGAGTAAACCTATATTTCCTCACACAAAGAAAGAACAGTTTAGAGACTTTCTCCAGGTCATTCAGCTAGCTAGAGCTGTGACTAAAACCAATATCCGAGACTCCATGCTCCTAACTTTGAGGTTATGCTGCCTCTCCAAACATGGAAAGTTAATACAATCAGTTTTGACATGTTGAGTTTGAGGTGCTGACGGAAGATTCATTGAGGTGTGGTTGTACAGTGAGTAGCTAAATATCCTAAGTCTGCAGCGTCTTGGAGAGGACAGAGCTAGAGTCAAGCCTAGGAGAGAGCAGTGTCTGGGAGGCCAATACTCAATAATCATTCAACAAATATTTATCAAGCTTCCACATAAAAGTCAGGCTCAGGTATATCAAGCATTCACTTGAAACCCATTTGGACACACAGAACGTTTACTATGTGAAAGTACTGTAATCCGGTATTTTGAATTGTGGGTCTTAAAAAAACTCTAATGTTCTCAATTACGTTGGAAGCATCTTGAGGGCAAGGGCGAGACACTAAATTTCTTTGTATTCCCCTTGTTATAGGTCTCAAGACATGTTTGTTGATTAAATGCTTGAGAAGTTTCCTAAATCTCAAGGAAACCAAGTGTAGACAGTCTTCATTTCTGTTACTATCTAAAAGTCTATAAAAGCATCAAGGTTTCAAACCAAATAAGATTTTTCATCAGTGTCATCAAGGTTAATTGCAGGCATCAGAAAGTTGCAGCTTGGAGCAGCAGGTTGGCTGCAAGAAGGCTTGTGCCACATGATATTGCCCTTATCAAATTTATCAAAGACCAGAGTCTGGCCCTCAGCCTTGCTAGTCCAGAAACTCAATCCTGTCAGAGTCCAGAGAACCCAGGCAGGCACATGCATCTAAGTCTGAAAAAAACTGAAGTATAAAACCAGAATGTCGATTTACTTATTTATTTTTTGAGACGGAGTCTTGCTGTCAACTCAGGCTGCAGTGCGGCAATCTCGGCTCACTGCAACCTCTGCCTCGCAGGTTCGAGCGATTCTCGTGCCTCGGCCTCCCAAGTAGCTGGGATTACAAGCGCACACCACCACACCCAGCTAATTTTTGTATTTTTAGTAGAGACAGAGTTTTGCCATGTTGGCCAGGCTGGTCTCAAACTCCTGACCTCAAGTGACCCGTCCACCTTGGCCTCCCAAAGTGCTGGGATTACAGGCGTGACACTGCCCGGCCAATGTCAGTTTATTAATATACTAAAGGGAATGTGACTGTCAGGAAAATCAGATGTTTGCATCCACCATCATCTCCCCGTAGCTAAGCGACGCGCAAAGCTGTTACCAGGAGTGTACAGTAAGCCCAGAAGGCAGGGACTTAGAAATAGGATTAGAACACTGAACAGCACAGGCAGCATGAAGCAGGGGCAGAGCATCAGCTTTGGAACCAGAGAGGCCTGGACACACATAGAATTATTCACGTCCCAGCAGAGTGGCAGTGGGCAAGTCACTCACCTTCTCTAAACTCCGGTTTTTAAAGGGTGAATAATACTTCACTGGCTTATGGTGAGGGTTAAATGAGATAATGCATAAAATGCTAAACCAGTCCCTGTCATGTGATACATATTCATCTCCATACCACACATTCA
This sequence comes from Homo sapiens, assembly GCF_000001405.40. NCBI lineage: Eukaryota > Metazoa > Chordata > Mammalia > Primates > Hominidae > Homo > Homo sapiens. Next base: position 44,447,611 of record NC_000001.11, on the reverse strand, counting down.
TCCATGGCGGCTACATATTCATCTCCATACCAGGGACACACCTGTTAGTGGTTCAAGTCAGCTTTTACAACATCCTTTGCTCTGAACAAAACTAGGGCAGGCAAGACTGGAAGCAAAAGACCATTTAGAAGGGTGCTAAATAATCCAGAACATAGATGCTAGTGACTTAAAATAGGGCTGTAGCGGGGAGAACAGAGATATGTATATAGATTTGAAAGATATTTAGGGGGTAGGTACTATCTTGGCTGTTTTACGTAATTATTTATTGTCCTGACAGCAATTTGTAAAGTAGGTGCCTATTTTTTAGATGAAAGTCAGAGATATTAAGCAACTAGCTCAGGATCACAGGGCAATGACTGAACTGCTATATGAATCACAGCTGGTGTGACTCCAAAGCCTCTCTTCTTCCTACAAACAAAATATACTGCTGTACATATCGTTCTCAACAAGATGTCAATTGTCAGGAATATAGTAATTTCTTAACACTAATAATTAAAGTATTGAACTTTAGAAAAATGATTTGCTTTTTTAGGAAATAAAATGTGGAGCAGATCAAGGTTATCACTATAATAATTAATTTCACTATTGCTCATTTCCATTACAATACATCTTCTTAAGGGAGAGATAGAAAGAAGTGGAGGTAGAGCTCATGGACCAGAAATTATGCATCGCTGCAGGTGTGTCTATGAAACAGTGTTATCTGCGTAACTTCACCCATTATGCCTTATTGAAAACAGTTTAAGAATGGTTACTCCAGCTGGGCATGGTGGCTCACGCCTGTAATCCCAGCACTTTGGGAGGCCGAGGTGGGCAGATCACGAGGTCAGGAGTTTGAGATCAGCCTGGCCAGCATGGTGAAACCCCGTCTCTACTAAAAATACAAAAATTAGCTGGGCGTGGTGGCATGTGCCTGTAATCCCAGCTACTTGGGAGGCTGAGGCAGGAGAATTGCTTGAACCCGGAGGTGGAGGTTGCAGTGAGCCGAGATCACGCCACTGCACTCCAGCCTGGGTGACAGAGCAAGACTCCATCTCAAAAAAAAAAAAAAAAAGGTTACTCCAAGGAACGGCCCGGTCCCTCTTTTTGAGCAAAGACAGTCTTAGCTGAAACATCTATAAGATTTCACTTTAACAGTGACAAGCTCTTCAGACTGCAGACATAGGTGCTAAGCAAATCATACTCTCTCTAGCAGAATTTTTATTTTCCCAGTCACGTTCACACACAAATTACAGTTCACTGCAAAACTTAATTTTTTAGATGAAAGACAATACCATATAACAGATTTGAGCTTCTTTTCTATATGAACTGACAAGTTAGGCTTTCCCCACTTTTACCCCTTACTTTTTAACCGAAGCATAAAACATTACGTTTGTTCTTATAAAATTTTACTTTGAACTAGTTTGAGCCTAAGATTTCATCTTCATGAGATGGATGTAAACCAGCTTTTTTTTCTCTGCAAAGTTAATACTCATGTTTTTATGTTCCTACTCCAAATACTGCTTAAAGCAATTGTGATTTTCAGAAGTTTTTCATAAGTTATTAATTCACTAGACAAATGTTACCACATGCCACCCAAGTACCAGGCTCCTCAAGGAATTTACAGTCTAATAAGGAAAACAGATTGGCACCCAATCATACCCAATACCAGTAATAACATTAATAACAATTACTACTATTTATCATATCCTGCTCTGTGCCAGACACTGTGCTAGGCGCAAGAACAAAAAGATGATGAAGCAATTCCTCTACCTTCAAGGGGCTTCCCATGGCTTGAAAGGACTCATGTATAATATGATGGAAGAGGCAGGCATATTAACCAATAAATGCAATAAACAGGTGCCTTGCTAGAAATAAAGACAGTGTGTTTCGTAGAATACAAGATGGAGGGATTGAGGCGGGATAAGAAGGAGAGTTGGTAAAGGTTTTATAGAGGAGCGGACCTTTGAGTTGAGTTTCAGAAGATGTGCAGGTATTCTCCCAATTAAGAGTAAAGGGAAGAAAAAGGGTAACCATGGCAAATGCAAGTGTAAAACAATTTTATGTGTTTAAGGAGCAACAAGCATTGGTAGAGATGGGGGTTACAGTAAAGAAGGGGGAGGGAGTTGAGAGGATCTAGCAAGAGCCGGAGTAAGAAATTAGAGAGTAGATGATCAAGGATCTCACAGCCCATGTTGTCCTTCTCTTAACTTCAAGGGCAATGGAGAGTCATTGAAGGGTTTTAGGGACGGGAATTACAACAACAGGGTTTCTCTTAGAACTCTGGTAGCTATGAAGACGATGGAATCAAAGTGTTTGAGACTGGAGATACAGAGATCAGTTAGAATATATATTTATAGGAGATATTAATGAGTTGTAATAGTTGAACAGAAGAAATACTAAGCCTACATGAAGAAATTAGGAAAGAGACAACCCAACAGAAAAATGAACAAAACATTGAACAGGCACTTCACCAAAGAGAACATTTAAATGGCCAATAAACATATGAAAAGGTGCTCTAGCTTATCAGTAACCACGGGAATGTAGACAAAAACTAAATTTATATATCCAGAAAGATGATTAAATATTAAAAGGTCTGACAATATCAAGTACTAGTGGGAACATGAAACAACAAAAATTCTTATATACTGCTAAAAATAGAACAAATTGGTAGAACCTCTTGGGAATACAGTTTGACATTAGCTAGTAAAGTTGAAGAAACACTTTCCCCAGGAGGCAGCAATTCTACTCTTGGGTCTCTACCCTCAGGAAACTCAGGCCCTGTACACCAGGATACACATAAAAATGTTTATAGCAGCATTTTTCATAAGAACCAAAGAATTATAAATAACCCAAATGTATATCACCATCAGAATGGATATAGAAATCAAGGTAGGCCGGGCATGGTGGCCCACTCCTGTAATCCCAGCACTTTGGGAGGCTGAGGCAGGCAAATTGCTTGAGTCCAGGAGTTTGAGACCAGCCTGACCAACATGGCGAAATCCTGTCTCTACAAAAAATACAAAAATTAGCTTGGCGTGGTGGTGCGTGGCTGTAGTCCCAGCTACTCAGGAGGCTGAGGACAAAGGATCGCTTGAGCCTGGGAGATGGAGGTTGCAGTGAGCTGAGACTGCACCACCACACTCCAGTTGAGCAACAGAGTGAGACCCCCATTTCAAAAAAAAGAAAGAAAGAAAAGAAAGGAAATTAGGGCATTACACAGCAATAAAAATGAAAGAACTCTAACTACATGCAATAATATGGATGAATCTCACAAACTTAGTGAAGAACAGAAAGAGCAAAACACAAACAGTACAAAAAAAAACATGATCTCTCTCATTTGAACGTCCCAAAATACAAAACTATATTGTTTGGGGATGTTTACATGTGTGATAAAATTATTTTAAAAAGCAAAAAAGTAATCATCATAAAAGTCAAGATAGTGATTACCTAAGTAAGAGAGGATGGGTTATAATCAAGGAGAAACATACAAGGGGCTTCTCACATGCTGGAAATGTTCTATTTCTTTCTTTCTTTCTTTTTTTGAGACGGAGTCTTGCTCTGTTGCCCAGGCTGGAGTGCAGTGGCACCATCTTGGCTCACTGCAACCTCCACCTCCCGGGTTCAAGCAATTCTCCTGCCTCAGCCTCCTCTGTAGCTGGGATTACAGGCATGCGCCAACATGTTCGGCTAATTTTTGTATTTTTAGTAGAGACGGGGTTTCACCATGTTGGACAGGCTGGTCTCGAACTCCTGACCTCAGGCGATCCGCCTGCCTCGGCCTCCCAAAGTGCTGGGATTACAGGTGTGAGCCACCGTGCCTGGCTAATGCTCTATTTCTTGAGCTGGATGTGGTTTCATGAGTGTTCATCATATAATTTTTTAACTGTACACATGTCTTGTGCACCTTTCTGTATGTATGCAACATTTCAAAATATAAAAGAAAAAAATGTACTTGGGGAAAAAACCAAAATACTCATTAACAGCTACATACTGCAAGATATGCTTATAAATGAAAAGCTAAGAGGAGAATGGTGAGAAAAGAGCCTGGAACGGGAGGCTGAAGACTTGTGGGCTTTTTTTGTGATAGGAATGAGGGGTGTTAGGTAGGCAGGTGACATGAACAAGTCTGCATGTTAGCAAGACCTTTATCAGTAGGGTATACGGAATGAACTGGAAGACAGCAGATGCTAATGCCAGAGCATGTTAGGAGCCTACTGCAACAGTGTGCTAAGACAGCAGGAGAGTATGAACTATGGGAAAAGAAGTAGGGACAGATGGAGGTATTTATTAAGCAGAATTGTTAGGCCATGAAAATTGATTAGTTATAAGGGGTGAGGTAATGGAGGGATCCTGTTTCTAATTTGAATAACATTAGCATGATAAATCAAAATAGGCAATACAAAGGGAGATACAGGTTTAGTGGGAGAAGATGGTAAATCTGGTTTTGGTCCTGCTGAGTATTCAGTGCCCACACGACATCCAAGAATAAAAGTCTAGAAGGCAGCCAGATACACATGAGTGAAGCTCAGCAGCAGAGATATTTGTTCTGGATCCTAATGATTCAATATCTAGGTCTCAAAATTGTGAAATGGTTCAATGTGGTTTGGGCCACTACCAGTTATTTGAGAAGTCTTATTTCCACTAGGCAAGAGGGTGGAGTAAGAGGGCCCTTGGGTACAAGAGTGGAAAAGCAAACAGGGAGGGTTCCTAACTTTTCAGCCAAAGCAATTGGGTGAACAACAGTGCTATCATCTGAGATGGGGAGACATAAAGAAGCAAGATTATTTCTGGCTTTGTTTATTTTTAAAGAGGGGTAGGCCAGGCATGGTGGCTCATGCCTGTAATCCCAACACTTGGGGAGGCCTAGATGGGCAGATCACTCAAGCCCAGGAGTTCAAGACCAACCTGGGCAACATGGTAAAATCCTGTCTCTACTAAAAATACAAAAAAATTAGCTGAGCATGGTAGTGCACGCCGGTAACTCCAGCTACTCAGGAGGCTGAGCTGGGAGGATTGCTTGAACCTGGGAAGTCAAAGCTGCAGTGAGGCGAGACCACATCATTGCACTCCAGCCTCGGCAACAGGAGGGAGACCCTGTCTCAAAAAAAAAAAAAAAAAGAGTGTGAGTGGTGCGGCAGCGGGGCAAAGAATCAAGAGCTCTCCTTTGGACTCTTTTTAAGATAATATGCAGGCTGGGCACGGTGGCTCACACCTGTAATCTTAACACTTTAGGAGGCTGAGGAGAGTGGATTGCTTGAGCCCAAGAGTTGGAGACCAGCCTGGGAAACATGGCGAAATCCCATCTCTACCAAAAATACAAAAATTAACTAGGCGTGGTGGCGCACACCTGAAGTCCCAGCTACTCATGAAGCTGAGGTGGGAGGATCACCTAAGCCTAGGGAGTTTGAGGAAGGGAGGCCGAGGCTGCAGTGAGCCATGAGCATGCCATGAACTCCAGCTTAGGTGGCAGAGCAAGATCCTGTGTCAAAAAAGAAAAAAAAAGAAATGTCTTTTCAACATTCAACTGGGGACATCAGGTAGGCAACTGTGTGCACCAGTGTGGAGCTTAGAGGACAAGGTCAAGGTTAAGAGTTATAATTTTGGGTTTCATTAGTATAAAGACAGTATTTAAGGGTTTCCTGACCTAATAATTCTAGGCTGGGTGCTACTCCTGTGAACTATACCATATAACTTATTCCTCTTAAAATGTGAACCTCAATGTAACGTATTTGGCTGTTTCCATATCTGTGTTCCCCATAAGAACTGTAAGATGCTTGAAGGTAGAAGTCAGGTCTCCTTTACATTGGATTCTTATGACCTAATGGCTCCTAGCACATAGTAGGTACTCAATAAATGTGTGGAATGAATGATGAAATGCTGCTGACTCCTCTTATCATGTCTTGAGTATTCTCTGCACTACATTTAACTGAGATCACTAACCTTCTTCATACACTAAGTTTCCAGCTGCTCCTCAATTCTTTCCTCCCCAGTTCTCCACAAATGTTTCTTACTTTCAAGGCAGAGGCCACTAGTATCTCCCTCCTCATCCATTTAAAATGTTCTCTTCTTTCAGAATATTGCTCATCTCCAAGGCTCATCCTCCTCCCTATCATGTTGACTGCGTCTTTTACTTCTTCCTTAGATTTACACCCTTTATTATTCCTGTTCTGTATGATCATGCATTTTATCTTCCCACATAGCCATTCACTCATGCCAGCTTAGAAAATGTGAAGGTACCATATTTACCCTAGAAAATACTAGATCTTGAATTTAGGGAGACTGACTAATCCAGAGTTCACATTCAGATGGTAATATTCTCCTTAACATCCTGCCAGGCATGACTTTCCTGGCTCAGAAAAATGCCTGGAGCTGTGACAGCAAATTAAAAGCCTCAGTCCCTATGGCTGCTTAGGGATGGGGAGGCACGGCCTGACACACTATTCTCTCAACTGCTGGACAAGATGGGATTGCACTAGGGCAAGGATTTCCCCCCTTTAACTGGGGATCAGCATTCTTTCTTTCCAATGATAATATCTTGGAAGTGGCCATCACAACAGGTTCTAGGTGAGGGGATGAGCCAAGTCATATATTCTGATGTCCAGGGGTCCCCCTTGACAGGCTTCACATGGGACTCCGCAGGCCAGCGGCTCTCCTTGGCAATGCAGTCCTGATCTGAGGGTTAGCACCTGGGAAGAGCTCATCCTTGAATCTGGCTAATGTCAAGGCCTCTGGAGCACCTGGAGGAGTTTTTCTTTGAGACTCAGGGAACAGGAGGCACAGCTCCAAAGAAAGCTCTGCTCTAAGCTCTTTTACTTCCATGCTGGGTCCCAAGCTCACCCATGATTAATACTGCCTCAACAGAAAAAGCATCAAGTTGAGAAGGTGTCTGTTCTTAGTCAGAATTCTTTCCATCCTGATCTAAGAGATCACTGGGTAGAGCTTTCTGAAGTCTGCTGGAGTGACAAAAAGGGAAGAGCACAGATTTTTGGCATCAGACAGGTCTGTCTTTGAATCCCAGCTCTGCCACTAACTAGCTGTATATTGGTCAAATGTCTTAAATTCTCTGAGTCTCAGCTGCACTATATAAAATGGAGACAATGTCTACCTGCAGGGCTGTTAAACAGTAAATTTTAAATTTATTTCCTCTTTACTTTCTCTGTAATAGCAACTGGCTAGGAACATTAGCCCCAATGCCAGGGTCAGCTTTGACTAAGTCCCTCCATTCTTTGCCATGTCCTCTTCATCTTTTGCCACTCTCCACCCTTGCACACTGCATACCTGGCTAGAGTGAACCCTTTTCAGTTCCCTGAATGCATCAAGCTCTTTCTGGACAGAGCTGTCCAACAGAACCCTCTGCAATGATGAAAAGGTTCAGTACCTGCTCTGTCCAATATAGTAGCCACTAGTCACATGTGGGTAGTCAGCCTTTGAGCTGTAGCTGATGGGACTGATGAAATAAAAATTTAATTTTATTTAATTTTAATTAATTTAGATGTAAATATACCCACATGGCCAGTGGCTACCATGACTTATAGTTCTAGACTGTAAGTCTTTGCATTTGCTACTTACCTGCGTGAAATGTATTTCCCCACTCTTCACCTAGCTAACTTCTACTCAGTCACAAAACCTTAACTTGAGCATCTGTTCCTCCAGGATGCATATCCTGTGTCCCTGGATCAGTTAGGTTTCCCTTTTGTTCCCGTCTCTAGCATCTACACTTCTCTTATCTCACTCATCACATTTTATTTCAACGACTGGTCTGTCTGTATTTTCCACTAGCTGTAAACCCTATGGCCCTCCTCTGTCAGGTCTTGGTACCTCTCATCTTCCCTTTGAGTGGACATCCACAGGAACTTAGGATCTAGATTTTTTTTCCAAAACTGGGGACTATCTTTGAGATAACTACTGCACATTTGAATAGCTTTAGGGATTCATTAGAAGTGGCCTTACAGCTTTCTAAGGATAAGCCAAAAGGGAAAAAAAAATGATAAAATGCCTTGTTAAAAAGTAAAAACTTAAGGCTATTCTGGACACACTGCCTATGGGGTAGCCCTGCTCCACAAGGCATAAAACTAAATAAAATAAAATAAAAATAAATAAAAACAAATAACAACAACAACAAAAAGCTCCACCACCCTAAAGTACCAAGACAAATGATAAACTGAAAAAAAATGCAACAAATATTATAGATTAAAAAAGATTAATATCCTTCCTATTAAAAAGAGCTCTTAAAATCAATTAGAAAAAGATGGAAACCCTGTAAAGGACATGGATAAGCAATTCAAAAAAGAAGATAAACTAATCCCAATAAGTGTTTTAAAAAATGTTTAGCTTCACTAGTAACTAAAGAAATACAGATTAAATAAATAAGAAACCATTTTGTCTACTAAATTGCCAAAGATTAAAAATATTTATCATAATGTGTTGATAACAGCATAAAGAAAAAGGTAATCCGGCAAGCGGCATAAAGATTTAAATATGCCTACCTTTTTATCTAACATTTCTACTTTCGAGAATATATCCTAAGAAAATGATCAGACGCTTGACAAAAGTAAATTCACAAAGATGTTCTCTGTAATGTTGTTTCTAATATTGAAAAGCTGGAAACATCCTAATTAGACAACCAGAGATTGGTTAAATAAAATGTAATGCATCCCTGCAATGGAATACTAAGCTTTTAAGAGTAGTGATGGTGATGGAGATTTATGTTGACATACAGTAGTATCTGTAATAAATGAAAAAGTGAAAAAGAAAGTAACAAATCAGCATTTGGTATGACCCTACTTATATCAAAACACACTGATCTACTTATTATCTACTCATTAAAAGGAAGCTGGAATGATACATACCAAAATACTAATGATTTTTGTCTATGTGTTTTATTCTCTTTCTCCTCTAAAAATCATGGCAGATAGCCAGCGGGAGGTTGTCCATAGGATTCTCTGGTATAGGGTTTTTGTCTCCTTAAATGGGTCACAGGCCACCTAAGAAACATCCAGTACTAGGTTCCCTGGCTGATGTAGCTGTAAGCTCAATGGGAGCCTAGACCTTACCTGTATTATTCATTACTGTATCCGGAGGGCCTAAAATTGCCTGGCACCTAGTAGGTATTCAATAAGTACTCGAATTAATGAATCGTACCAGAGTACCAATTTTACTTAATGATAGGCATATTAAAACATTATTTTGACAAAGTAAAACTGAAGTACAGACCGGACACAGTGGCTTACTCCTATAATCCCAGCACTTTGGGAGGTCAAGGAAGGAAGATCGCTTGAGCCCAGGAGTTTGAGACTAGCCTGGGCAACATTGTGAGACTCCATCTCTACAAAAAAATTTTTTTAATTAGTCAGGTGTAAGGGTGTGTGCCTGTAGTCCCAGCTACTTGGGAGGCTGAAGTGTGAGGATCACTTGAGCCCAGGAGTCTGAGGCTGCAGTGAGCCACAATCACAACACTGCACTCCAGCCTGGGTGACTGAGCAAAATGCTGTCTCAAAAACAAAAAAACAAACTAAAGTACAAAATTTACAAAAATTTAAGCTAAAAACAAGACTTCTAATAGTTGATCCTTTGTATACACGATTGCAATGCTGGAGGGCAGAAGTTAGTTTTCTTCTATATGTGTATTTTCCCAGAAGAGTTTGAGAAACAGTAAGTTAGTGTCTCTGTTTAAGGCCTTTCCCAACCCCTCATGAGGCCAGGTATTACAATCTTTAATTTACAGATGAGAAAATGAAGGTTCAGTGGTTGCAAGATCACACAGTTACACAGTGGATTGAATCAGGATTCAAATCCAGGCCTGTCTGTCTCCAGAACTCATCTGTGGTTTTGAGAGGTTGAAAGCAAGACAATGAAAAGGACATTGCAGATCATGACAGCTACTGTCTGCACTTCCTAACAAGTCACCATCCCTTACCCCTGAGCTCCCAGGTCTAAGAGGTGCTTTTTCTTAACCCTTAGAGAATCCAGAGGACGATTTGTCACCAGGGTTATTAGCATTTCTCCCTGGATATCGACAGCTTGTCTTTCCTCCCTCCAACCAGTGACTGATTTCTTCAAATGCTCGCCAAATACAGCCCAAGTCACCATGGTAAATGTATTGACAGACTCATATTAACAGCTACTGAGCATTTACAGGGTTGTAAGTTATGCGGGGTGGGGTGGGGGAAGATAAGAAAAATCACAGGGAAATAAAACAAGTTCAATCAGCAGTGACAATTATTTATTTAAAAGCTGCTGGTTGGAACAGTTTTTAGAATATATTTTAATTGCTAATTATGGTTTCTAACAGGAGAGTGGCCTCAATCAGAATTGCTCCTCCTTAAAGCTAATCATTAATATTTTAGCGGCTTGGCTCAGAAACTGTGCTCATGCAGTTGGCCCACCCACAGCTGTGTCTATGCAATCGACTTTAGCTTTAGCTGCTCACTTGGAAACAGAAAGTCTACCGCATTGGTTGGTTTGCTATGCCACTCCCAAAGCGTGCTATTCCATTTGCCATAAGGCAGTAGTAGTCTTCTAAATACTTACTTCTCTGAAGATTGAGGCTCGTTCAATAAGCAAAATTGTGCTCTAAGCCACCCAAACAACTGTCAGTTTTTCAAAGGAATGACCTATCTTTTCTAAGTTAATTTACACCTTTTACTGGGGGACATAAGTGTTGCCTTAGGCAAGATAGAGAATCCTGAAGAGTTTGTTTTCAGTTTCTAATTCCCTGGGCACTTCTGTGTGAACTTCATAACAAATAAGGTCAGCTTCCAGGCCCAGGGAGGTGCCAGGGGTAAACAGACGAGAGGGCGCTCTGGGGTCCCAAGAGTGTGAGTATGTTTTGGCATTGCCCCATCTCCCAAGTTTCCAACTTCACATGCTTCTTAAGGAGAATCTAATCCTCAGGAGAGAATTTAATCTGTTCATTTGCACGCATCTCATCAGCACCCTGCTTTGTTGTGGACTGTTTGATGTCCTAAGGAAAAGACTTCGAAGTCTTTTAAAGCCTTTTTGATGTGAACCAGAAAATCATGTTTTGTCAAGAGTGCACTCAACTTGAACCTCAAAAGGTTCAGGACTCAGAAACCACATGGTTCAAGTGGGATTTAAACTGGGCAAAATCACTTCCTTGTCTTTCTCTGCAAGTCCCTCCCCTGGCCTTTGTGCTAGCAGTTGCTGTACACTGTTGGGCCTTTTCCTCTTTCTTTTTATTCTCTCTTTTGCTCACACATGTGTGTGTGTGAGCACACACACGATCTCGACAAGAAAACCTAGGGAAAAAGAAAAATATATTACCCCCCCTAAAACTGGCTGTCTTTCCACTAAGGGTGAAAGCCATCTCCAGCTCCACTCTGTCCTCCCAGATTCAGAATGGTCATTGCTGGGCCCCCCAGAGGCCCAGGCTGCTTTAGGTGAGGGTCAAATGATTTACAGAGCCAAACAACTATGATTACATCCTTAATCGAGGCATTTAACTAGATACAAGACAAGAGCTCCCTGCGCTCCAGGGAGCTTTTGCAGAGAAAAGTGGAAACTTGCTTCAGGGACTTTGTGTGTCAAGGAGGCATATACATTAGGACGATTCTGTTAAACTTGGAAATGGAAGGAGAGGGATTTGACTCCTCCTAAAATCAGAGGGAAGAACTGAGCTGAGAGAAAAGATTCTAACCCTAACCTATCCAAAGGTTTCTTCCATTTTTTTTTTCCTCTTTTTTCTTTTTTTTGATATGGAGTCTCAGTCTGTCACCCAAGACGGAGTGCAACGGCACGATCTTGGCTCACTACAACCTCTGGTTCAAGTGATTCTCCTGCCTCAGCCTCCCGAGTAGCTGGGATTAAAGGCATATGCCACCATGCCCGGATAATTTTTATATTTTTAGTAGAGACGAGGTTTCACCATATTGGTCAGGCTGGTCTCAAACTCCTGACCTCAAGTAATCCGCCCACCTCGGCCTCCCAAAGTGCTGGGATTACAGGCGTGAGCCACCATGCCTGGCCTTTTCTTCCTCTTTAGACTTGAAAATCCAATTATTTGAAGGCCAGCACAAGTTTAGATTCAGGAGACAGAGTTTCAACTGTGAAAAGGTCCCAAGTGTTCCTCTTTATCCCAAGGAACGCTGGTGCCTTGTTCCCCATGGCTGTAATCACACTGAAGTTTCACTGACCACAGTCTCAAGGTATCCTCATGTCCTGCTAACTATAATAGTCACTATTTATTGAGTGGCTTACCATAAATCAGGCACCATGTTATAAATACATTATCTCATTTAATTTGTTCATTAAAACAAAACAGTGAGTCATCTTATTCCCATTGTGCAGACATGGAAGCCCCAAGCTCTGGGAGTTTAAATTACTTGCCCCAAAGCAACATAGCTAAGAAGTATCAGAAATGCAATTAAAGCCCAATTTGTTGCTCTCCAAAGTCAATGTTCTTGGACTAGCACCATGTTGCTCAGCATGTCGCACTCCGTTGCAGATTTTTTGGTGTTTTTTTAGGCACTTCACGTTTTATAAATTTATTTATTTGGCATTTATTGAGTACCTACTATGGGAAAAGTACTGTGGATATTTCAAAAACTTTAAGACATTATTCCTTCCTCGTCTTTTTTTTTTTTTTAAGAGACAGGATCTTGCTGTGTTGCCCAAGCTAGTGTGCAATGGTGCAATCATAGCTCATTGCAGCCTTGAACTACTAGGCTCAAGCGATCCTCCCCACTCAGCCTCCTGAGTAGCTGGGACTATAGGTGTGTGCTACCACATCCGGCTAATTTTTAATTTTTTTTTTTTTTTAGAAATGGAGTGTTGCTATGTTGCCCAGGTGGTTTCAAACTACTGTGCAATGGCCTTTTCACAAGTCTTCTGTTACTAACACTTTCCCTACATCAATCTGTTAGTCACGCAACAGCCAAAGTAATCTTTTTTTTTTTTTTTAAGAGAGTCTCGCTCTGTCGCCCAGGCTGGAGTGCAGTTGTGTGATCTCTGCTCACTGCAAGCTCTGCCTCCCAGGTTCATGCCATTCTCTTGCCTCAGCCTCCCGAGTAGCTAGGACTACAGGCGCCCACCACCATGCCTGGCTAATTTTTTGTTGTTGTTGTATTTTTAGTAGAGACGTGGTTTCACCGTGTTAGCCAGGATGGTCTCGATCTCCTGACCTCGTGATCCGCCCGCCTCGGCCTCCCAAAGTGCTGGGATTACAGGGGTGAGCCACCGCGCCCAGCCCAAAGTAATCTTTTGAAGTGATAAATCACAACATGGTGATTTATGTTTAAAACACTCTGTGGCTTCCTGATGAACCCAAAATAAAATCCAACTCTCCGTGGCCTAAAAGATTTACAGAGGTCTGGCTCCTCTCCATCTCATCTCCTACCATATTCTCCCAAATTCATTCTGTCCCAGCCCTCAGGCCTTCTCTCTCCTCCTCAAACATTCCAGGACCCCCTATTCCCAAACCCTTACATAGTTGTGCCTGGCTCATCATTTCATATTTCAATTCAAACATCATTCCAAGGGCATTCCAATTCAAATATGTTCCAAGGAACATATTTGACACAGCAGGTCATTTTTTAAATGACAAATAACTAATCATGTAATAATCAGTCATAATACTTTTCTTGATTCTTTAATTTTAATATAAGCAGTTAATGATTTTAAAAATATGTTTTATTTTATTTTATTTTATTTTTTAAGACAGAGTCTCGCTCTGTCACCCAGGCTGGAGAATAGTGGCACAACCTCGGCTCACTGCAATCTCTGCCTCCCAGGCTCAAGCAATACTTCTGCCTCAGCCTCCAGAGTAGCTGGGACTACAGACATGCACCACTGCACCAGCTAATGTTTGTATTTTTAGTAGAGATGGGGTTTCACCATGCTGGCCAGGTTGATCTTGAACTCCTGGCCTCAGGAGGCCTCAGCCTCCCAAAGTGGTGGGATTACAGGCATGAGCCACCACACCTGGCCATTATGTTTTATTTTTAAAGATGTTCAAATTTAGTAAACTATTTACTGGGCAAACTAAAATTTGCACTTACCAAACAAAAATATTACACCCTGCAGTTCACAGTTTATTTCACTGTTTTAAAACTTAAACACATATAAGAACTCCAAGTGGTCACAAAGAACTGCAGAATTGGAAAAAACTCCAATTTTCATGTCTTCATCTTTACAGTTCATGTGCTGTCATTGTTTATTTTGAATATACTGCATGAATGCAGGAAGGAATATGCTGTGTCACCGGAGTTGGAGACACAAACTGTTTCCTGTGGAAGCTCAACTGATTCTGAACTGTTACGTACTTTTACCCAAATCAAGCTGAATTTGCCAATGTCAGGGGCCCACAGTACAACTGGAAGTTCTCCAAATTCTCCCTTATAGATGACAATGTTCATTAAAGGACAAATAATTTAAAAATGCTAATTTGGCCAGGCATGGTGGCTCACACCTGTAATCCCAGCACTTTGGGAGGCTGAAGCAGGTGGATTACTTGAGGTCAAGAGTTCGAGACCAGCCTGGCCAACATGGTGAAACTCCATCTCTACAAAAAATACAAAAATTAGCCAGGTGTAGTGACGCACGCCTGTAGTCCCAGCTACTTGTGAGGCTGAGGCAGGAGAATCACTTGAACCCAGAAGGCGGAGGTTGTAGTGAGCCGAGATCGCATCACTGCACTCCTGGGTACAGTGCCTGGGCAACAGAGAGAGACTCAAAATTGAAACTGAGCAACAGAGCAAGACTCAAAAAAAAAAAAAGAAAAGCCAATTTGAAACTTACATACATACCAAAACTCAAGAGTAACCACAGCATTTTTTTCAAACTTATACCAACAAAATATTTCTGTGGGGAGAAATATTTTCCAAGTGACATTGTTTAAAATTGCCAGCACATGATGATATTAAAAAGCAGACCAGAGCGTTTTGTGGTGGTGCACACCTGTCGTTCCAGCTACTGGGGAGGCTAATGCACGAAGATCACTTGAGCCCAGGGGTTTGAGGTTGTAGTGTACTATAATCACACCTGTGAATAGCCACTGCACTCCAGCCTGGGCAACATAGCAAGACCCTGCTTCTAAACAGACAAACAGGCCGGGCATGGTGGCTCACGTTTGTAATCCCAGCACTTTGGGAGGCCAAGGCAGGAGGATCACTTGAGATCAGGAATTCGAAACAGGCTGACCAACATGGTGAAACCCTGTCTCTACTAAAAATACAAAAATTAACTGGGCATGGTGGCGGGCACCTGTAATCCCTGCTACTCAGGAGGCTGAGACACAAGAATCACTTGAACCTGGGGGGTGGAGGTTGCAGTGAGCCGAGATCGCGCCATTGCACTCCAGCCTGGGCAACAGAGCAAGAATCCATCTCAAAAAAATAAATAAAACAAACAAAAGCAGACCAACTTTTAGTTGACTGTTGTTTTAAAATGCCTCTACAGAGTAGCAGGATCCTGTTCCCCTCCCCAATGCATACTTTATCACAATAAAAAAAAAATTCAAAGTGCTTTAACATGGGGAAACACAGGGTATTATGACAGCAAAAACATGGTTGAAGAAGTGGAAGAACAATAGGAGTATAATGTCGCAGAAGCCACGGTAAGGGGAATTCCAAGAAGGATGAAGTAGTTGGTTGCAGCCAATATTACAGAGGATCCCTCTTTTCAAGCTGGGTGCCAGGGCCAACTGGGAGCAGGACCCAGAGATCTCCCTTTCTACTACATGAGAAGGTAAAACCCAGGTGCCTTCCTCTGGCTGAGATGTGAATTAATTCAAAGGGAAAATGCCTTATATTTGGCCTTAGCCATGCCTTACTATCAGCAGCAGGATCAATGAGCACATATCATATTGAGCCAATGGCTCTGTGCTCTCCAGACTCTGATCCTGCAACAAACAGAGCCGATGGCCACCACCAGGCCTGCTGGTGCATGAGGAGGGAAGAGACTCCACTCAGAAGATGGCCAGGGATGTAGTCTTCTTGCCCACTCCTATGTGGCTCTAGCGCCAACTTAAGTGGAGAAAAAGTTTCATAGATATAGCCACAAACAGAGCTGGTTAAATGGAATTCCATTTAGCACTCACATCTGCTGTTTACCCCATCTTGCTCACTTGAAGAAAGCAGCAAGCATTTGACCACTTCTTTTTTTTTTTTTTTTTTTTGAGATGAAGTCGATGAAGTCTTGCTCTGTCGCCCAGGCTGGAGTGCAGTGGCATGATCTCGGCTCACTGCAATCTCTCTGCCTCCCAAGTTTAAGCAATTCTCTGCCTCAGCCTCCCGAGTAGCTTGGATTACAGGCGCAGGCCACTACACCTGGCTACCTTTTTGTATTTTTAGAAGAGACAGGGTTTCACCATCTTGGTTAGGCTGGGAACTCCTGACCTTGTGATCCACCCACCTCGGCCTCCCAAACTGCTGGGATTACAGGCATGAGCCACCTCGCCCGGCCGTCTTATTTCATTTTTAAACTACCTTCACTATATAGCTCCTAGACCAGTCTGTGCTTTTTGGACGGTAAAACTGAAATAACCATCAGTTAACCTTTTTTACAAACTAACTCAGAAGAAAAAACAAATTCAGAAAAGAAAACTAATTTTGTCAACGCACACACACAAATCAGACACTTTCCCAGCAATTGTGACTGTAATCCCATCCACTTGACCATTTGGAAGAAATAGAACCAAGTAGTAATTACAGAACCAGAGGAATCATTCAGTTTTATCAATTCATCTCTCCAAGATTCAATCATAAATGCTAGGTTATAAGCCTGTCCCATAATACAGTCTTCTGAATCATCTTTTAAAAATAAACTTTTGGTGGCTGGGCGTGGTGGCTCACGCCTGTAATCCCAGCACTTTGGGAGGCCAAGGTGGGCGGATCACGACATCAGGAGTTCAAGACCAGCCTGGCCAAGATGGTGAAACCCTGTCTCTACTAAAAATACAAAAAAATTAGCCAGGTGTGGTGGCAGGCGCCTATAATCCCAGCTACTCAGGAGGCTGAGGCAGAGAACTGCTTGAACCCAGGAGGCGGAGGTTGCAGTGAGCCGAGATCATGCCACTGCACCCCAGCCTGGGAGACAGAGCAAGACTCTGCCTCAGAAAATAAAAAATAAAAATAAATAAAAATAAACTTTTATTTTGGAATAGTTTTTAGATTTATGGAAAAATTGCAAAGATAGTAGAAGAGGGTTTCCATATACTCTTCATCCAGTTGTCACTATTATTAATATATTAGTAATATGGTAGATTTATCAAAACTAATGAACCAATATTGATACATTATTAACTATATTTAGATTTCCTTAGTTTTTTCCTAATATCCTTTTCCTGTTCCAGCATCTCCAAATTAACTTTTTAAAATCATAAACTAAATTTTTTAATTATAGAAATAATACATCACATGTTAACTATTCAAATACCGCAGAAGAGCATACAAGAAAAAGTCTTACTCGCTTCTTCCTACCTAGTCATACTTCCCAGGGGAAACTAGCATTAACAGTTTCATATGTATCTCTCTGACATTTTATATGCATATATAAAGATAGACATGAATGTATCTTTTTTTCTATGAGGTTTTTTTTTTTTTCTCTCTGTATCTTGTTTTACATATAAGCACTTACGGCTCTAACTCATTTTTTTAACCACTATGTAGTATTCTATAACATAGATATATCATTATTTATTTTACCAATTTCTTATCAATGTACATTTAGATTGTTTGTTTTTCACATTACAAACAACATTATAAAGAACATACATCTTTAAGTACTTAACCCAATATATGCAGGATAAATTCTTAAGTTGAATCCCATCAAAGGATATTTGTATTTAAATTTTTCATAGACAGACATTGTTGAAAGGCCCTCCAAAGAGACTCTGCTGCTGCCTTATAGGCCTACCAACCACACGTCCCCACCCTGTTTCCCCACTCCTTCATCAACAACTGTAGGCCATCAAACAAATTACTAACAATTCCTTGAAATGCTTCACATTTGCCATCTTCCCACCTCCATCTTCAAGTTTTCCCTCCTTCTTTTCAGCTCTCTGGCTACTTTTGGTTTTCTTCCCACCTTCCCTGTGAAGGTTGTCCTGTACTTTTCTTTTTCTACACTTACACTCTTGACTCCCCTTCTCACTTCTCTAATATCATTCTTCGTGCTCACAAATGTCCCTTACGATTTCCTCTGCAGCTCAGCATGATTAAATAAAGAAGAGACACTTCCTCTGCTCTCCCAGCCTGCTGGCCCTCCTGAACCAAGAGAGAATGTTAATAGGGACACCTGAAAATCCTTCATCTGGGTCAGAATATTAGAAGGAATATATTTAACTTGGTGTAATGCTAGGAGAAAACATCTGGAAGAATTTGCATTGTTTCTTTTGTTAAAATCTTATCTGTTATTTTTTTTCTACATTCCATACCTGGATAGGATTCCTCTCTTTAAAACAATTGCTCAAAATTGTTATTCATTACTCCCCCCAGCTTTTTTTTTAAGCTAGTGTTGGAGTGGAGGCAAAAGTAGAGGTGGAAGGAAAGAAAAAAAAAATCCACAAGTGGCAGACTGAAGAGTAGGAATGAAAGTGCAGGGAGGGAAGAGGTGAGGAGGCAAAAGACAGTTTTGGGGAAAATGTCAACCTCTTAAGTCCTCTAAGAAGAGTTCTTTACTTAATTTCATCACCACTTCCTTCATTCAAAAGCTCTAAAAACAGAATGGGGCAGGAGTGGGTTGGAGGGTGGGGCACAGTGGAAGGGGGAGTGAAAGTATCCAATTCCTCCAACTGCAACTTTCCCCGACCCCAACTTCTTATCCAGCAAAGCTCTATCCACCACCAAGAATCAGCTTAATAGAATAAACCACTTAGGGCTAAGACGCAGAGGAAGTCAAAGACCCCACAATCTCCTTGCCTATTAAGCCTCTTAGAAGTTAGAATGCTGCTAAAGAAAAGTGATATTATGGCCGAGCTACTTAGAAAGAACACAAGGATGCGAAGTCGGAAAGAGGGAGGCCAGTTTGGGGGTTTGTGAGCATCCATCGTTAACTAAAGATGATGGGGCGGGGTGGGATAGTGGAGTGGGAGCGAAAGCAGCCAGCTGTGAGAACGGCGCTTGGAAGTCATCAAGTTGAGATTTAGGAGAAGAGTATTTGTAGAATGTACAAATGTGATGAGCTCTAAATAGAGCAAAAGCAATTTTTTCCCCTTAAAGGGGAAAACACAGTCTTAAGCATTATGTAAGTTATTAGAAAATTGGAAAAATAAAGCAGCCTGCAATGGTTCCTTCCCAGTTCAAATTTCCCAGTGATTCTAGGCATTCTGTCACCTCCTCATCCTCTCCTCAAAATAGCTGGTGAACAGTAAATGGTCCACAGACTTGCTATCTGAGTTGGCTGACCAGGCAGAGGCATAGAACAGGATTCGTCAAGCCCTTTACTAAACCCAGAAAAAATTCCTTCTGGCTTACTGTCCTTCCTCGGGTAGGAGTTTAGTGTAGAATTCTAGTCATTTCCACTCTGTGCCTTTTCGGGTATTTTAAAAAGGTGGTCATTGGGTGGGTGCTAAACTCATCCCTGCTCCAGCCCCCATATAACTGAAGCCAAGAAGGAAAAACAACATTATAGGTACCAACTCCTGAATATCAATTGGAAGATTTTTCAGTCGTAGGAAGACTTGTCATAAACTGCACAGACTTATAAGAGTTCAGGGCTTGCTGGAGTCACTGTCCCCATAATGCAATTAGGAGTAGAGGTAAGAGTTGGAGGAGCCTGGTTTAAGAGACCTCAAATCTGTGCCCAACCCCTTATCATATTAATTATAGCTAACATTTATTGAAGGCATACTTTGTGCGAGGCACTGTTCCTAGGACTTTATTTGTATTTTCTATTAACTCATTTAATCCTTATAACACCACTAAGAGATTGATACTAGTGTTCATCCCACTTTATCCTGAGGAAATGGAGGCACAGAAAGAGTAGGTGCATCTGTCTCGTCTCACAGATTTAGCTCTTCTTAAACTACTATGTCTGTAAAGCACATTGGGCGTTAGCAGATACTAAATCATCTTCTCCCATCCCACCAAAGGGTATGTTTGACAAACTTTTTTTCTTAGATCATAACTAGTAAGTTCCAGGCAACGCACTGGGTACTAGGAACAGAGATCTTAGAATAAGACACAGTTCCCATCTCAAGGAACTCACAGTGCAGGGAGGGTGAAAAGGGCTTGTGAGTGGGCCAAAATAAATTGTGCCTAAGGGCTGCCACACTGCAAAAGGCTCCTATCAATTTTTCGAGTATGGAGACAGCCTGACATACATATATGAAGTGCTCAGAACAGTGTCTGGCACACAGTGAACAAATACAAGTATTATTCTTGTTACCTCGTGAATCTGACCCATAGGTCTCCCTCTCCTGGAGTGTCCTTCCTTCTCATTGACTCTGGAGTCAGACTGCCTGGATCTGAACCTCTTCTCTCACACCTGCTTGTGTGACAATGGGCATATTGCTTAAACACTGTGCATCAGTTTCTTCATCTGTACAATGGAGATAACACCTATCTCGTAGGGATTTTATGAGGATTAAATCAATTATTACCTGTAAAGCACTCAGAATAGTGCCTGACATATAGAAAGTGCTTGAAGTGTCAGCTATTATTATTAGGAGTGATACTATGTTCTTCTCTTTGCTTGCAGTCATTTCACTTGCAATAAAAAGACTGAATTTAAATGCATCTGGCTTGGTTAGTTTAAGGTGGATAGGAAGTCTCTGGGACTAAATGGGAGGAGAACAGGACCCCTGGGAACTTGGAGGAATAACCCTGGAACTTGTTAATTAAGATCTTGTTAATGAATCTGCTTGTTACTGGTCTATTAAATAATCACACAATGAAGTTTACCGCACAAGTAAAGTCTTTTTCTTTCTTTCTTTCTTTTTTTTTTTTTTTGAGACAGAGTCTTGCTGTGTCACCCAGGCTGGAGTGCAGTGGCACAATCTTGGCTCACTGCAACCTCTGTCTCTCGAGTTCAAGCAATTCTCCTGCCTTAGCCTCCCAGGTAGCTGGGATTACAGGTGTGTGCCACCATGCCTGACTAATTTTTGTATTTTTAGTAGAGATGGGGTTTTGCCATGTTGTCCAGGCTGGTCTCGAACTCCTGACCTTAGGTGATCCTCCTGCGTCAGCCTCCCAAAGTGCTGGGATTACAGGCGTGAGCCACCACACCTGGCCTAGTAAAGCCTTTTTCAAATTCTTGCTCTTTCCAATCCTCCTGGCCCAGCTTTAACTTCTAAAGATCTTGCCTAAGGGGCAGGCCCTTCCAAATCTGACAGGGACCTCTTCATCTTGTCATACTGGCCAATAAAGCATGGCTATTCTTGCAGCCTAGGAAAGATCTCTAGGGCAGAAAGCCCTCTTCGACTTGATTCTGCCTATCATTCCTCAGGCCAAAGCACTGTGCCTCTGAGCCAAAACATCTCCCTCCACAAAATAGGAATAGAGTCACTGGCCCTGGAAACAGAAAAATAAAGATGCTCCGAGCTTTGCTGAGAAGAAAGGCAAAGGGTAAACTTCTTTCAGTGGGGATTTAGCCAATAAAATTTCAGCTGAGATGTCTGTATAGAAAACAGCCTGCCAACTTACATTCACAAAAAGTCTACAAGAGTTGGGTAACTTTTGCCCCAAAACACCTAGAAAAATAGTGCTGCGGTCGGTCTCAGGGAACACAGACTGTCTTCTGTAGCTCAGCTTCAAGGAGGGAATGGCATGTCAGAGGGCTCCCTCTAGGTTGAACACTCAGGCATTTCATAAACTATTTTAGCCCCCAAAGACCATTTTGCTCTTGAGACAGACGTAGATAGACATCTTGCATGTACCTATGTGTATGTGAGGGTATGGCATTTATACGGTTACTTTTAGATTACAAAACACATCTGGATTATCTATTTACTCAGCAACCCTGTAGGGTAGGGCAGGGATTATCTACCATCTCCCATTTTATATATGAGGAGCTGGGGCTCAGAGAAACAGAGACTTACCCAGCATCACACGGCTAGTAAATGACAGGCCCAGAGCTTCTGACTGTGCTGTTGCCCTATTGCTGAACCGTTCCTCTATTTCTAGTCACCACCTCCCACTTGTAAACATGCCAGGAGGTGCCCAGTGTTGTGGTGGATCCTGTGTGGCCCTTCAGACTATGTCCAAGTGAGTAGAGCCAGCTGGCAACTCTGCAAACTCAGCAGAAGAAACAGTGATCCTGGGTTCATTTACTTTAACAACAAGTATTTACCAAGCTAGGCACTACGTGAGGGGACACGCTAGATGGAGTCACATAGGGAGACAGACATGGGCCCATGGGAGAGGCACAATTAAGCAAATAATTACAATTTAATGTGATGAGTGTTTTTAAAGGGGGAATTATGTTGGGGGAAAAATACCATCCCCAACTCCATAAGCAAAGTTGACGAGAGCATCCCCTACTGTGCAGGTACCCAAAACCCCCTGAACCTCTCAGAGCAAGCCCCTAGTCACGGCTCACTGAACCTTCTACCCGGTGGCAGCTGCCCCCTGGAAGGGTTAAAGCTTAAAGCAGAAAGCCAATCTGCAGGTGTTGGTGACTAATTCTGACACTGACAGATTCCTCTAACCCTCCAACTTTTATTTCTTTACAAATGAGCATTTGAATGAAAGCTCAAGGGTTGCGGAAGAGGACAGAGGAGGCTGGCAAAGCATACACACCAAACCCTCTCCAGCCCCTTCTCGGCAGAGCAACAGCAGTGAGAAGATAAGCGGGCTGGAGCCCAAGGGGCACCGCAGCGCACACCGGCCTCCCTCACATCTGGCCAAGCACCTCCAGACCCTCCGCTGGGCCACCTCATCATAATAATATTGCACCAAGAAGGGGAGGTCTGGGCACATACAGTCACTTGATCAGCAATAAGACAGGCAGAGGGAGGCAATCCGAGGAGGAGCAGTGGCAGAGGGGGAGCCGGGACAGGTGGACAGATCCTCCCCAAGACAGGAGACTGGATGAGGAAGGTACTGTTTGTGAGCAGATGCTGGGTCTTCACCCTTCCCCTGCCTGCCCAGACTCCTCAGTGGGTTTCCATCCTCTCCTTTCCTCCCCACTAGTCCTCACTCCCCTTTCTGCAAGGCCAAACACCTCGGTGAAACCTTCCCCCGAGACTTTCACCCTAGATGAGTGATTCCTAAACCTTAAGGAAAACAAGAATCACCTAGGATGGCTACTTGCTGAATACACAGTTTTTAGGCTGTATTCCTTGTGATTCTGAAGATGAAGTCTAGTGTGGGCCCTGGGAATCTGCATTATAAATAACATTCTTCACCCCACCCCCATCCCTGTCCCCATCCTCCACTATCACCAGCACAAGTGATCTGAAACAGGCAGTCCTTAGATCACATTCTGGGAAAGCCAGCCTCAGGGATGACTCTCTCTCTCTCTTGAAATCCTAGTGCCCTTACTGTCTGTTATTTTACATTATCATTTCTTTTTCATATATACAGTTTAGCTACTCACCTTAACCATAAGGCTGTCAAGAAGAGGAAGTATCATCTCCTACTTCTTTGATTCCCTTGCAAACAGCACCGAGCACAACGCTCTACACACAGGAGCTCAGGAAATGTTCGTGGATGTAGAGCGATGATGAAGATAAGAGGCCAGGGAAGGAAAACCACAGCGGGGATGGTGGAGTACAGAGGCCCCGCCTGGAAGGAACTGTTTTTAGCATGCCGACGTGTGCCAGGCTAGAACAACGGTTTGCTTCGCTTTCTTTTTTTCCTTCTTCAATACTCTTGGCACTACATGCCTAACCTCCCTCGCGAAAGTCAAGCCTGAGCAATGCACCTCCCAGAGGAAACTTTGCCAAGAAACTCTGCCAAGAATCCCGGGTGCTATGTGGCTTAGTTTAACGGCCAAGCGAGTACTCTAGGCCCTGAGACCTGTCACGTTTCCGGGTAGGGCAAAGGATAGAGCTAAGCCTGAACTTTAGTAAAAAGATGAGGACCCTTAATCTAACTCACTAAACATCAGCAGGGCAATGGCCCTCCTTCATTCAGCAAATATTTCCAGAGTATCTACTCTGTGCCAAGCATGGTTCTGGGTGCTCATGGGTCCTCTGGTGGTTAAGATAGCATATGTTATCAGAAAGCATTTTCTAGTGACATATCTTTAGAAAGTTACTTTAAAAGCAGGACCCTAGATGATGATGAGCCTCAGAGCCACATAAGCACCAAATGGATATTCTCAAGAATGCCTGGTTATAGGATGAAGTGCTATAGACATCCAAGGTCAGGTCTCAGGCCCTGCCAGGGAACAATTCTATTCTCACTTCACTGTGAGCAATCCTTGGCAATTCTGGAGTTCTTTCTTCCACTCTCAGATACTACAGTTTGTCCAAAAAAGCCAACTGCTACCCCTAGCTCCTTTGAATAAATAACTCCTTCTTGATTTTCAGATATCAGCGTAAAGGTCACTTGCTCCAGAAAGCTATCCCTGACTCTTAGACAAGATTAGATGCTCCAACTTCTAAGTCTCATGGCATGTTATATTTCCCCTATGACAGCACTTTTCGCAGCATCCTACAATTGCTAACTAAACTTTGAAGTCCAGTAAGGCAGGGGCTATAATCTATCTTGCACATCAGTCTATTCCCAGTACCTCGCATGGTGCCTGGAACAATGTAGGTATGCAGTAAATACAGCTGAATGATTAAACCAATGAGTGCATCACATTTGACCAATGATATGGCAACTGAGTCATGTCTCACATACTCTGCGACAGTTTTATCCACTGCCACCAACAAACAGCTAAGATGAAGCAGTACTATTCCTTCTGTGGGACCAGTATCTTATGGAGGTAAAACTGGGGCTCACAGCAGCACCCCAGTACAGACTCCAGGAGGCACTTCCCACGATCAAAGATGGATTCAATACTACAGAGTCAATATAATGTCCTCAAGAGCCTGAGAGCTATTCTGGCCATGAGCAACAGACTTGAGTTTCTTACAAGTCACTCAACTTCTCATAGGCTCAGCTTTCTCATGAAGAGGACAGTGGGTACTTCAGCAGCAGGCACTCACTTTAAATAAAGAAGAAATGACAATAAAAATCTCCCCATACCATGATGGTAAGTTAGAAGGAGAAGGCAGCATTTGCAATGAAGCATCTCTGTGGTTAGGAAAGGGTTAAACCCATGTCTGGGTTCTTTTCCCCGTAAATCAGCCTTGACTGCTGCTCAGTCTGAATGAAGCCCCACCAGGTTGGCCTGTCAGGAAGGAAGCCCATGCGTCCAGACTTTTGTTGTTCTAAGGATTTTTTTTTTTAATTTTACTGCTCAGGAAGGAAGCTGAAGCCTAGGCCCTAACTGCAGTCCTGCTGATTCCTCAGCCGAGCATGCGCCACTGCCCTTACCACTCCAGCGACCTCTCAGACTCCGCTCCTTTTCTAGAATTCCTTCTGAACCATGATTTTGGCATTTGGACCTAAATCCCAGACTTTCTCCTTCAAGAACCAAAAATTAAGAACATTCAGCATTTCCCTTCCTACCTAGTACACACCTTTGTGACTATATGTGGGAAGGGCTGAGGACAGAGAGGGAGGAGAATTGGGTGCTGCATGACCTTCAGTGACACTTTACTTCCAAAGGTGAGCTGAACCCTTCCTTTAAATGGAGCCATGAAGGAGTTGATAGAGACTGAGGTATCAGATGATTGGCTGCCAACAGCTATTTCTGCTACAAACATGTGTGGGCATGAGGCTCTTCAAATATGAGCTACTCTATTTAAATAACAGACTCAAATCCGAGGTCCTCAGGCACAGGGTCAGTCTTCCCCACTCCCATCCTCCTACTCCCCACCTCTCCCACTGACATGCAGAGTCATTCTCTGGTATTCCCAAGTCCCATGGGGCTTTTTCTCTACAAAGAGAAAAACACTGAGTTTATTTGTGCGTTCAGGGTAATGGACAGCCCTCTTTTACTCCTAGGAGAATGCACACAGACACTATGCCCCGCCCAACCCTGCCCTCCCCTTCCCCCTGCTAATCCCTCCCCAGGCAGCCCCCCCATCTCAGTCCTGCTGCTGTATTTCTCTTCTGACCTACAAGGCCCCTTCAAGCCCCGTCCTAAGCTTCCCCCAAGCAGAGACAATCCATCATGCTGTGGGACTGTGACACACACAGATGGGGGAAGGTTCACAGATTTGTCTCACATAGGCAAGAGGGTAAAACTGTCTGTATAACTTAAAATCTAAGGACACACGAGAAACCCAGGGATTGTGAATTCTAATACTAGTCAAATACTATTACAGCAAATCTCATTACGTGTAGTCCAAATCTCTATCACACACAAATTCTAATAACCCATTGATTTCAAACAATATCCAGTAATATAAAATTTCAGAATAAGAAAATACCATGAGATTTGGCTTTTTTAACCCGGGCCACTGCCTAGATATCCAACCCGAGTCAAATCCTCTCCCGACTCCCAGACTCAGTTTCTCTAACTCGACTATTACCTTGCTTCTAAATAAAACAAGGGAGAAAGAGGTCAGGAGGACACCAGGGCTAATCCTGGTGGATGGATAATAATGAAGGGAGGAGAAGCAGCTGGCCATCACAGAAAAGGGCTTTCAAGCCTTTCTCCCTCCCTCTTTCCACATTGCCATAAGGCATGAGTGTGTGAAAGGACCCTACATACATTGCTAGTTGTTAATGACCCTGTGTTTGGCTACATCAATGCTTCTAACAAGGAAGGTTTTACCACCAGATTGTCCTTGAAATAACAACAGTAACTAAGTATTGAATACTTAGTATGTGTGAGAAACTGTTCTAAGCATTATCTATGTGTTTAATCTCATTCAGTCCTTCCCAACAACCTTTAAGTCTGTATAACTCCCATTTTGCAGGCAAGAATACTGAGGCCCAGAGAGATTAGGTAACCTGCCCAGTATCAGAAAGCAAGTAAGCTAACACGTCAGGACTTAACTCCAGAGGCCAAACTCATAGTGACTATGTTACATTGCCTCCCCACCTTTGATCTGAAACACCTTCGAGTTGAGGCTCAAAGGGGGCAAATACAGCTTTTATTCCTCTAACAGGTATTTATTATGCTAGGCCACTCTGACTTCCTTTAAATCAAACCCCCAGAAGCAAGGTCAAATGAGAGCAATATAGGATTAGCTGGCACCTAAATGGGAATCATATACCTGAAAATAAAGCGAAGGTCTCTCCAGGGCTGGCCCTTGCCCCCTCCCTACAGCTTTCTGTCTCTGCTGCACTAAGATTGATGTAAAGCCATAAGTCTAGCCTGAATTTCAGTGGAAAAAGACAACTCTTGCCTGGTAAGTCACACTCAAACTTACTGGGCTGGATTTCTCATAAGACTGTACCAAAAGGTTCCTTCTTCACTCACATAGCTCCAGATTTTCCTAAAGCTTCAGATCTGTTAACAGAATGTACTGGACACAGCACCATGTCTCCCCAGCAAAAACACAACTTTCATTTCTTCTAGGTCATCTTAAACCAGAACGCATTCCACAGAGAAAACTGACAGCCACATATCTGAATTGCCAGATGGTTACATGTGTCTACAAAACCTCCACATCACTTGACTGTTTGCAACTTTGGCCAGGATCTAGGTGGAAACTTTTTTCTAAAATACACACCAAAAGCAGATCCGTATGTGTGGACTCCACGATAGGGGATGTAATGCTGTGGGAAAACATTTGGAAAGGGGATAGGCTCCAATCTTAGGTTTCTAAGGGTTAGGAGAAAAAAGTAGATTTAAATTTTTGTTAAGTTATAAACGATTTTTTATTAATAGTACCCCAAGTAATAAAATAAGTCTATATTTGAGAAAGGTGATTTCACAAATTCTTGGAAAACTCCCTCCCTACCTTCATCATCATGAAACCTCAAGGCATAAATAAGTTCTTCCTTTCTTTCCTCAAACCTCTACGCCTTTGGGATAGCATACATAGTCTTACAGATGCTGTTCTGTGCAATGCTGAAGAGTGGTAAGATGATGAAAACTTAAAGTAAAAACTAGATTATAATCGCCACCACTAAGGTATTCAATATGCAATGAACACTAAACCCTTTTAGATGATTGGTACCAGACAAAAAATAATAATTTTTTTAAACACTAAAACTAAAGTAGTGTGATTAAGATAACAGAAAAGTCCAATCCATTGGGTAAGGCTGGAAGATGATAAATTCCTTCTGTTTACTTAGCATCTACCAGGTGTTCTGATTCATACTACAGCCTATCATTTCTCCAGGCTCAACATGTAGTCCCAATCCAGGATCTTTTCTTGGAAAAGGTGTAAGAAGGTTCTTTCGCAGAAAATTCTTCTTGCTGCAAAGAAAGAGATACTTACAAATTCCTACCCTGTAGCACACATGTGAAGTTACAAAGGATAACAACACATTCTGTTCAACCATACATGCCACAATTTAAATGATACTTAAAAAAAATTTTTAAAGGCATTTTAGCTAATATATAGCAATAAATTATCCTTAAGTCTGCAGTTCATCTCTCTTTAAGACGGGATAAAATGGCACTGGGAAATGCTGTTAAACTCTTAGCAGCAAATATGCAAGTCCAAACAATATTGCTATTTTGGTGTTTAAAAATCCTGTGGATTTTACAATGCAATGTACCATCACTCCAAATCTCAAGTATTTATAAAGAGCACGTCCCAAGGTGTGCTTCGATATTTATTAACCACATGGATGTGGTTAATAAGAGTTAAAAATAAGAAAAACTATTATAAAAATATAACTCCATTAAATATGCTGTCACTCCAAATCTCAATTATTTACAAAGAATACATTTCAATGTGTGCCAATATTTATTAACCAGATGGATGTAGTTAATAAGGGTTAAAAATAAGAAAACCAATATAAAAATATAATTCTATTTTTCAGTTTCCTCTTCCCTGCCTAATGAGGAAAGGGGGTGGGGAGGGACAGCAACTTTTGTTATTTGGATACAATGTGTGTGTGTTTTTTTTTTTGTTTTCAAACAAAAAAGGGCCACCAAATAATCAACCTGGGGCCGCTGACCGGAAGGCAGCCCCGGAAAACTTCCCGTGGGAAGAGTTCCAGAAATTGCCCAGACTTTAACGAGCCCCGCTGTGCTGGCTGCGAGCCTCAGAGGCCACCGCGACTCGCCTTGCCCGAATGCCAGCAATCCCGCCGAAGGACGGAGCCCTGGACTTCGGAAACATTCCCCGGAACATTTTTACAGATTTGAAAAGCAGGAAGGGAAAAACATTTCAAGCCGAAAGGAGAAGCCTCAGAGTCCTGGGGGCACCAAGGGGCCAGCGAGGTCCCCAGGCGCTGTACACACGTCCAACCTCCCTCCTCCACGCGCCCTGCTCCCCCAACCTCCTCCCATCCCTCCTTCTCCAGGCAGAACCCTCCCCGCGCAGTGGCCATCCCCACGCCCGCGCTGTGTCCCCCTCACGCCCCGTGCACCCACTAGCGCCTCCCGCGCGCTCCCATGCACCCCGACGTCGCGTGGGCGCCCCCCCCTTATCCGTCACCCCGGTTCCCACTCTCTTCTGCTCAGACGGCGTAGAGGAAACCGATCGGGGACTGGGTTCTTAGTGCGACTTGGGGGTGCAGGGACGTGGAGGGCGAGGCGGGGCAGGGCGGGGGGCGCGACGGGCCCTCGTGTGTGCGGCCGCGGGCTGGGCGCTCCCGGCCCTCGAGGCGGCGCGCGGAGTCCTCCTGCGGCCTCCAAGTGCTGCAGAGCGACGGCGAGATCACCAACATTTCTGAAACCACTTGCAAGCCGCCTCGGTGGCGGAGGCTGGGGGTCCCTTGCAAGTAAGCGAACGGGGCCCACCCCGTGGCCTGGCCTCCCCGGGGCCAGTTCTCGCGCCTCTCCGCGCCCCCTCCCCCAGAAGATCAATTACCAGCCACCCTTCTGCCGGCAGCGGCGAGGGGCTGGCGGGCGGCCGCGAGAAAACGGCAGCCCGGATCACTTCTGCATGACAATTGATGGGAGGGAGGGCGCGGGGCGAGGAGGGAGGACGGCTGCGGTGTCCGTTTTCTCACCATGGTGATTAGGCATTCCGGCCGTAAGAGGAGGCAGCCGCCGCACAGAGCGGCGCGGCGTGGAGCGAGGGCAGGGGAAGAGCGGGAGCACAACTACAGCGAGCCCAGCCGCCAGGCGAGCGGCGCGCCGAGCCAAGCCAAGCCAGGCCAGATGGCTCTGCAGCCATCAGGGACTGCTCCCGTCCAGCCTGGCCCCACTTTAGCTGTGCAAACATTTCTTTATCCCAACAAGACAATTAAACCCAGCAGCATGAAAAAGAGTCTCCATGACTGTGTTGGGAGTGAACAACCAGAAACAACCACACACATCACAGGAGTTCTTGCCCCCGGGGAGTAGGGGAGAACCCGGGAGCAGCTGAGGGAGAGTCAGGCTAGGTCTGGGCAGTCAGGACAGAGGGAAGCATCTGACCCAGGTCTTCTGGCGATTTGCTGACCCTTTCCCAGTGGTCATCTGTCCCAGCTGCAACCCAGAGGTGCAGCCTGGCCACCTGGCATGCCCCAAACATTCTCCCTAGCAAGAACAACTCTCCTAAAAGCCCAGTGTAGAGTCCCTGCCCACCCCAGTCCCAGAGCCCTTGGAAAGTATCCCCCCTCACCCCAGCCCTCCCCATTCCAGGCTGCCTTTGGCCTAGGTGGGCTCAGCTGATTTGATTGTTAGAACACAGGGTCTTCAATGATACATGCCTTTATATAAAGACACAGAGTACAAAATACCATCTCCTACTCAGGGCTTTTGGGACCCAAGAATGGCTGTTCAAGTACATCAAAGATGAGAGCAAAGCAGAACATCCAGGAGCTGCTGTGAGCCATCAGGTTTCCTGCCTACCTGTGACTCTGCCCGACCACAGTGAAGGTCAAGGAAAGAGGGCAAAGCCAAGCCACGTGTGGTCAGTGCCCAGGGTCCATCCCTGGGGTAAGCCAGAAGACAGGGCCAGTCGCCGCTCCACGCGGGCAGTTCTGGGCCCTCTCAGCCCTGTGGTGAGCATGTATACTTCGCCAACTCCAATCTGGGCTGAGTGGATAGGCTGGCAGGCTGGCCAAAGACTGTGTCACACAGGCAGGAATCTGGGCACAGGGGCAGCCTGAAGAGGACCATCAGGATATGCACATGACAGGAGCCAGAGTGCTAAGGGGGTAATAAATGTACAGATTCTAACACAAGACAGCAGACAATACTTATCTTCCCTTTTGTTGTGAAGTTTCCTTAATGAGGAAATGTTTATTTTAAAGGCCCTGGGAAACATGGCTGTAGACATTTCATATGTAAAGCACACGTGAACTACTTGTAATTGGTCCGTAAATTTTAGCATTATTTCCCTGGACAATGAGTCTTGGGGACTGATTCAAGGAGTGACAATAAGCAGGAGTTACCTCAGTCTCCTTCCTGGGGAATTATGCATCCTCCATGAATGGCTTCTCACAAAACACTTCTCCCATTTTCCAGGGCAAGTAAGTCAGTCCTGCAGAGTAAAGGCTGCTTGTTTTTCCATAGAGCACAACACCTCCCTCAGGAATCACCTGTGAAGCCAGGTGGATGGACAGGCAAGCAAACCAGAATCATCTATCAGGAAAGATGATGCTTGACCCAAATCGCTATATTTCTGTCTATAAAAATGCATGTTTAACCACAAAAGAAATCCTGCCTACCAGTACCCAGATTTAAGGAAAGAACATGTGTGCATTACACCATGTCTGCAGGCCTCTCTTTCCAGTGGGCTCACAAGTGGACATATCTGCAGATTGATGTAGTGTGTGAGCAGGGGGTGGCTGCAGCAGTAAAAACTGTCAGTGTTTCCATTATACAACTGATTTCTTAATGACCTAAAACTCAGTCATAAAAACTTCTGCTCTAAGTAAAGGACACACACCACCATTCTCATCTCCCACCCCCACCCACCAACAAAACTCTAAAGCTAAATGCTTACTTCGGAGTTTGACTGCTGCACTTAATTAAAACATTTAAAAAATATTTTATGAAAAGATATTTATATGAAGAGAACTGAAAAATGAGTCAACCATATCAGCAATTAACTCTAAATTTTAAGAATAAATATATATACATATATACACGTGTGTGTGTGTGTGTGTGTATATCAACCATATATGGTTAATTTGGGCAATCTGGCGAAAGCACTGTATCCTATCACTCTGCTCGTCTGAACACTTTCTATCCTCTGTCTTTTCATATCCCCATACCCCGTCACTGCCCCCATCTGCCCCTGAAGCTTTCTCTCCCTTTGGAAGCAGTCTTGTATACTGTCACTCGATTATCTGAGAAATATTACTTATTTCAAAACGGTTCTGTAGGGAGGACCTGAAAGGCATCTAGTGGGAATAATCAGGCCTTCTAACGACCCTTAAATATGTATTTACATAAAACAGACCATAAATATTCCGACACACGTCGGCATATGACAGGAGCCAAGAAAGCTGCTGCAGACTTTGTCTTAGTGCCTCTTCAACCCTTCCTTACAGAAAAATACTTCTCCTGCCTTCCAAAAATTCGCAATCAAAAGCACAAACGCTATCTAGTATGACCCAGTGAGGGATGTGCTAACCACCTAAGGTAAGGAAGGGAGTAAAAAGCACAACTCCAGGGTGACCACAGGGTAGCACAGCCTCCTTTTCACTTTGCACCTTTGTTTTTTATTAAAGATTAGTCACAAATGCAACTCTGGATAATAACGAGGGTGTACGAACACCCTCCCCTCACAGACACTCCTATAGGTTTTATGCTTGTGTACAAGAAAAAAAAAGGAGAACACAGGGTACTCTATAAGGGAAGACTATTTTAAATGAATAAAAGAGGAAAGGGACTCCAATTTGTATAACACCGCATTGGAAATAAAGAAGTTTCCCCACCCTTCTGATCAGAATCTCATTAATTTCAAGGTCAGAATTCCATTTCACTTTGGGAGACAGACTCATTTAATTTTTCTCCACCCAGGCGTACTCCTGTGTGAGGGATCCATCTCCATGGGGGATGCCACCACCACACAATGCAAACCAGGCAAACAGAAGAGTTATGGCTTTGACACTCAGAGGGGAATGGATATCCACGTCTATGAGTTCTGACTTGACTAACAAGCTTCCTCCTGCTCTGGAGTCGGATACAGGTTTGGGCTAAAAAGATAGAAAAATGGAGACAAGCTGGATCTGTTAGGTAAGAAGAAAGAGATCTCAATCTCCAGATGTTACTTTGTGGCATATTAGCTAAGAGAAGATTTCATTTTCAACTTGTATTTGGAGAAAAAAAGGGGCGGAATCTGTCACACCCTAACACAAGGCAGTTTTGGCTGGAGGTCACATTATAACTAGCCTTGATCACTTGCACATCACTGGACAAATGAAAACTAAAATAAAATCAAATGAACCAACACAATGCCGATACCTGTTCAGCAGGTATATCCAAGAAGCAGGATCACAAGACACACAAGTCAACAGAAACTGAAAAGGTGAAAGAGAACCAAAGCCAAAGTGAGAGGGCAACACTAGCAGTAGTGCTGTCAGCCAGCAGCCTTCTCCCTTAAGTGGGGAGGTCTCCGGCTTACAGAGGCTGACATAAAAGACACACTTGCAACATATTTCAAAACCAAAGAGCGATGGATTTACAAGGCAGGTTGATTTTATGATGACTTTTATTGAAAAGGTACGCTGGGTTTAGGCAGATGCCTTTTAGCGCAGGGAAGTTAACACAGTGCCTAATTCAAGGAGACAGCCTGACGAAGCAGTGGCGACAGGGGAGAGAGCTGCAATGTCTCTATTACTCTCCTCGGCATCATAAAGAGGAGGGAAAAAAATGGTATTCGTGTTGGTGGTTATAGAGAGGATGGGAGCACGAAAAAATAGAGAAAAGTGGAAGGCAAACCTCAGATGTAGTTTTCTTAAGAAAATAAAATGAAGCAAATCTGAGAACAAAGGGTTGCGTGGAAAAAACACCCTCAGTTCATAAATTCTCACCAGGCTTGAAGAAAACTGCTCTGTCTACCCACAGCCCAAAAGCTTCAAAACACAATTATTTTCTGATTATATTAGAGCAAAAGATTGCAGGGTTCAGCACTCCTAGTCTACAAGTTCCAAATAAAGGTTTAGTTCCAGCTATAAGTGTAGCCAGAGCCCAACAAGGCACTTGGAGAACATGAAAAAAAGCTGTTTCATAAGCAGAAATTAATAATAGTTGTGAACATCAAATTTGGAGCAGTCACACAGGTCAACCGTGTCTAGTCCTAAAAGTGAGCCCCAGGATAAGCATCCAGCAAACCTGTGAAATCCCAAGAGAAGTCGGCTTTCTAGCCTTGCGATCGCAAGGAAAACACAGCTGTGTGAAATGCTTTATGGTGATTGACGACACCTTTGTCCTTCTCTGAAAAATAGCCTGATGTGGACAAGGGCTGAGAGTTGTGAAAATAGAATCACGTGGAGTCTGCTGGATGTGATACAATGGAAAAGCTAAAAAATAACACTGAGATCAGACAAACATAACGAGGACAGCAAAGAGAGGAGGGGTGGACATGTTTCTTTAGGCCCCCCAAATTCCCTAGGAGCCGACACTTCTTAATGAAATGACATTCACTTCAGTACGTCGGTGGCACCCCTCTTCACTCAAGTCCTCAGAGAATAAGCCCACTAGGGTCCGGAGAGAAAGGCTGTGCTGGGGCCAACTTGCCTCTGGCTACTTTCAGAAAAATATTTCAAGAACTATCAGTGCTCACTGATAAGAGACAAGCAAAGGTTAGCACTCCACAGCTAGTGAAAGGGAAGTAGTTGGCCCTTCCTATTACTAGGAGCATGCAAAACGCCACCGACCTGTTGAACATCACGGTGAGGCAGGGCTTACTGGGGGTAAGGGAGGGCTGGAACCAAAGTACTTACATCTGTCATTCCGATCCTCTGGGCTAGATGAGGCTTCCCGATCAGAAATGAGGCCAGAGACAGCAAAAATCTTCTTCCCAGTGTCATCAACCTTTAGTGAACCGGGGGAGCTAGATGGCAGCTGTGTCCCAAAGTCATATTCCTTGCCATCTGCATCTGAGAAGCGCAAGTGGGGAGACTCTGTGTCATGGCAGTTCTTAAGTCGCTTGGCCGGCGTAAAGGCTGACTGATAGCTCTCCCGGTCCTCGGTGGAGGCAAAGGGCCGGAAAGCCCCCACACCACTATGATTCAGCATACTGATTGGGGTGCAATCTAGATTTGGGGGAGCAAATTGAGGGTGGAGGTGTAGTAGAGAAGGGGGGAAATCACGATTGGCAAAAGTGCCTGGCACCCCACCTTGCCGATGGTACATAGAGGCAAAGGTATAGGAACCGTTGGTGAAAGGAATATGCACGTCCTTGTCAACTGAGACAGGTACACCAAAGGGTCGTGGCTGCTGACAAGGGATGGAAGCATCACGGCTGGCCTCAGCCGTGGATGCCAGGACCATCAGTGCTGGGGATGCCAGAGGGTTGGGAAGGTAGGATGAGTTCTCCATCTTGAAGGCTGCCCGGTGTAAGTCCATCGGAGTCTCTTTCTGTGGCCGGCGTTACGCAAGAAGCAGTCTTCCCTGGGAGGGAGGCCAACCAGCACTTTGGGTCAGGGCAGGGAATATTACTGGGGAATCATTCCCTCCTAAGACCTGTAGAAACAGCAAAGAGAAAAAAAGAAGGGGGAGGAAAGTCAGGGGGAGGAAAAAAAGGGAAACCCCAAGTGATCGAAACACCATCCTTCTGGCTCACAGATGCTCGGGCAAGAGACACCACAGGCTTTAGGAGCCAGTGGGCAGCAGCATCAGACCATTTTCATTCAGGAAAATCAATAGACAACTTACTGTGATGTACGCGTAGCTGACTTTGGTCCCTACACGTTCTGGGTGAAATGCGCCTGAGCCCAGCAAAGAAAAAAATATCATAAAACCTCCAAATACGATATTCTCTGAACAAATGAGCTTTGGAAGGCCAAGCCATCCAGTAGATTAAGTGGGGGTCTATGTTTTAAAGTGCTTCCACCTGCATCCACCACTCATGGCAGGCCTGATGTTCAGAGACCACATTCTACCTATACGATTCCCCACATATGCATCCTCTCTTCATCTCCCCTAACAACACCCTGATACTGAAATATCCCTAATTCAAGTTCATCTAGACCAGGAACACTTGTACATATTAGTTAGTACAAAGTATACACATGGATAAAAGATACACATTGGCATATACACACACACACACATCTTCATGTATCATCTAAGACTGTTTCCAGAAAAAAGTGCTATATGAACAAACAGCATTAACATTTATTTTGAGGCACACCTCTCTCTAATCACATGGGCTTTCTATTTCTCTTTTCTGAGAAGGAACAAAACCTTCATCAATAAAATGCCTGGCGTCTCTGACAACACTTAAAACCATAATGGGTGCCTTTGGCATACGCTCTCTAGAAGCATCTGTCTTCTAAGGGCAGCAAAGAACAGATCGGTGATTTTAGTTACTAATGCACTCACTCTTAAGTAGATTTGTAAACTGCCTTGGATTTGCCATTAACATTTAGAACAAAATGTTAACAAAATTTCTGACTTATTTTGCTCTGCTTATTGGCCCAGTCAGAGCTGATGTCCAATAAAGGCCCCCGGAACAAATTGGAGTTCGGAGAGACTTCTTTCAGTTTCCCTTGTAAATTTAGGTTGTACATTTTCATAGTCAGTGGTTCCATTCCAAAGTGTATTTTGAGTGGGGGCTGGGAGAAGGGCTATATATCAAAAGCCGGGACAATATAAGATGAATACCAAGACTTATTAGTGTCAAAAATATACACGAAATAGAAACTTAGTGAAACTCAAAGCATAACCAAAAATCACCGTCTGCTACAAATTATACCTTTAAATTGAGAGTCATATCAGAAATAAAATCTACCTCGTCCCTTTTAAAAAGCCCACCTGGAGTATCTTTGGTATTCCCTCAAACAGAGAAACATCAGTTAAACGGTAGATGAATCCTCCTGGCTTAATGCAGTGCAAAGAGAGTATTTCCTTCTCCCATCCTGTAGCAGACATGTCAATGACTGTTATTAATTGGGAAGATGAGTGGACACCATCAGACTGCTTCCTCATTTGGCATCTTTCCTTATAGACATCATTGCTAAATTACCAGATTATGTATCTCACATTAACGGATTTTTCTCTCTTCCAAATTTTAAATAACTTTCCTGTCAAGTTATAGCAGTGCAGGGAATGATCTGCCAAGGACAGCCAGTTAGGCTGACAAGTCTGGGAATCCTGTTCTTGGCTGTTTTCTAGTCAGATTAATGGTCATACAACATGGACGCTCTGAAAGTGGGTCTAGGGCTGTTCCAAGGGTTCTAAGCAGCTCTTCACAACAGAAATAGCTACTTATCTATCAACAAGCAATATTATATGAGGAAAACTGGAGAAAAGAAATGTGAAGGGAGGAATGTTTCCCCCTCAAAATACGACCCCCCCCAGGATTCACTTGCTATTTTTACTTCCTAGATCACCTCATTATCTTAAATGAGTTTCATAAATTAGGAATCTGGTGACAGCACCGGACACTCCAACAGAACCTGGTGAATCACTCAACCCTGGTTATTCATTTGAAAACTTCATTACACTGAAAATAAATCAACAATATTTTTCCAGGCCACATCTCTTTTACTTCATTGCGTGGGCGTTGGTCTCCATGGGGGAGGGGGGAGTGCTTTTTTTCTTTTTTTTCTTTTCCCTTTTCTTTCTTACCCTCTCCTCACATTAACAACTTGTATAGATGAGGCTTCAGCTGACCACAGTCATTATGAAAATCTATAGTTAATACACTCCCAATGTCAAAATGTCATGGGTTTAAACACAGAACCCAAAATAAGAAAACTAACTGACCCTCTTAATTAAAAAAATATGGATTGTAAGATAATCAGCTTGATGGAGCATTTGGGTGACTGTGAAGAACCCGGCAAAGGGAAAGTAAGTAACTGTTACTTTTCTGCCTCTATGCTGATTTTTTTTAATTTAGCACTTCGTGCAAATCCAGATTAAAATAACTCCAGCTATTGATCCGAGCAGTGGAATTGACATTAATTTTAGTTCACTTCTCACTTTGCAAAGGGATCAATAGGAAGTAATAACAGCTGACATCCCCGCTGAAAGGAGGAGAAAGAAGGGCTGAAGACAGAAATCGAAAAGCAACCAAATAAATCATCAGCTACTTTTCCACGGCATCAGACAAACTCCAAACAGATTGCAAAAAGTCTTTGTTGAATTAACTAAACAAGGAGGAGGGATCAATCCACGAAGCTAAATAAATTGTCTGGCAGGCAGTGAGGTTGGACGGAGGGACCAACAAATATTGAGTTAAAAAATTTCAAATCCTTGACGTGATGGGTTTGGTTCAGTTCCGTATCTGTGGGAGTTTGTTTGTTTCTTAAATCACACTCCTGACCCTGGTTTAAAGTGATTGCAAAACGCCAGCTATCTGAATAATTAGTGAGATTACTAATTGCGTGGTTAAACACGCCAGAACCAAGACAAATGAAACGAAGACGTCCGCGTTTGGAACGTGAAAATGTCTGAGGCTGGGCTGATGCGCAGCGCTCCGCGCTCTGCGGAGCGAACTAGCCACTTTCGCACAGAAAAACCGAAAGCCCAAGAGAAAGTCTCAGAGAGTAGGTAATCTCCCATCCCAGTCCAAGGTCTGGGCTTCCTGACCTGCGCCCGGGATCGGCATAGAAGGAAGCGGTGCTGCTGCCCCCTCTGCCTCCGCCGTAGCTGAGAGCCAAACCCCTTTGCAAATGACTGCCACAAAGAAAGCTGCAAAGGGCTCTTTCCCGGAGCCGAGCTCAGGGCGCCCACCAAACTACGGCTCTGCTGGCAATTAAAATGCACACACAACACTCCTCTGCTTATTACAACAGGTGACAGTTTTGTGGTCTCTGAACCGTTTCCAAAAGCCAGGAATTAAAATAATAGAACAAATTAAACGATATTTTTCCTTTGCATAAATAAACTTTTAAAAAAATTAACAAGGAACTTAAAAAGCAAAGAACAATGGGAAATGAGGCAGAGTAGTGGGGGGTTGTTAAGAACGCAGGAAAAAAATTTTTTTTTTAAGTTCACAGACTTCTTCGCTTGAAGAGAATTCCCGCACACCAAATGCCCAGGGGGTATTTGGAAACACCGCTCTAACAGAAATTTTACCACCATATGCGAGAGCTCAGGGAACATAAGGCTAACACAGTTCCCGGGCTAGGGCCGACGCCTGTGTTTCAGGCATGGCCGGGTATGGTCCCAGATTTGGACCCGGGTTCAGGCCCAGCTTGGCCAAAGGGTGCGAATCCGAGACAGCCCGGGCCAGTCCGAGAGTGCGGGGTCGCGGGATACTGGCTCAGCGAGCGGGTGCATTATTCAGCTCGGAAGAGTCTCGACTGGGAAAAAAAATCAACTCTTTTAGGGAAAACGGGGGAAGAAGAGGTGAAGGCGAAACCTACATAAACTTGGGCCCAACGCGGAGCCGAGCCCACTACTCTTTGGCCCGACCTCTCCCTCCGGCTCTCGGTTGCCTTTGTATATAGAATACTCTGGGTCCCAA
This sequence comes from Homo sapiens, assembly GCF_000001405.40. Taxonomy (NCBI): domain Eukaryota; kingdom Metazoa; phylum Chordata; class Mammalia; order Primates; family Hominidae; genus Homo; species Homo sapiens. The sequence goes on along the minus strand of NC_000001.11, from coordinate 44,408,028 downwards.
CAACCTCCGCACGAAACAATCTGCGCCCAACTTTGGGCAACCAAAGCGCCAGTCCAGGAAGAACCGACACGTGCAAGGGCCCCTGGTCCGCAGCCGCGCGGGGCCCGCGGGGCAGGGGCTCAGAGCTGCCAGCCTTCGACCAAAGTCCAAGGACCTCCAGCCCCCGAGCAGCCCCGCCCCGGGGGTCACCCGGGTCCCGCCGCCGCGCGCACCACCGCTTCAGCGGGCAGCCGCGGACTCCTCCACTCCCGCTTCTCCTGCAAATACGGACCGGCGCGGGGCTGCCGGGCCCTTCCAGCTCCTGGACTGCGGATGCGCAGTGCGGGAGGGAGGGTTCTGCGGCCCGCACCGCGGCCGTCCGGCCGCCGCACACCGCGCGGCTCGCAGAACAGGTGTGTGTCCCCGCTCGCTCCGCGCCCGGCCCCGGCCCTGTCGGCCACCAGCGGCGCGACGCGGCGCCGCCCCGTCCTCGGCCTTCCCCAGCCTTGCCTCGAAGCGCAGCAAGCGAACTCACGCCACTTTTGCCGGGTCTCTGCGGGCCAGGAGGGATCGGCACGGAAGACGCCAGCACCGCTCTTCCTCGACGCTCTTTCTGCCTTTCCCCCCTCTGCTCATTCCCCTTTGCAGGAAGAGCCCGCGAGACGGAAAGAGGAGGCCAGGCAAGGCAAAGCCCCCCTGCCCACTCTGCTCCCCCCAGTCCCCTCGCTGCTTCCTCACTGCCGCCCTTTTTTTTCTTTATTTTTCCTTTCTCTCCCCTTTGCCCCTCAAGCCGAGTCCGGAGCGGAGGCGAGAGGCAAGATGTGGCTGCTGGGCGTCGTGGGCAGCGAGTGCGGTGCTCTCCCCCTCGGCGGCTCCCGGGCCAGTGGGCCGGCGCAGACCCCAGACGACCCGGGCCGGCCAGGTAGGGCTGTGCCCCCACACCTATGGCCCGGGCCCCATGCACCCACCCAGTGCGACGCGCGCCTGGCTCAGGGCCGGAACACGGGCTCTCCGCTGGAGCTGCATCCACGACCCGAGAATGCAGGGTGTGCTTAACGGGAAGCGAGAGCTTTCCCCCTGCCTCCTGGCTGCCCTAGTCCCCGCTACTTCGGGACTCCTGCGCGCCCTCGCCAGCTGGGGTCGACCTGGGCCGCGAGCTCTCGGAGAGGCTCCTGGACTGGGGGATGAACCGGGCATCCCCTCGGATGGCCTCACCACCGTGGGCGGCCTCGCCCGGGGGGCCACACGGAAGCTCTCCGCCCAAGTTTGTTGTGCCCTGGAAGAAAAGGCTTTCTCTTACAAAGCACAAAGGCGAAACGCCCAGGCCGAGCCCTGAAAAGCCCCGGGTTGGGGGGCGGGGGTGGGGTGGGGGAGGCCGGAGGCTCCGGAGTGCGGTGGCGGGGCTGGGTTCCGGGCAGAGAAGGTCGCTCGGCCCGGGCTGACAAGCGCGGCGGCAGTGGCCGCAGGACCGCAGCGACCGGCGTGCTCACTGAAAAGTTTTGTTCTTAAGTCAGAAGAGAAATTGTTACTCAGTTTAAGGCAGGTCTAAGATAAAAATAAAACTACAAGTAGAGTAGTCAAGTAGCCCTCGTCTCCACGATCGTCCTCCCGCCTTGCTCAGTAGAACCGCTGGGAGAGGGGGTCCCGACCCCGAAAATCCCGGGAGATCCCACGTGTCGGGCTACTCTACGGCCAGGCCGGTCCAGCCCAGAGGAGTGGGGAGTTTACCGGTGGCGTTTAGAACGGTCCGCCTCTATGCTAGCACCTGCCTCCTTCCTGCCCGCAGAGGATCCATCCATCCTACCCCACCTCCCTCCCTCCACACCCTTCACACCCGCCCCCGCTAGGAAAAAGTCAGCCGAGCACCCGGGGTCCAGGGCTAAACAGCCACTCCCCGGGTATCCCGCGGAGCCGGCTGTGTGTGGGGTGGAGGCTGTCGGGGTAGTTTCTCATTCGGCTCGCCCCTTCTCCATCCGCCCGCCGCCTCGGGCTCCCCACTGAGTACCACCCAGCCCTGGCCTCGCCGGAAATCAACGCGGGGTACATAGGGGAGCCCGGAAATCACCGGGGGGTGCACCAGAGAGCCCGGCGAGAAGGCATTCTCGATATCGACCCGAACAAAGTGGGAATGGGGCTTATTAAGAGACGGAGAAAAGAAGTCCTGCTCCCTTCCCTTGCAGTGCCCTCACCCTCCCAACTTGTCCAATTCCCGCGTCTGGTCCCTCCCCCTTGCACCTCCCCCCCTCCCCAAATAAAACACATTAAGGAAAACTCAAGACGGAAAGTTTGAGCGAGGCAGCGCACGGAGCGCGCAGGGCGCCGATGCCGAGAGGCTCCGTCGCGATGATCCAAGACGCGCCAGTCCGAGTCCCAGTCCCTGCCCCCGTCCAGAGGGAACCGCCCGAATCCCTAGGAAACGGACCCGGAAAGTTAGCCAGGTTCCTGAACAAGCCGGCCGCCCTCGCACCCACCCCTCTTGGGTACGCACACACGTCCACACCCCTTTCTGATCTCCATACTTGCCGTGGAAATTCCTTGGGAGAACGGTCGCACTTTTCAGGACACGGAGGGAAGCAGGCGGAGAGTGTGGTGCATGAAAAGTCCCGGGTTCGCAGAGCCGGCGGAGGCAGCGGCGGCGGCGGCGGCGGCAGCGGCAGCAGCAGCAGCAGCAGTAGGCGGCTGGCCCCGGGTTTGTGTTCGCGAGCTGCCTGGGATTGCATGTACAGATCAAGAGACTCAGTTGGCGTGAGAGAAGGAGCAGTGCTGCCTCTCAGCGCTGGATCTAATCAGTGAATGAGCCTCCACTCTCCCAGGGACTCGGAGACACACACACGCGCGCACACACACACGCACGCACACATTCTCTCACACTCACACACATACAGGCACTCTGAGCACTGAATACATTAGGGCACTAAGGGACTCTGGGAAATGAAGTCCAGACCCAGGGCACTCCTGGAGAACAGACCTGCTGGCCCTCACCAAAGAGCTTGGAAGTCTTGGGGTCGCGAGCCATTGTGAACTAAAGAGAGCGTTGGCTTTTGTTTACATCCCTCCTCCCCCACCCGCAAAGGTCTCAGTGAATGGTTTCGTGCTTGTTGTTCTTCCTTTCCTGAACCAAAAGGGACCAAGAGTAAATGGGCAAAGCTTGAAGACTGACATCCACTGCTGCTTAAATGACCCCCAAATCCTGGGTCCCTCAAAATCTCTGTCTTTTCCCAGAAAAATCTTACCTGCTGCTTTGTTCCTGGAATGCTTCTCTGGGTCTTTGACTATAATAATAAATAATAAATGAATATTAATAAAACTGTAACTTTTGGAGGAGGTGAAGGCCTAGTATAGCATCCAGATGTGAGAATAAAATTTTTTATTGGTGTTTTATTGATGTTTATATTACAGTTCATTTCAGATCATTTCATATCATCCTATAATTCATCAAACACAAAGATAAACAGGGGAAATGGATAGAGAACTAACATTCCTGAGTGCTTTCTAGGAGCCCGGTTATGAGACTAAATGCCTTTACATAATTTCATTTACTCCTAAGATTAATTCTGGAGATAATAATATTACCACTAGTTTATAGAAGAGGAAACTGGGGTTGAAAGGGTTTTGTAATTTGCCCATGAAAACGTGGTTAACAAGTCTTGGATAGCAGGTAGTTCTAGTTCTGAAAGCAAAGTTCAACCAAAATCAAATCCTGGTTTAAGAAGTCATTCCTGGCCGGGCGCGGTGGCTCACGCCTGCAATGCCAACACTTTGGGAGGCCGAGGCGGGCGGAACAAGAGGTCAGGAGTTCAAGACCAGCCTGACAAACATGGTGAAACCCTGTCTCTACTAAAAATACAAAAAGTAGCCGGGCGTGGTGGCATGCGCCTGTAATCCCAGCTACTCAGGAGGCCAAGGCAGGAGAATCGCTTGAACCCGGGAGGCGGAAGTTGCAGTGAGCCGAGATCACACCATTGCACTCCAGCCTGGGTGACAAAAAAAAAAAAAAAAAAAAAAGTCATTCTTTTGTTTTGTAGTTAAGTGTCTAAAACCTCAGATTTCTCATCTGGAAAAAAAAAAGGGAGGGTGGGGAGAAATGGAGTACACACTGATAATCCACTTTACAGAGAACCACATAGGATTATAAATTGTCTAAAAAGAATGAGACTCAAAATCTCATTCTTGCTATTATTTCATTGTCCTTTTTACTTATGTTTAACATTAAGGTAGCATCTAAATATTAAGTATGTTTATGTATATGTGTGCTGTTGGTATTTTAAAATTTTAATTGGCAACTCTAAATAAATTGTTAATTTGATCACTTAGAGTTCTACATTTACAACTATTTCTATAATTCGTGATATCAGGATTATTTGTTGAGGAACTTTATTTTTATTTATTTATTTTTTTTGACATGGAATCTCACTCTCTCGCCCAGGCTGGAGTGCAGTGGTGTGATCTTGGCTTACTGCAACCTCCGCCCCGAGTTCAAGCGATTCTCCTACCTCAGCCTCCCAAGTAGCTGGGATTACAGGCATGCCCCTCCATGCCCAAATAATTTTTAGTAGAAATACGGTTTCACCATGTTGGCCAGGCTGGTCTCAAACTCCTGACCCCAAGTGATCCGCTTGTCTCGGTCTCCCAAAGTGCTGGGATTACAGGGGTGAGCCACCACGCCTGGCCTGTTGAGGAACTTCTAATCCATGTTTAATCATTCATTCATACACCAGCATTTATTATGTTAGGCTCTATTCTTTCCACTAAATTATTATTTCCTGCTGGATTGTAAACTTCATGAAGTCAAGAACCATGTTTGTTGCATTCTACATCATACCCTAAGCACCTTACAGCATCAGTCTCTTAGTTGAATGAATAAACGAGGATATAAAAATGAACTCCTGTCCTCAAAGAGCTCACCATCTAGTAGAGGAGACAAAGAAAGAGTTAGAAATCAATTTGATAACCACTGTAATAAGGATGACCTTAGAATTTATTGATCTAACTGAGACAAGTTTGATGATAAAAAAGGGACACTTTTAATAATTACACTGGGATGACAAATGTCAACAAGGGCCATCCTGGGCCAAGCAGATTGAATGGTCACCCTAGCTACATAAGGTATTTCATTCATTCATTTAACAAGCATTTATCGAGAACTCTCTTGCCTGGTGTGTTAAAGGAATTATAAGCCACTGATTTCCCTCAAAATTGAAATATGAAACATTGAGCAGCAAGAGATAGGCAGGAGAAGTGGGCCAAATCACAAAAGGCTTTGTATACTAAGCTAAGGAAAGTGGATGTTATCCTACAGATGATGAGAAACCCCTAGAGGGTTTTAGGGGTGTGACAGGGTAGGATTTCTGTTTTAAAACAAGCACTAGTTCCTGGGTGGACAAGGTGGAGGTTAGACAAGAGGCAGGGAGGCCAATCAAAAAGTCTATCTCAAGTAATTCAGTTGAGATGAAGTAGGGCCTGAACCAAGGTACTGGGGCAGAGTGAGTGGAGAGGAGGGGACACATTACAGTGAGATCTAAAAGGTAGAATCAACAGGATTTAGCCATTTTAGTATGGTGGATGAAGGCAGAAGGAAGACTCTATATAAATCCTAAATAAGATTTTATTATTTATAGCAAAAGATGTTGTCAGTACTTTAATGTTTATCAGTAGTAAAAGGCTCCCTCAGACTAACTTAGAGAGTTCCCGTAGATCCAGTGCACATTCTCACAGATAGATGATACAGAT